>NC_000012.12:125286016-125587640 GCF_000001405.40 Homo sapiens
CCATGCTCAATTCCCCATTAACTCGAAATGAATCATCCTCATATGTTTATCGAGGTCACCCTAGCGCCAGGTACTTTACATGTATACCTTTCATCCTCACCACAGCCTTCTAAGGCAGGGATTATTTTATCTTTGTTTGGCGGATGAGAAGAGAGAAGCACAGAGAAGTTAATTCACTTGCCCAAGATCACACAGCCAGTAGCGGGAGAACCAGCACATAATCCCAGGCATTCTGCCTCCGGAACTCATGCTCTTGGGTACAGCCTTCTTCTGCCTTTGTGTGTCAGGGAGAGCACTGGCACAGAACTAAGCCCTGCTGCTTGCTCTGACACCAAGTAACTGAATGATCATGGGCAACTGTCATTGAATAGTGCCGTGCCTCAGTTTCTACATATAGAGAATGGGATACCAGCCTGACTCTGGGTTCTTCAAGGATCTGGTGAAGTATTTGGCAGGAACACCTTTTGGTGGGAAAATATAATAAAATAATAAATATTAGTATAATAAAATAATAAATATTAGTTTTATATCACTATAATAAGTTACCACCAATTTAGTGGATTAAAACAACAGAGATAAATTATTTTATATAATAGTTCTGGAGGTCAGAAGCCTGCAGTCAGTTTCACTGGGCTAAAATGAAGGTGTCAGCAGGGCTGTGTTCCTTCTGAGGCTCTAGGAGAGAATTCCTTTTTTTTTTGTTTTGAGATGAGGTCTCACTCTGTCGCCCAGGCTGGAGTGCAGTGGGACAATCTTGGCTCACTGCAACCTCTGCCTCCTGGGTTTAAGTGCTTCTCCTGCCTCAGCCTACCGAGTAGCTGGGACTACATGTGTGTGCCACCACACCCAGCTGATTTTTTACTTTTAGTAGAGACGAGGTTTCACCATGTTGGCCAGACTGGACTCGCACTCCTGACCTCAGGTGATCCACCCTCCTCGGCCTCCCTAAGTGCTGGGATTACAGGCGTGAGCCACCAGGTCTGGCCAGAATTCCTCTTTTTTTTTTTTTTTCAGCTTTCTGGAGGCTGCTTGCATTCCTTGGCTCATGGTTCCTTCCTCCATTGTTGAGGCCAGCAGGGTAGCATCTTCAAATCAGCCTCCCTCTCCATCTCTCTCTGTCTCTGTTTATCTCCCCGGCCTTGCCCCGACCTTTTCCTCCCTCCCTCCTCTGCTTCTGTGGCCCCGTCTCCTCTGATTTGGACCTCCCACCACCCTCTTATAAGAACCCTTGTGATGACATCATGCCCACCTGGACACTACAGGATCATCTCCCATCTCAAGATCCTTAATTTAATCATATCTGCAAAGTCCCTTTTACCATGTAAGGTAACATCTTCACAGGTTCTGGGAATTGGGACGTGGGCATCTTTTGGGGGAGGCATTTAATTCTGTCTACTACAGTACACATAATTTAAATTATTTCATTCTCTAGCACCTAAGTAACTATTTTTAAAGGTACCATTTCCAAGCTTTTAAAGCACATGTAGACCAATACTCAGATGAAAACAAAAAGGGCCTTAATCTCCCTGCCCAAATAACCTCAAGGGATGAATTTTTTCTGTTTTGACATTTAAACAGAAAATGCAAGTAATATTAGTAGAAGGACAAAAAACGCAAACCACAGAATGATGCAAAACAAAAATGAAACCTCCCTGCATAGTCTCTCTCCAAAGGTAACCACTTTACAGTTCTAGAGGATCGCTTCCAGAACAAACAAATGCACATGCCAGAATTATACCTTCCCTTCTAAAAAATACTAGGGAACACACTACTTACACTATTATGCATCTTGCTTTTTTCACATTATTCTATACCTCTTAGATCTTTGTCCCAGCACATCACATAGAGATCCCTTTCTGTCTTTTTTTTGAGACAGTGTCTCACTCTGTCGCCCAGGCTGGAGTGCAATGGCGCGATCTCGGCTCACTGCAACCTCTGCCTCCCGGGTTCAAGCGATTCTCCTGCTTCAGTCTCCTGAGTAGCTGGGACTATAGGTGCCTGGTACCACCATGTTCAGCTAATTTTTTTGGTATTTTTAGTAGAGACGGGGTTTCACCATGTTGGCCAGGCTGGTCTTAAACTCCTGACTTCAGGTGATCCGCCAGCCTTGCGCTCCCAAAGTGCTGGGATTACAGGTGTGAGCCACTGCACCCGGCCTCTTTCTGTTTTAAAGAGCTGCCAGCTACACCTGTAATCCCAGCACTTTAGGAGGCTGAGGTGGGCGGATCATGAACTCAGGAGTTCAAGACCAGCCTAACCAACATGGTGAAACCCCGTCTCTACTAAAAATACAAAAATTAGCCGGGTGTGGTGGTGCACGCCTGTAATTCCAGCTACTCAGGAGGCTGAGGCAGGAGAATAGCTTGAATCCCCGAGGCAGAGGTTGCAGTGAGCCAACATCGCGCCACTGCACTCCAGCCTGGGCGACAGAGCAAGACTCCATCTCAAAAAAAAAAAAAAAAAAAGAGCTGCTAGCTTTGCAGCAGGGATGGTGCATCACTTATTCACTTATTTTTGTAACTCATCTCATATTGCTGGTTACTTTGGTTGTTTCCAGCTTTTTTGTTACTATGGGCATGCTGTGTGGGTATTCTTGGAATCACATCTAGGACCATGTTACGCTTGTATTTTTAGGTTTTTTTCTTGGCATTTGGGGTAAAATAGTTTTTTGTTGCAGGGGGCTGTTCTGCGCATCGTGGGATGTTCAGCAGCATCCTGGACTCCTCCCACTAGATGCCGGTACCACTCACTCCCCAAATTCGTGACAACCAGATATTGCCAGATGTCCCCCTGGGGGCAAAATCATCCCTGGTTGAGAACTTTTGTTTTAGGGGTATTCCTCACAGTGGGGTGCTGGGTGGGAGTTTTCTTGTAAATTTACCCCAGGCTGCTGATGGTAGTTGGCTGGTGGGCTGTGGCCAAGCTCAAAGGGCAGGCGGTGCCATGCAGAGGCAGCAGGGGACTGTGGCTTGGGGTTGGCTCGTAGGCAACGCTGAGTTTTCTAAACCTTATTGCAAGGAGTTAAGCAGTTACCACACCTTACCTATTCTTAAGAGAATTTGTCCAAGCTTTGATGGGCTTGACCTGGAGTGTTCTCAGCAATGTGTGTCTTGTACTTCTGGCTCAGGGGTTCTGACCCCTTCCTGGCTGAGGTGGGTTCTGAGTCCCATACTCTCTGCCAAAGGAATCTGAAGTATTTATATATTTATAATAAGCAAACTCACACAAACACTGAACAACCTGGCCTTTCAAGAAGGTTCTTCTCTTCTTCCTAAAATGAAGATAGAATTGTTATTTCAAAAGCGGTGGCACAAGGCACCCTTCTGGTGCTTTCCTTGTGTTAACTTCTTTAATCGGCACAAGAACCCACCTGCCATGATCATCATCCCCATTTTACAGGAGAGAAAACTGAGGCTCAGGGAGTACACATGATTTGCTCCAGGTTGCATCACTCTTAAGTGGTGAAGCTGGGATTTGAAACCAGGAAGTCTAGTTCTGGCATGGGTTCTACCCACCCCTGTATTTGGAGGTCCACACTATTTGACAATGGAACCCAGACAGAGAATAACAATAGTGGCATGGATCACACACCTGCCACATGCTGGGCTGGTTCTAGCTGCATTACACGTGTTAGCACATTTACTTCTCAGAGCAGATGCATAAGTAGATACTTTCATCAGCCACACTTTGCAGACAGAGTCTGAGGCACAGAGACATCAAGTCACTTGACTGAGGTCACACAGCTAAGAAGTGGCCAAACATGGATCTGAGCCCAAGTGGCTCCAGGGTGCATGGGCTCAACCATCGGGCCACACTGTCTCTGGACAGAGGGAAGCAGTGTTTCTCATGCTACAGCAGTCTCAAAAGTCCTCACCTTGGGAAGGTTTCCAAGGCTTTTGGACAATTTATCCCCTAGTCATGCTGCTGACATATCTGGGCGCTCTTCAATCCCCCAATTATAATCCATCATGCTTTATGTCCCCCTTAAATCAAAGATATACCATGTCAGCAAGAGGAAGCCTGGATATGCCGTGTGTGTTTTTCTAGTGGTGATTGTTTCTTCATTAGAGCCTACAAAGTCGGTATGTTTTAAAATCCAAAACTGGAACAAAATGAAAGCCGTCCGTGAATCTTGGCTGAGTTTGGGCCGTAATTCATTCAAGTAGCTCATTACGCATCGGAATTACCCAACTGCCGAAGCTTCTGAACAGCAGGCAATTCTAGAGCTTCACTTTCAACTTTCTGCTCTTATTGATTTATGAAACCTTACTACCTTCAAAATCATGAAATATTCCAGGCATGCAAAGAGGCACAGAGAATATTTTAATGAATATCGTGCACCCACCACCCAACCGAGGAAATAAAGCCTGACAGTTACAATCGATGCTCCTGTAGACTCCTCCCAGATTTCCTTCCTTCTCGCTCTCCCTAGAGATTACCACTGCCTGAATTTAGCAATTTTTCTTAAGTTTGCTATCCATATATGTAATCATAAACTACATGAGGCATTGTGTGTGTTTAAAAACTTTATATAAATGGCATCTTGCTAAACATATCCTTCCGCAATGTGTTCATCTTGCCACGTTGGTGGGACTCATCTGTGCTGATCTATATTGCTGTAGTTTATTTCACTGCTGCATAGTATTCTGGTATATGAATATATCACGGAATATTCATCTGTCCTCCTGCTGATGGGCATTTAGGCTGCTTGCTGTTTCTTGCCACGGTAAACAATACTACAGTGAGTGTCCTGGTACATCTCCTTGTGTACAAATGCAAAACTTCCTCCAGAGTGTATACTTATGATTGGAATCACTGGAGTTCAAGGCATGTATGGTAGACAGAATTGAAGGTACACATGCCCTGTGTAATCTCCAGGACCGTGGATATGAGGAATATCGCTCCTGAGACTGGATTGTGTTTTATGGCACAGTTGAATTTAAGATAGAGAGAGTGTTAAAGACAAGATAATTGTGTCTCCATACCACTTAATCCTTCCCCGTCCCCCAGCCAATTCATACGTTGAAATGCTAATCCCCAATGCGGTGGCACTGGAAAGTGGGGACCTTAGGAAGTGATTAGATCATAAGGGTGAACCCCTCATGATGGGACTGGTGCCTTTATGAGAAGAGGTTAGAAGGCTAGCTAACTCTCTCTCTGCCATGTGAGGACACAGTGAGAAGGTGGCCATCTGCAACCCAGAAGAAGGCCCTCACCAGAACCCGGCCAAGCTGACACCTAACCTTAGACTTTCAACCCTCCAGAATTGTGAGAAATAAGTCCCTGTTGTTTATGAGCCTTGAGTGTGTGGTACTTTGTTATAGCAACCTGAACTAACAAAGTGAGATTGTCCAGATGGGCATGATCTAATCACTGGAGCTCTTTAGATGAAAGTCTGTTGGCCAGAGACTGAGAAGTTAGAGGGGTTTGAAGTGCTAGAGGGAGATTCTCCATGCTGGCTCTGAAGATGGAGGGGGCATGTCACCAAGAATGTGGCTGGTGTCTAAGAGCTGAGAGCAGCCCCTGGCTGACAGTCAGCAAGGGCATGAGGATGTCAGTCCTCCAAGCGCAAGGACCTATACTCTGCCAGCAACCTGAGTGATCTTGGAAGAGGATCCTGAGCTCCAGATGAGACCACACCTCAGGGCATGCCTTGACTTCATCCTTGCAAGAATCTGAGCAGAGAACCCAGACATGATGTGTCTGGACTTCTGACCTATGGGAACCATGAGACATATTTGCTTTTTTTAAAAAAAAATTGTGGTGAAATATCCATAACATAAATGTGCCATTTGTAGAGGTACAGTTCAGTGGCCTTAAGTCTATCCACATGATTATGCAACCATCAGCACCGTCTATCTCTAGAACCTTTTCATCTTCCCAAATTGAAACTCTGTCTGTATTAAAATTCACATTGTTTTAAGTTGCTAAGTTTGTGGTAATCCATAAATAGCAACAGATAATTAACACAATATCCAAAGCCATATTTTTTCTAACAAATTATTTTATCAGAGTAGTCTCACTCATTTGCCTATGGTATCACTATTCAAGAATTTCTAGGATACATTTATTACCAACATATCAGAGAAGAACTAAAATAGCTCAACCTTTGTTTCATTCTCCTGTGGAGGTTTCAAGCAGGTAGTGACTTCAGAAAGAAATGGGAATAGTTTCTACCTAGATTAAACCTTCTAATTCTCCTCCCCCTCCCCCATTACATATATAATTTGTTGCTTAGAAACACCTTTATTTCCCATTTTATTTTTAAAATTGCAGTGACAGAATGGAAGGGAGGTGTTAGCTTGAAAGGTTTTACACACTGGAACAAATGTGAAATGTTTCCATTTCTCTGGTTTTGGAGCTGGTGGCCTACAGCCAGGGAAGATTTGGTTTGATTAAAAAAACATTTTGTACTGCATTGGTTGAGTTTGGTCATGAAAGTAAGGACTAGAAAGTGACTATAATGAGACAATGTAGCAGCTACAAATCTTCTGTTTGCGAGTGACAGAAACTCAACTCAAAACTGGCTTGCACAAAGAAAGAGATTGGCTCACAAAACTGCAGTATCTGGGAGGGACAGCTTCAGGTATGGCTAAATCCAAGGACTCAAATGAAGACATTAGGACTTGGTCTCTCTCCATTCCTTGCCTGTTTCCAGTTGGCCTCTTTCTCTGGCTACCCCTTCAGGAGTGACCTGTGACAATCCAAATTTATGTCATTCGTATAGCTGGTGATGAAAAGGAGGCTTCTCTTTCTCAGTCGGTTCAGCAGAAATGACAAGACTGAATCTCACTGGATTTCCTTGGATCATGTACCTGCCTCTGAACTCATTCAGTGGCTAGAAGTTTGCACAATGCTGATTGGCCAGGTCAGGGTCACATGACCACCCAAACCATGTGGGCTCAGAGTGGTTTCTCCAAGGAAAATTGAGGTGTTGTTAGCAAATGTATGGGGAATGGTTGCTGGATGTGCAAGAACAATGGATATTTAATTGAGCGAGGAGTTCTTAAGCCCAGGTCATGGGTTGGATTCTTTTGGGAGCTGGGGAGCTCAGTGCTATGGGGCTGGCTCCTTTCAACACATGCCATTGACATAATGGAGACATGGGGATAAATTGATGGCCAGGGATGTGGTACAGTCTCTCCCTGAGACATTGGCACAATTTGTCAGACTCCCTGTTCACCTGTGGTTGCTCACATGGACAAGAGGACCTGCTGCCCTTGTATTACTTTATTGAGTCAATTCTTAGTAAAGCGTATTGCAGCAGTTTTATTTAACTTTATTTTTTATTTCAACATTTAGATTCAGGGGGTACTTGTGCAGGTTTGTTACATGGGTATGTTGTGTGATGCTGAGGTTTGGAGTACGATTGATCTTGTCACCCAGGTTCTAAGCATAATACCCAGTAGGTAGTTTTTCAGCAATTGTTCCTCTCCTTCCTCCCTTGAATAGGCCCCAGCGTCTATTGTTTTCATCTTTGTGTCCATGTCTACCCAGTGTTTAGCTCCCACTTATAAGTGAAAACATGCAGTATTTGGTTTCTGTTTCTGCATTAATTTGCTTAGGATAATGGCCTCTAGCTGCATCCATGTTGCTGCAAAGGACATGATTTTGTTCTTTTTTATGGCTATGTAATATTCCATGGTGTATATGCGTCATGTTTCCTTTATCCAGTCCACCACTAATGGGCACCTAGGTTGATCCCATGTATTTGCTATTGTGAATAGTGCTTATTGCAGCAGTTTTAAAAACCTGTCACAAAGTTTTGACATTCCACCCCTTGAGAGGTGTGGGGGTCTATGTCCCCTCCCCCTGAATTGGGGCTGGCTTGTAACCGCTCTGAACTATGGAGTGGCACTGTGTGGCTTCCAAAGCTATGTCCCTAAAGGCCATGCAGCTTGGTTCTCTTAGAATGTTCCCTCTTGAGATACTTTCCTCCTGGAGCCCAGCTGCCATGCTGTGAGGAAGCCCAAGCCACCCCGTTTGACAGCTGAACCCAGCCTTGCAGCCAGCAAGCCTAGAGGTGACCTGTGAGTGAGAAAGCCTCCAGGTGAAGGAAGTCCCAAGCCTCAGAGTCAGCCTTGTCACTGAAGTCTCTTTTGTTGAGGCCTCCACCACTGTGAGCATAGACAGCCCATGCCCTCTGTGCCTGATCTGAATTCCCATTTCCAAGCTCCTGTGAGCTATAATAAACTGGCTTTTGTTCTGTATAACTGCCTATATACCACTACATTTGGGGTGGTGTGTTAGGCAGCAGACAACTGGAATAGGCATGCTTGCATTGCTGGCAATATTGGTTAGATGCAACAAGCCAGACCTGGTAGAGATTTAAGAGTTACTCATGCACTGTTGGACCTGGTAATTCCACTGCTGGAAATCTATCAAAAGGAAATAATCTCAAATGGGAAAAGTGGATTAAACATTATGCATGGAGATGTTCATCACAGAACTATTTATAATGGTAGAAAATTTAAAACAACCTAGTTTTCCAATGATGGGGACATGGTTCCTTGATAAAATAATTATGGCTGCCACTGAAGGTCTAAATAAGTGCCAGGCACTGCAGTAAGAGCTGCCTATATATCAACTACGAATCTTCCCAACAAACTTTGAGGTTATTATGACCTCAATTCCCTACCATACAAACGTGGAAATTGAAGCTTAGAAAGCTTGTCACTTGCCCAAGGTGGTAAGCAGCCAGTCTGCTGACTCCGAAGTCCTGCTGGTCACAGTATACATGATATTGATTTAAGGCAGGAGAATGATTGAGAAAATCTGTGGAAGAGCCATGCCATGGCATATTAGGTAGTCTTTATAAATAATTGTATAAAGAATTTTTAATAATAGGAGAAAGTGTTTATGCTAAGTGGCAGAAAAAATGCAGAATGAAAGTGGTGTATACAATAAAATATCAACTTATTGAAACTATGCATAAAGAAAAATGCAGGAAGCATGTACAACCTTAACGGCGGGTGGTAGGATTGTGTATGTGTGAGCCACTCTAAGCTTTTCTGTATTTTCAGTTTTTCTACTAGAGGCAAAGGCTGCAGAAGAAAAAAAGCACAAAAAGGAAGTGAACAAAAGTTAACGAGAGTCAGCCATGATTAAACAGCAAAATGACCAAAGAGAACTAAAGTTGCCAGTTAGTTAAAAAGGAAAAAAAGCTCATTAGTGTGATAATTATCTTGTGCTTCTGTTCTGACAAGTCACCTGGGAGAGCACTCCGTGGCTGGGCTGGGAGTGGGAGAACCACAGAGCTCTGGGTGGGGCCCCTTCTTCCAGCCAGGGATCTATGAGATGTTCGAGGGAAGGTCTGTGAGCGTCTCCTATGGCCACTCACACAGGGATCCAGCCTGTTGGGGCAGGAGCTGGAAGGGAACGTGGACATGAAATGATGGAACAGAAACACTGTATGTGGTGGCTTACAGGAGAGACTCTGGGAAGTGTGGGTCACATAGGCCGGCTGTCTCTCCTCCATGAAACCTGTGTGTGTGTGTGTGAGAGAGAGAGAGAGAGAGAGAGAGAGACAGAGACAGAGACAGAGACAGAGACAGACAGACTTGGGTGTCTGGGGCAGGCTGCTTTGTTGTGATGATGTCTTGTATCTCCTTAGACATCTCCTTTGAGTTCATTCTCAATAGTGTGCCAAAATCACAGATGTTGCCCAAAGCGTAGGAGGCAGACCATGTTGTACTTAAAGCCAGGACTTGAGTCTGAGACCTGACTCTACTGTGCATCGGTGGCTGGGCCTTGGGCAAGACAGAGCCTTAGTTTTGCCTTCTGTGGAATGGGAACAAGAATGATGCCTTATTCACAGGTTCATCTCCAGGATTAAATAAAACGATGCATAACACAATCAGGCGGCACTTAGCACTGTGGCGAAATAGCTCTTGCTGATAGTAGCACTTAGAGTAACAGGTTCTGATTTTAATTGAACACTTTATATGAGTATGCTTTTTCTCCTCTCTTCACGTATCAATGACATTTCTTTTTACACTTAAAAAAAGAAAAGGTTGCCCTTGAGTTTGTACTATACATTCACAGCCACTCCAAGTCAGAGGGAGCCTTCTGATACCCGAGTCTGATCCTCTCCTTCCTCTGCTCAGAATCCATAAGCACACCTTATCTCATTCCGATAAAAGCCGAAGTCCTTATGGTGGCCCCACGGCCCAGTACAGCGTGGTCCTGGGCTTCTCCTGATCCCATCTCCTTCTGCCTATGCCCTGCTCTGGCCACACTTGTCTCCTCACTTTTCTTCCCACCCACCGGGCACCTCCCACCTCCGGGCTTTTGTTCCCGTTGTTCCCTTGCCAGGAGTGCGCTTCCCAGGTATCTGTTTGGCCAACACCCTCACATCCTTTTAAGTCTCTGCCCAGATCCCGTCTTCCCAGGATGGCCTTCCGGGACCTCTCTACTTCACACTGTCTGCCCAGATCCCGCCTCCCAGGATGGCCTTCCCGGACCTCTCTGCTTCACACTGTGACCTGCCAATTGGGCACCACCTGCCCTGTTCCCCACTGCTTGTATCACCTTCTGACAAACTGGATAATCTACTTGCTCTGTTTATGATTTGCTGTTGGTCTCCCCCAACAAGAACATCCATCCCATGAGGGGAAGAATGGCTTCTCTGCCGTATCTCAAATGCTCGGCATAGAACCCAGCACCTGGCGGGGGCTCCTAACTGTCACCTGGGTGAATGAATGCTCCAGTGAGCATTGGCTGCAAAGTGTCTTTCCATCCCACTCCTTTATCACTGTGTGAAGAATCACCGAACTGGGACCAGGCTGTCTGGGCAGGAGGACTCCTCAGGCTCCTTGTGCTACGTTAGGGATTACAGCAAAAGGAGCCGGGGAAAGCTGTTAAACTGACAGCCGGGGCCTGGTAATCTCTTAACCGTGCACAGGAGGCCTGCAGATTCCCAGCTGCTGTGGAAGATGCATGCTTGTCCCTAACAGGTCTGCACGAGCAGCTGTGAGTGAGCTCGTCCATCCGTCCTTCTGAGAGAGCAGAGCAGTGGGAAGAATGGTCTTGGTCTTGCTGGCTCTCTGTTCTCTAGGCTAAGGGGAGGGTGACGGAGCTGGAGGTTGCTGTGCTGGCCACAGGTCCAGAGACTCTGGGTTTCCTTGGGGGGGTCCTGCCTGGGTCAGCATTGGATGGCTTTTCCTACCCAGTGAGACAACAGGGTGGATGGGAGGAGGAGGGAGCCTTTTTCCCCTTGGAAGGGGATCGTCTCATGTCCCGAGGCAGGCACACGGTGGCACATGTTTCAACCTCCCTGCTGCATGGTGTAGACCTGACAGGTGATAGGGTGACAGGTGTGGATGGGCCTCTGAGCATTGTTATTGGCCCACTGTCACCAGAAGCCCTTCTCCTGGGGTGCCCTGTGTGGAGCGTCCTGGGGAAAATGGCCAGCCTTCTGGCTTAGTGCTGTTCCCAACACCATCCATCCTCCAAGTTTTAGAAAGCAGAGCAGGACCACGCTTCAGCGGCCACCTATTGCTGGTGATTCATTCCATCAGCATTTATTGAGCACCTACGATGTGTCAGGCATTACGCTCAATACTGGGGCTAAAAGGTGGACCTCACTTCCCTGCAGCTAGGTAAGTGGAAGCAAGAATTGAGATGCTCAAGGGTGAGGTCCTAAATATTCACACCCAGTTCAGTGCAGGTGCTGGCCAAGCAGACTGCTGGTGCTCTAGACCTCCACCTGTGATTTGGAGGAACATGAGCCCTGGGAGGAACAGGGACAGGATCTTCTAGGAGTGAGTGGACCCATAAATGAAGGGGGAGCCCTGGGGTGGCTCATGGGTTACATCCCATTTCCTCCTGCCTACTCCTTCACTCTGCTGTGGTTCTTCCTCCTCTCTCTTTCTCCCACATTATCCACGCTCCTTTCTCCGCTGGACCATTCCCAACAGTAAACAAGCATGCTCGCCTCCTAAGAAATACCTTTAGGCTTGGCATGATGGCTCATGCTTGTAATCCCAGTGTTTTTGGAGCCTGAGGCAAGAGGATCACTTGAGCCCAGGAGTTCGAGACCAGTCTGGGCAACATAGTGAGGCCACCCCATCTCTACAAAAAAGTTAAAAATCAGTTGGGCAAGGTGGCGCGAGCCTGTGTTCCCAGCTACTGTGGAGGCTGAGGTGGATCACTTGAGCAAGGATTCTAGGCTGCAGTGAGCCATGATTGCGCCACTGCACTCCAGCTTGGGAGACAGAGTGAGACCCTGTCTCCAAAACACAACAAAACAAAACAAAATGAAAACAAAAAAACCCCAATACCATTGACCAGTCCATCTCCCTCCCACCCACCCAGCAGCTACTGCCAGTTTCTCTACTCCATTTTGTAGGAAACGTTCCTCAAGAGTGTTACATCGGCAGGGCATGGTGGCTTACACCTGTAATCCCAGCACTTTGGGAGGCTGAGGTTGGCGGATCACCTGAGATCAGGGGTTCGAGAGCAGCCTGGCCAACGTGGTGAAACCCCGTCTCAAACAAAAATACAAAAATTAGCTTGGTGTGGTGGCAGGTGCCTGTAATCCCAGCTGCTCGGGAGGCTGAGGCAGGAGAATCACTTGAACCCGGGAGGCAGAGTTTGCAGTGAGCCGAGATCGCGTCACTGCACTCCAGCCGGGGCGACAGAGTGAGACTCTGTCTCAAAAAAAAAAAAAAAAGTGTTACATCTACTCCCTCCCATCACTTATTTTTCTTTTTTCTTTTTTTTCTTTTTATTTTTGAGACGGGGTCTCTCTCTGTCACCCAGGCTGGAGTGCCGTGGCGCGATCTCGGCTCACTGCAAGCTCTGCCTCCTGGGTTCATGCCATTCTCCTGCCTCAGCCTCCCGAGTAGCTGGGACTACAGGCGCCCGCCACCACGCACGGCTAATTTTTTGTATTTTTAGTAGAGACGGGGTTTCACCGTGTTAGCCGGGATGGTCTCAATCTCCTGACCTCGTGATCTGCCTGCCTCGGCCTCCCAAAGTGCTGGGATTACAGGCGTGAGCCACCACGCCCGGCCCATCACTTGTTTTTTAGAGATGAGGTCTTGCTGTGTTGCCCAGGCTGGCCTCAAACTCCGGGCTCAAGCGATCCTCCTGCATAGCTGGGACTATACAGGTGTGCACCCTGGCGCTCTGCTGCCATCCATTCTTTTACCTTGTTCTCTCTTGAACCCGCTTTTATGAGGCTGTACCCCCCACTGTACTATGCAGCAGCTCTTGTCAAAGTCACCCCACTGTCTCTCCAACACTCGGGTCTGTTCCTTTCTCCCTCCCTCCTGGATCTGCTCTTCCCTGGGCCCTGGGACTCATCACTCACTGGCTTACTTCCTGCCTCCCTGGCGGCTCCTCCCAAGCCCCATTGTGGCTCCCCATCCATCTCCCTGACCTTCGGCATCTGGAATGATCCAGGACCTGGTCCTCCAGCCCTTCCCATGTCAATACCTTGGATGGCTGCCTCCAGTCTGCGGCCTTCCAGACCGACTCTGGGCTGATGGCGCCTGCTTCACCCTTCCCTGACCTGCTCAGGAGCTCCCTAGAGCCTTCAGGAGCCACCTCTAGCCCCATGCAGCCTGTGCATCCTTTGGTCTCCCCATCCCAGAAGCAGCACCTCATTGCTCCAAGTGTGTAGACCCAAAGCCCTGGGGCCACCCTTGTCACCGCTTTTCCAGACGCATGTCACCACGTCAGTGTCAGTGTTCACATCCTGTCTGATCCACCAGCAGATCCTGCTGGCTCTTCCTCCAAAGGATGCCCAGAATCTGTACTCTTCTCACCCTGGTCTAAGTGACCCCTCCCACCCTGGTTCACTCTCCTGGACCGGCCTGCGTCCCCCACTTGCCCTGCTGTCTGTCCACACAGAGCTTGTGGGGTTCTGTAAGTTGTCAATCAGATTATGCCATTTCCCTGCTCTCAACTCCCTGCTGGCTTCCTTCCTCACTCAGAGCAAGAACCCCAAGTCCTGCTCATGGCCTGAGGCCCTGCAGGGTCTGGCTCCCAGCTGTTCCTCCCATGCGCCCTGCGTGGGCCGCCACGGGGGCTTTGCACTCGCTGTGCTTGCTGCCTGCAACACCTTCCCCCAGATACCTCCAGGCCTGCTCTCTCCCTTTCTTCACGATCACCCCACCTAAAGGAACCCCTCTCCCTACCCCAGCCACGGCCCTTCCTCTTAGCCTGCCCTTTTGTTCTTTTTTTTTTGGTACATGTAGAGATAAGGTCTCGCTGTGCTGCCCAGGGTGGTCTCCAACTCCTGGCCTGAAGCAGTCCTCCCACTTCAGCCTCCCGAAGCATTGGGATTACAGGCATGTGCCACTGCACCTGGTCTCTTTTGTTCTTTATATCCCTTGTTACAGCCCGACCACCTGACACCCTGACAGAGCCAGAGGCTGTAGGGAAGCTGAGCCAGCCCCCAAGTGGCATCAGATGGCACCTTGGCCCCTGTGTGTGGCCCTAGAGAAGTGGCACCTACCTATCTGCCTACATCCAGAGATCATGTCACTGCAACCCTGCGCCCAGCCCTAGATAACACTAAGGCCCTGTCTGAGCAAAGGGGAACATCTTTGTCATAATAACTACAATTTATAGAGTGCCTACTGTATACCAGGACCTGTTCTGAGCACATCAGGTGACTTGACTCATTTAATCCTCATAGCAACTCCATGAGGTAGGAGGAGCCGTCATTAGCTCATTTTATAGATAAGGCAACTAAGACATAGAGAGGTGGAGTAACTTGCCCGAGGCCACACAGCTGGCAAAGGGCATGGCTGGGATCTGAACCCCGGCCACTGTGCCTCCAGAGTCCACACACTTAGGTGCTGCACTGGGCGAGCCTTGTTCCTTCAGCTGCCTGCAAACAGCCTTACCTGTACTATGCCTGCACTGGGGTGCTTTTGTGATGACAGCTTTCTCGGTGACTTCTGAGGATGGGTTCCCATGGCATATAACTTACAAATAATTCAAAAGGAGAATGTTATGAGGTTGCCTCCATTGCTACGTGACTCTGGGAGATATATATGTATATATATATATGTATGTATGTTGGTATACATGTTGGTATTTATTTAAAAAATTTCTTTAGTTGAAATTTCGAGCATTTGACCTAAGTGGCTGATAATATCTCATAAAAGCTGACATTTGTTAGTGGATTATAATATGTCAGGCTCAGTGCTACCTGCTTTCTGTGGATTATCTCAGAATCCTCGCACTGATCTGTATTTTTCATTTTATAGAGGGATCTATGTGGAGGTGCTGAGTTGTCAAAGGACACTGGCAGAGCTTGATTGCATTCAGGGCTGAATTACTTTGCTAAAGTGGCGGGGTCTATTTCTCTACCCCTTGAATCTGAGCAGGGCTCGTGCCTTGCTTTGGCCACTAGAATTCAGGGGGATGGCCCGTGCACCAGCCCTGTGCCCAGCTCTGAAGACCCTCTGTGTTTCCTCTTTGCCTCATGCTGTCTGCAGCCATGAGGAGAACACACCCAAGCTACCGGAGGATGGAAGGCAAGTGGAGAAGATCCGAGTCGTGCCACCAAGGCCAGTCTAGATGAGCCAAGAGCTAGTAGAGCCCCGGATATTTAAGTGAGTCTGGCTGGGCGCGGTGGCTCATGCCTGTAATTCCAGCACTTTGGGAGGCTGAGGCAGGTGGATCACGAGGTCAGGAGATCGAGACCATCCTGGCTAACGTGGTGAAACCCTATCTCTACTAAAAAATACAAAAAAGTAGCCGGGCGTGGTGGCGGGCACCGGTAGTCCCAGCTATTCGGGAGGCTGAGGCAGGAGAATGGCGTGAACCCGGGAGGTGGAGCTTGCAGTGAGCTGAGATCATGCCACTGCACTCCAGTCTGGGCGACAGAGCGAGACTCCGTCTCAAAACAAAACAAAACAAAACAAAACAAAAAAAGAAAAAATTGGCTGGGTGCGGTGGCTCATGCCTGTAATCCCAGCACTTTAGGAGACCGAGGTGGATGGATCATGAGGTCAAAGAGTTCGAGACCAGCCTGACCAACATGGTGAAACCCTGTCTCTACTAAAAATAAAAAGTTAGTCAGGTGCAGTGGCACGTGCCTGTAATCCCAGCTACTCAGGAGGCTGAGGCAAGAGAATTGCTTGAACCTGGGAGGCGGAGGTTGCAGTGAGCTGAGATTGTGCTGCTGCACTCCAGGCTGGCGACAGAGGGAGACTCTGTCTCAAAAATAAATTAAAAAAAAAATTAGGCATGGTGGTGCTCTCCTGTGGTCCCAGCTACTAGGGAGGCTGAGGTGGGAGGATCACCTGATCCCAGGAGGTGGAGGCTGTAGTGAGCTGAGATCATGCCACTGCACTCCAGCCTGGGTGAAAGAATCAGATCCTGTCTAAAAAAAAAAAAAAGTGAGCCTGGCTGAGACTAAAAGAACTGTCCAGTGAGCCCAGGTGGAATCATCAACCTGCAGAGGGATGTGTTAGACAAATGCTTACTGCTCTAAGCCACTGAGTTTTGGGGTTGTTCGTTATACAGCACTATTGTGGAAAGGGATAGCCAGTACAGACACACAATCTATAACTGGCAGAGCTGGATTTGAACCCAGGCCTGCCCGAATCTAAAGTCTGGGATGGGACTCTGGATTTTCGGTGCTTGCAAAGAGGGCAAAAGGTGTTTTCCCCCTTCTTTAAAATTTATTTTTGTAATATACATAAAATTTGCCACTTTAACCATTTTTAAGTGTAATTCAGTAGCATTAATTGCATTCACCATGAAATGCAACAATCACCTCTGTCTAGTTCCAAAATTTTTAATCATCTGAAATAGAAACTATATCCATTAAGCAGGCTGGGTGCGGTGGCTCATGCCTGTAATCCCAGCACTTTGGAAGGCCGAGGTGGGCGGATCACTTGAGGTTAGGAGATCGAGACCAGCCTGGCCAACATGGTGAAATCCCGTCTCTACTAAAAATACAAAAATTAGCCAGGCATGATGGCAGGCACCTGTAATCCCAGCTACTCAGGAGGCTGAGGCAGGAGAATCGCTTGAACCCAGGAGGCAGAGGTTGCAGTGAGCTGAGATCGCACCACTGCACTCCAGCCTGGGGACAGAGCGAGACTCTGCATATTAAAAAAAAAACAGAAGGGAATTCTGTATCTATTAAGCAAAAACTCCTCATTTCTCCCCTCCTGCCAGCCTCTGATAACCTCAAATCTACTTTTTGTCTCTATAACTTTGCCTATTCTAGATATTTCATATGTAAGTGGAGTCACACAATATTTGTCCTTTAGTGTCCGGCTTCCTATATTTAACATAATGTTTTCCAGGCTCATGCGTGTTACAGCATCTATCAGAACTTCATTCCTTTTTATAATATTCCATTGTGTGGATAGATCACATTTGTTTATTCTTTCATCTGTTGATAGACATTTGGGCTGTTTCCACTTTTTGGATACTATGAGTGATGCTGCTGTGAGCATTCATGGCCAAGTATCTTTGAATATCTGTTTTCAGATCTTTAGGGTCTATAGCTGTGAGTGGAATTGCTGGATCGTATGGTAATTCTATGCTTAACTTTTTGATCAACTGCCAAACTGTTTCCTACAGCAGCTGCACCATTTTATATTTTCGCCAGCAATCTGTAAGGGTTCCAATTTCTCCATGTATTTTCCCAGACATTATTTTCCCTTTAAAAAATTGTAGCTATCCTAGTGAGTGTGAAGTGGTATCTCATTGTGGCTTTGATTTGCATTTCCTTAATGAATAATGACGTTGAGAATTTTTTATGTGCTTATTTGCCATTTGTATATCTTCTGTGGAGAAATGTCTATTCAAGTCTTTTGCTCATTTTTTAATTGGGTTGTTTGTCTTTTTGTTGCTAAGTTGTAGAAGTTTCTATTCTCTGGATAGTAAACCCTTATCACATAGGAATTTGAAGATATTTTCTCCCATTCTGTGAGCTGTCTTTTCACTCTCTTGGTATAGTGTCCTCCAATGTAGCAGTCCCCAACATTTTTGGCACCAGGGACTGGTTTCATGGAAGATAATTTTTCCATAGACAGTGATGGGGGATTGTTTTGGGATAAAACTGTTCCACCTCAAATCAGGCATTAGTTAGATTCTTATAAGGAGCACACAACCTAGATCCCTCGCATGCGCAGTTCACAATAGGGTTTGTGCTCCTATGAGAATCTAATGCCACTGATGATCTGACAGGAGGCGGAGCTCAGGTGGTAACGTGAGCGATGGGGAGCGGCGGTAAACACAGATGAAGCTTCGCTTGCCCACTGGCCGGGCTTTCCTCCTGCTTTGTGGCCAAACAGGTCACGGACTGGTACTGGTCCACAGCCCAGGGTTTGGGGACCCCTGCTTTAATGCACAAAAATTTTATTTTTAAGAAGTCCAATTTATTTATTTTGGTTGCTTTTATTTTTTTGGTTATATTTATGAAATGATTGCAAAATCCATGAAGATTTGTCCTTCATGGATTTTGCAATGACTTCATAAATATAACACCCTTGAAAGATCATGAAGATTTTGCCCTTAGGTTTTCTTCTAGGAATTTATAGTTTTAGCTCTTTTAGTTAAGTCTCTAATACATCTTGAGACAGTTTTGGTGTATGGTATAAGGTATAAAGGTCCAGCTTCATTATTTTGCATGTGGATATCCAGTTTTCCAAACACCAGGAACTAGTGTTTAAAAATTTTCTTCTTTAGCAAGGCATGGTGCTGCTTGCCTGTAGTCCCAACTACTTGGGGGGCTGAGGAGGGAGAATCTCTTGAGGCAGGGAGTTCAAGGCTGTAGTGCACCATGTCTGCGCCTGTGAATAGCCACTGCACTCCAGCCTGGGCAACATAGTGAGACCCCATTTCTAAAAAAAAAAATCTTTTCTTCTTTGCTGCTGCTTCACATTCGTAGTGCAGGTATTGACACATTCTTAGCATAGCACTGGTGAGCTTTTTCCTGAGTGTTGGGAGGTCATTGTTCTCTCTGGTAATCACTATTGGAGCCATCGTCTTGTTGGAAGTAAGACATTTGCTTTGCTGTTTCAGGATATTAGACTTGTTACTTTTTAACTCCCCTGGGGAGGTTGGGCACTCCTTGTCATGGATTGGAGAACTCCCCAGCTACTCTGAATATGTTGGTACACTTCTGAAGCCTTACAAATATCAGTTGCCTTCTTTTCAACCCGTCTCCTACAACTTCTTCAGGAGTGCCATCATGGAGATCAGACGTGGGCGACAGTTTAGATTCAGGGGTTCCCATTCAGCAATAAGAGACCTGTGTGAGTAAATACTGCTGAGACCTTTTAGCTGCAAACCTTGACATACGAGATTCATGCTGGGATTTGCTGTCATGAGGAGGCATCAGCCGGAGCTCGTAACTAAAGTTCTGATGGGAAGTGGGAGTCCAATTTTAATGGCTTATCAGTGTAGTGTGAGATGGCAGCCACATGTCCAAAGCCCAGGGTAGGGGGGGGAAGGCTGTCTGTTAAAAGTTAATGATCTAAGAAGTCCTGGCATAAAGTAAAGCCTTGAGTGAAATTCCATGGCATCGCGGACAGTTAATTCTTTATTAGGTTTTCCTAAGATGGAGATAAAAAGCATTTTATCTTTTCTAAGGTTTGTATTAACATGTCATTGCGTTTTATAGATACATTGGTCTTCGTTTGGCCAATCTGGGACAGGTAATGGAAATACATGCTTTGTGGGATGGCAAAGAAAACCTCCTAACACTTTGCTGTGATTTATTATTGTTTTGTTGGAGATCTCTAAGTTTAAAAGACAAGGAAATCTTGATTTAGGGAAATGAGAGCCAGATGGACTGTTCGTGTTGCTTCCCACCTGGCTGACGTTGAGTTTCCATCTTTCTCTATTGCTGGGTATGTTTAACAACTCTGTACTCCAGTGAAGTTAGAGATCATGCTAGGTTATTTTGTCTGCGAGATCCTTGTAATGAGCTTTTTGGGTAGAGAAGGAGGAAAAGTCAGAAGTTCCAGGCTTCACTAGCTTTGTGCTACAGCTGTTGTCTAAGTGGAGATTCATTTCTTAGAGTCTTGTGCCAGGAATGTTACCGATAGGCCCCAGGGGGCCAGGCAGGTAAGGTGATAAGCTTAGCTGGCCAACTGGAAGCTTTGGTTGGCTGCCTGGTCCAAGGAGGTGGACACTGCCCATCTCCAACCAGGAACTGGAGTCTAAAGTTGGCAGATTGTCTAATTTTCCAACCATGACTGGAAATCTGGACTCTTACGACAAATGTGGGAAATAAATCTAAATTAAAAAATATTATGCAGGCTTAACACAACACACCTGCCGGCCACATTTAGCTCTTGGAGCCTCAGGTTTTAGCAGATGGCAGATGAAGCTTATTCAATCTATCTCCAGCCAGGACTTCTCCCCTGGGCTCCAGACGTCTTTCTCTGACTGTCTACATGACATCTCTACCTGGACGTCTCATTGGTATCTCATACTCACCTGGCCCAAAACCATACTTCCCACCTTTGCCCTGAATCTGTTCCTCCCACAGCCTTCCCTACTGCTGATGGCAATTCCATCCTTCTAGCTTCTCAGGCTAAAAAACCTAGAGCATCCCTGATTCTTCCCCTCTAATTCCTTCCAAGCCTCAGCAAATCTTGTGGCTCTGTCTTCCAAATATATTCAGAAATTAACTCCTTCTCCTTCCCTTCACTGCTCCCAGCCATTATTGTTGCTTGCCTGGACCATTGCAGTGGCCTCCTCCTTTGTCCCTTCTCAATCCTTTCTTCCCACAACAACCAAAGCAGCTTTGCTGCATGTCAATTGCACCATGTTCTTCCTCTGCTCAAAATGCCCCAGTGATGTCCATCTCATTCCAAGTAAAAGCCAGTGTCCTTCAAGTTGATCAGAATGCTCTAAATAATTGGTCATTCCCATTACCTCTATGACTTCCTGTCTGTTTACTTGCTCCAGTCTGGCCACACTGGCCTCCTGCTAGCCTTGGAAACACCCTGGGCATGCTCCTGCCACAGGGACTTTGCACCTATTTCCTCTTCTTGGGACCTCCTCCTTTCCCTTTCTGTGCTCCTACCTCTTTAGACCTTTATGATGGTGGCCCTTGGCCTGAGGAGGTTCTTGGCTTCCTACTTAACACTGCAACCACTTGGAGTCCACTCCAGTGTTGCTTATCCTTCTTCATTTTTCTCCATGTCATTTGCAGCTGTCTAGAATCCTATGCATGTTATTATTTATTTCATTGGTGGTCTTTCTTTTTCCCACTAAACCCATCAGCTCCACAAGACCAGGGATTCTGTCCGGCACATAGAGAGGGCTCATTTTTGAATAAGTGAATGAATGGTGTAGACACTCAGGAAGGTTTCGTGCAGTATCATGACAAACCCATGGATTTAAATACGACTAATGTGTTTCAGTCTGTATGGTTGTGATTCTTTTTGATTTAAGTGATTTTCTTAACCTCTCTGTACTTTGGGATCCTTCCTGTAAAATAGGAATAATAATAGCACTCAACCTCTTAGGACCGTTGTTGGATTGAATGAATGAATGAATGCATGGAAAGCACTTAGAACAGTGCAAATCAGAAAAGCGAGATAGGGTGTGCTATTATTATTATTACTGTTTATCTGTGTGAAAATGAAAACATTACAAATAGGGCTAAAGTCTGTTGTGATCAGCATCCCAAGCCCCACGTCTCTCTCTACTTTCTCTCCAGAGGTAACCACAGTTATTACACCTTTATTTTCTTTATTTCAGATCATGTCTATGTGTATACTTGTAATATAAGTATATATACTTATATTGCAAGTATATATACTTATAATACAAGTATATTACAAGTATATATACTTATAATACTTATAAGTATATATACTTATATTAATATATACTTATATATTTATATATACTTATATTACTTATATACTTATATTACTAAATATATATATTAAGTATATATACTTATATTACTTAATATATACTTATATTACAAGTATATATATATTAAGTAATATAAGTATATTAAGTAATATAAATATATATAAGTAATATAAGTATATATAAGTAATACAAGTATATATACTTGTAATATATGTATATATGTATAATACAAGTATATTATAAGTATATATACTTACAATACAAGTATATTACAAGTATATATATACACATAAGTATATACATATACTATATATAGTATAAGTATATATATAGTTATATATATGTGTATACATATATATTCACCTGTAGAAAAATACAGTATTTTAAAAAAGATATACTTTACATAATATTTTTGCAACTTGCCTATTTTCCCTCAACAATGCATCCTGAAGATGGTTTCACACCACTTCATAGATGTCATCCACTCTGTTCTTTGCTGCTGCTGTATATTGTTCTGGAATATGGAACTGCTCTGGACACCTTAGCTATTCCCCACTTGTGGACATCTAAGCTGTCTCCAAGTGTCTTCCATTATGAGCAATGCTTGGCTAATATCCTGTTATCTGACTGAGTGCTTAGCCTTTCTCCAGGGTGAATATTAAGACATGAGATTGCTGGGCTCAAGGGGTTATGCATTTGCCATTTTAATAAATTATTGCACATTGTGCTTTAAAATGTGGTTGCCAATTACAATTCTACTAGCAGGATGTGAAAAACCTTTCTTTTTTTTTAATTGTAATTTTTATTTTGAGGAATAAAAAAAGTGAAAAGTACAAAGAGTAACATAACAAATATCAGTGTATTCCACACCTAGAAATGTCAGCTGTTCACATTTTGTCACTTTTGCAGCAGGTCTTTTATTATTTTGTAAAAAAAAGGACCCAAACATTACAGAAAACATTGAAGTTCTCTTTTGCACCATCCTCAATTCCATCCCCTCTCCCAGAGGCAAATATGATCATGAATTTAATGTTTTTATATTTTTCCTTATATATGGAACCATGAACAATATATTATTCTTGTGCATTTAATTTTTCATTTAAATGTTATATTGATATAGTATTCTGCAACTTGCTTTTTTTCAGCCAACAATATATTCTGTAGACCTAACCATGTTAGCACATTTACACTTACCTCAATCTTTTTACCTGCTGTGTAATATTCCATCATGTCATGATTTATTTAGCTCTTCTCCACCTGATGGGCTTGTAAACTGATTCTAGTTCTCTGCTATTATGACTAATCCTAAACTGAACATTGTGGTCAGGAGACATTCAGATTCTTTGTTATATATTTTAATAATGCTTCAATTTTATATGCTATTTGGAATAAGATGCTCTTTATCTTTTCATAGACTCAGAAGCAGCCTTGAAAAGAAAAATATCACTTTATCTGCCTTCCTCTACCTGCCAGATGTTTGTTCTTTTAGGGGTAGTAAGATTAGATCTTTGCAGCTTGCTTTTATTAGTTTGGTTATTGTGGTTACTACTAGTACACATCAGGTGAAAACATTCATTCCCACACTTTAGAATCTTAATTATTTGGTTCTTTTTGTATCTGATGTTCTCATTCATTTGACCGATATTTTCTGAGCACCTACTATGTGCCAGGCTCTGTCCTAGGCAGGGAAAACTCAGATGTGGTGTTTGTCCTCTTGGAATTTCCATTCTCGGGGGAAATGGACAATACAACAGGCAAAAATCAGCACTTCTGCTTCCCCTCCAGGTTCATCACTGAAGAGCTAACGGAGATGTGCTTCCTTGGCAAAGTCTGTCCTCTGGCTGAGCCCTCAAGGAATTTTATAGTGAGCTGTTAGAGTGAGGCTCAAAATTAAAATTTCTAGGAGTTGTGTTCTTATGATCAATTGCTGCATAACAAACTACCCCAAGACCTGGTGACTTAAAAGAACAATGGCATTTATTTTGCTCACTAGTTTAGAATTGGGACAGGGTGTGGCAGGAACAGCTGTCTTTGGTCCACTTGTTGTCATCATCCTAGGCAGCTCAAAGGAGTCATCTCAGGGCTCACTCGAATGTCTGGGGGTTGATGCTGCTGTCTGCTGGGATCACAGCTTGGCTGTGGCTGGAACACCTCCATGAGCCCCTTCCTGTGGCTGCCTGGCTTCCTTGCAATATGGCAGCTGGTTGCAAGGGTGAGCGTCCCAAGAGGACCAGGCAGGAGCTGCATTTCCTTTTATGACTGCCTCACAAGGCCCATGGAGTCCCTTTCACTGTAGTCCCAGGCCCACCCAGACTCAAAGGGAAGGGACATTGGCCCATCCCTGTAGGAAGGAATGTCATGTGAGATGGATCTACTGGTGTGACCCTCTGGAAGACACCATCCACCACAAGCTGTGCAAAGCAGCTCTTCCTGCACACGTGTCCAGCCAGATCTCCTGGTGGGCAGTGGCATGGCTTGTGGGAGACCCGGACAGAGGTGGTGGTGTGGATGGTGGCTGGGAATTATAGCAGGATTGTTGAGGGCTCCTGTTTGCTAGGCACACTGCCTGTCTCCTTAGATCCCCACTACACCCATGGTCCCTCCCATTTTACAGTTGAGGAAGCTGAGGTGCAGAGCTCTTGAGTAAGCTCCAGGGTTCACACAGTTAATCAGCAGGGAAACTTGGGCTTGAACCCAGGCCTATAAGTTAGACTGCCCTCTTCAAGTCTACCTAACCACTCCCTACCCCAGGGAGGTAAGACTTCTCTACTCGGAAAGCTCCCAGCCACGGGTCCCCCGTGGGGCTGTCTCTCAGTGGCTGCTTCCTCTGGTAGGCCTCTGGTTACCATGGCAACCGTAGCCAGCCACGCAGAGAAACACTTTGACCTCCCCCCCAACAACACCCCCACGGTAGTTCTGGGTCTTACTGAACAATGAGAGGCACAGTACATTTAGAGGCTTTGGGAGGGCACCTCCCTTTCATCTGCTAACGGGTGTGTCGATGTGAGAAACAGTTTTAGGATGTCTCCTTGACTCAAGGCACAGGCTGAGCAATTATAGAAATCAAATACGATGTCACATCAAGTGGCCCATCACTGAGTACTGGTGTCCGAGGCTGTTCAATTATATGCACCTGTTCCCGGAGCTTCCCAACTCTTCAGTGAAAGACCTTTTGGGGTGGAATATTTCCTGCTTGCTCTTCTGGGCTATTTTAGGAAGATGGGCTGATACACTGTTCACATCTTCTTAGACATAATTGAGCATGACAAAAGGTGGGTGTGTACTGGGGTTTGCAGAAGAATCCTGCAGCAGTGGCCCTTTAAAGGGAGATTCTTTCTTACGGATGCTCCTGGCTCACTGGCACTCAACCCGTTTGGCATCCCTGTTTGTTAGTCATAGAGAAACCGGGTCACCGTTACAAGAGCGGTGCCATTTTGATTCTGGGTTATGAGGGGAGGCAGGCAACTGCTGCTTGGGAATGGTGATTTTAAATCAAAGTTAATTGGGATTTCAATTAATTTAAACAGACATGAAAGTCATACTTTCCCAGAACACACGTGGCAGCTGACGGCAATTCCATCCTTCCAGTTTGCTCAGGTTGAAAACTCTGGCGTCATCCCAGCTTCTCTCTTCCTTTTACATCCCACATCCTATCAATCAGTGAGTCGCCACCTCTAGCTTTGAACTCCCAGGGTTCTGGCCCATCTTCTCTCTTCCACCCTGATCCAAGCCCCATGATCTCATTCCTGGAATCTGCGGAAGCTGCTTCTAGCATCTTGCTTCTCTCATGCTTATCTCTTTCCAGTCTATTCTCATCGAGGAGCCAGAATGAGCCTTTGAAAATGCAAATCATAGCCCACTATGCCTCTGCACAGAACCCCAACCAAACAGGGCAGACAGCGGGCAGGCCAGAGGATGTGTGGCAGGGGCAGGGAGGTTGGGTGGGGAATGTGGTCCATCTTTTTTCAGTAGCATGATATTTCCTTCTGATCATGGGCCTTTTGGAAGCAGCCTAGAGAAGCTAGGCCAGATCTGACCTCCAGGAACTGCTAGATGAGAGATGTTCCAGATCAGAAGGATATTTGAGACTGAAGTAGGAAGTACATGGCATAAAGGAGTGAAGCAGGTGCTCATATACAAACAATGAGCACGCTCTCTCCAGTGCAGTAATAGGGAGTGGTGGGGACTGTGGCAAAGTGGAAAGCCTGTGCTCTGCCTACAAGGGACAGCTGCTCCCAGCTCCAGCCAACTGTCATCATATGAGAGTATAGGTCTAATGCTGTCAGATCTTCCAGTTTTTCAAGAGAAGCTGGAAATTCAGCCCGATAGACTCTCCATATGCTCCATTGTTAGTATCACTGTGAGCCCATGAATTTTAGTATATTTGATGGGTTTCAACCCATTGAGTCATTAGTTGTTTGGATGCTCTAAATCATCCCATCGTTGCCCAGCAGGCGCTCCTTCCAGCTGCCTCGCATGTCCTTTTGATGCATCCCCATCAGTAAAAGCATTTTCCTACTTCTTGGCACAAGATCCTCCAGATTCATCTGGTACATGTCTTGCTCTGGACATGGGCTCAGCCGTTTCTTCAAGATGCCTGGGCTTGAACTCCCCATTTTTAAAGGTTAGCAAGAAATTCACATTAAGAATGAAAAGATCTGTTGCTGGGGTGGCCCTCTGAGGACCCTTGGGTAGATGTCCCAGCGTCCTCTGGAGAGACCCAGGCTGAGCGCCACCATCTCTGAGGAAGTTGGCCTCTGCTTCTGGAGCCTGCTGGGCTGATGGATGGCACAGCTAATGTATCTGGATGGTTGCATTCCACTCAGGGACAGTCACTGAGAAATGTCTAAAATGTACTCACCGTGAGAGCTGTTCCTACAGGTTTCACCTTGCAGAAATCTGTCAGGATTCAGGTGTGAATTCAGAGTTGGCACAGTGGGCTCTGTATACTGTGGCCATTTCCCCATCCTGCTGTCTTCTGTGCTATTGAGGAGTTATGAAAGGACACAGGATGGGGATGAGGGTGTCTAGAATGGGCCATCCCTAATGAATATACCCTAAACCAATGGAGAGCTCTTCCTTTAACCCTTCTGCCTCCACAGACAACTGGTGCTGGATGTGTCTACCAAAGCACCTGCTTTCCTGGAAGCCTGCACATGCTCAGGATGTGGACCGTGTGCATAATTTTTATTGGACACCCCTCGTGTGAGCTGGGAGTGCGAGTGCCTGGGTTTGAATCCTGGCTTGGCTGCGTACTGAATCTGGAATCTTGGGGCAAGCTGCCTAACCTTTCTGTGCCTCAGTTTCCTCATCTTAAAAATGGGGACATAGAAATACCTAGGTCAGGGGCTCGTGATGATGAGTAAGTGAGTCAATACATGTAAATCCCTTAGAACAGTGGCTGACACCTAGCAAGGGTCAGTAAACCTTGGTTTTGAGAATGATTTGAATCTGTGTCCAGTCAGATAGACGCAATTCCTAGATGGTTAGTTATATGATGCACATATTTCTCTTTTCCTTTTCCTTTCCTTTCTTTCTTGATGCCTCCTTGCTCTTTAACTCTTTTATTCCTTCTTTCCATCCTCTCTCCTCTCCTCTTCTTCCCTTCCTTCCTCCCTTCTTTCTCTCTTCCTTTTTTCCCTTCCTCCCTTCCTCCTTCCCTTTCTCTCTCCCTTCCTTCATTTCCCACCCCCTCCCATTTCCCCCTCCCCTCCCGTTTCCCCCTCCCCTCTCCTTTCCCCTCCCCTCCCCTTTTGCCCTCCCCTCCCCTTTCCCTCTCCCCTCTCCTTTCCCCTCCCCTCTCCTCCCCCACCTTTCCTTTCACCCCTTACCCCTCTCCCCTCCCCTTCCCTCCCCTCCCCCCCTCCCTCCATTGGTTTGGGTTAATTTTCTGCCACATGCAACCCAGGCTGGCTTCACGGACATGGGACTGGAGCAGTTGCAGGGGATGCTATGCTCAGAAGGACCCCAAACTTTGTGTCATGCTCTTGAAATTCTTAATACTTTTTGACCAAAGGCTCCCTGCCTTTTCATTTTGCACCGGGCCCCGCATATGACCTAGCCGGTCCTGTGTGTCGCCAAAGTGTCTGGCCAGCCGTCCTCTCTGTCAGGACATCTCTTTGTGTCTCTGTCTTCTGGCACATGATGGGCTTTCAGCAAATACAGATTGAACTCAAATCATCATCCCCAGGATCAGTGCATCTTTTTTGGTCTCTGTTCTTGTCATCCAGCACCTGCCTGGGCGGCGTGCGAACTCATGTATACCTGTGTGCAGAGAGCTTAGCTGAGTGTGTGCAGGGGACTTGATTACGTTTTGTTTCTGTGAAAGTCTTGCTCCAATTCGAGGTGCAGGCTGCCACGTCCCAGCCTCCAGTCCTATGCAAACCGGCCTTGACTTCTGTGTGGGCGTCTGGAAACAGTAACGAGGGCTCACCTTCTTGGAATGTGGAGATTTTGACAAAGATCAGCAGCGATGGCTCCTCCAGAGTAATTGGAGGTTTTGCCGAGATTCGGTACCAACTCTAGGCAGCAGATGGGAGGCTCTTTCTTTCCTTCTTGCTCAGAAGCCTGGTTTGCAAGGTAACGCTGCCTTCTGCCTTGAAGGCGAGGAACAGGGGAAAAGTGTTCCTGTGGGCCCCAGAGGTGGTGCTGGGCTTCCTGGGTTTCTTGTGCTGCATTGAGGAGGCGCTTCCTGCACCCGGGCTCAGAGGGGCTCAGCTACTACTTCCTGGAAGAGACTGAGCCAGCAAGGCTTCAACGGGGCAAATTCTCTAAACTGGGAACCGCACAAGAGGTCGCGAACCCTCGCGAGGGAGGCACAAAGATCTTTTCTTCCAGCTCAAATGAGTGAAGTTGCCAGAGGCTGCTGTCATTTTTCAGCTAAGTCTGAGGGGTTAGGAGCTGGGATGAGATGTTTCTTTCTTCAGTGCTAATGACTATCTAGGTTGCCTGGCCTGTTCTTTCAGAAATTAGAATAAAGATTAGCTGAGAAATGTCTTCTTTGTGCAAAGTGCCTCTGGTGGGCACTGGCTGCCATGTGGGAGGTCTGCAGATGCCGCTAGAAATGGGAGACTTGGAGCTGGAGAGGGGAGTCTGGGGGCACTGTCCTGTCTACACTTGCAGGCAGAGTTGGGGCTGGTTAACTGTCCAGGTTTATTTAGTGCTCTGCTCTGGGTTTTTCTTTCCTATGTGATCTAGACAGACTCAAGAAGGCACCCTCCTGGGCTTGCAAACTCAACCAATGCCAGGAACCAGGCAGCTTATGCACAGAAGGAAGTAGGTTAGGGGTTAGGGAGTCAGCACAGCAGCAAATCCAGCTGATGATGCTGTGCCTACGCGAAGGCGCATAACAGTAGAAATTGTTTCTTTGTTTTGTTTTGAGACAGGGTCTCGCTCTGTCACTCAGGCTGGAGTGCAGTGGTGCAATCTCAGCTCACGGCAACCTCCGTCTCCCAGGCTCAAGTGATTCTCCTGCCTCAGCCTCCCAAGTAGCTGGGATTACAGGCGCCCACCACCACGTCTGGCTGATTTTTGTATTTTTAGTAGAGACGGGGTTTCACCATGTTGGCCAAGCTGGTCTCGAACTCCTGACCTCAAGTGATCCGCCTGCCTCGGCCTCCCAAAGTGCTGAGATTAAAGGCGTGAACCACCACGCCTGGTCAATAATAGGAATTGTTAACACTATTATTATTTTCCAGCCACTGCTCTGAATGCTTGTATGTATCTTAACTCAAGCAATCCTCATGATAGCCCCGATGCCGTGGGTACCATGATCCTTGTTTTACAGATGAGGAAACTGAGGCACAGAACAATGGAGTCACTTGGCCAAGGTAACACAACTAGAAGGCAGTAGAGCTGGGGTTGGAGCCTCAGATTCTGTGTCACTTGCCTGTTGGTGGTTAAGGGGTGATGGGACTTGGAGTGAACAGGAGACCCCATTCCCCATCTAAAGATAGCAGTTGCTACTTGGCCAATTGTTGTAATGCACACCAGCAGTTTGCAGCCCTTGACGTCTGCCCAGCAGTGGCTCCAGAGACTGAGGATGCTCTGGAGGTGGTTGTAATGGAGGTACTTAGGACAACAAGCAGGGGACCCTGGGTCACCACCCCCTGGATGTTGCAGAAATGGAAGATCAGCATCCCCCCCTCACCTGGCTGGCTTTTCTGGGGACACAGGTGGTCTTAGAGTAGCAGAGTTTGTCCTGGATACTGAGTTCCCTGAATGTTCTCTCCAACAAGCACTCCCTTAGCTTCAAGTTGCCCAGCTCAAAGGAAGAGGGCTCATTACCTCCTCTTCTGTCTTTAGGTGTTGGAACATTCTTTCTACACAGATCCATATCTGCCTCCCCATCAAGTCCATCCTGGATTCCAGGGATTACACAGGATAAATCTAATTCCTCCTCTACAGGACAGTCCTATGGGCAATTGCTGATGTGCTTCAGAGCTGCCTGGCTTGAGACCCCTTTGAGAATAAAATCCAAGCTCCTGGTGGGGGGCGGGAGCAGTGGCTGCATGGCCTGCCCCTGCCCTGATTCTAAGCAGCATCTCTTCGCACTCTTTCTCTTTCTCTATGTCAGGCATTCTAACCTTGCTTTTCCTCAATACATCAAGCTAAAGGGTTCTTTTCTTTCCTTTTTAAAATGTTTTATTTTGAACCAATTTTAAATGTAGAGAAAAGCTGCAGAAAGAGTACAGAGAGGTCCTATGTACCTTTAACCTGGCTTCCATGAAGCTATTTTCTAGAAGGTGGTCAAAGAAGGCAGCACTGAGTAGATGATTTTCAGCTGAGGTCTGAGTAGTGGGAAGGGACTGACTATATAAAGACCTGGGGCAGCTCATTCCGGAAGAGGGGGCAGGAAGTGCAAATGTCCTGTGGCAGAACGGTGCCAGATGTCCACTAGACACAAAGTGGGGGGCTGCAGTGACGTAAGCGAGGGGGACAGAGCAGTGAGAAGGACCATCCCACAAACTGTACTACAGGCCACCATGAGAACTTGGACTTTTACTCTGAGTCAAATGGGAGCCATGGGAGGTTTGGGAGCAGGGCAGGAGGCCTGATGTGACTCGCCTAAGGTCCCCGATAAATAAGTACATCTCTTTCTCAGCCACAGCCTTTGGCCAAGCCTCCTCTCCTTGCCTGCCCACCACAACCCACCTACCTCTTGTTCCTGGCAGGGTGGTGAGAGGGCTGGAAGCAGAATGGGGGGCTCCCGATCAAAGGATAGTGCCGCCTTCCCAACTTGGGGACAGAACCCCTTGTTATCCCGATCCTTCTCCATCATCAGCCTGGCAGAGACTCCCGCCTGTTGACCTTGGGCAAGTGACTTCCCCTCTCTGTGCCTCAGTTTCCTCCTCAGATGGAGCTGATTGTAGTACCTGGGTTGTTGAGAGGATTAGCATGGGTTGGTATACTCAAAGCGATTGGAAGCACCTGGCCTGGAGTGCGCACCGTGTGACTATTAGGCACGATTGTTTAAATTCACCTGCAGCTTCACATTGCTGCAGGTGCATCTGTGTAAAAGGCTGAGTCTCCCCTGCCCATCAGTCTCTGTTGTTAAAGATCACCATGCATCCGGAGCATGGATCCACTGCTCTCACCCGACGGGCAGAACTGGGAAGTGGGGGTGCTCCCCTTCAGTCTTTTGTCCTTGCCTTTTCCTGGGCTGGGGGCAGGACTTTGGGCTTTGGTTTTGGCGAGGGGTCCTGGCTTGAGTGAAGGGGACATCATCAAAGGATAGTGCTGCCTTCCCACCATGGGGTCATATCCCCTCATCATCTCTATCCTCCTCCGTCATCAGCTTAGTGGAGTCTCCCGCCTGTTGACCTTGGGCAGGTGACCTCCAGGGCTGGGCTTTCACCTGGAGCCTTCACATTCTGGGGCTGCCAGAAGGGGTGGCCAGTGTGACTTTGAGGGGCCCCAGACCTGCCCTCCTTGCTTCATCTGGGGAGCTCTCAGTGGTTCTCTTCATCATCTTTCTCTGTAAGGGTGTTTTTTCCCCTTAAACAACTCAGAAACTCCACTCCTAGGTAAGTGGAAATGCAAATATAAACACGAAGACGTGTGTGAGAATTGTTTCTTAAAACATTGTATGTAATCACAGAAGCTTGGAACCAACCTAAACTTCCAGCAGGAGAATGGATCCATATGGTATTTCCATACAATGGGATACCAAATAGTAGCAAAGTGAGTGGGTTACGGCGATGTATGTCAATAAATGTAATTTTCGTAGACATAATGTTGGGTGGAAAATGCAAGTTGTAGAATCATAGAGTACAATGCTATTTATATAAAATCTAGAAATGATACAACATATCTTACCATATGTAGGCACTATATACTACAATAAAAGTAAAAAAAACTCACAACATGGTGAACCCCAAGTTGAGGAAAGGGGTTACCTCTGGGGTCAGGAGGGAACTGTGGTTGGGGAGGGACCACGGAGGACTTCACCTGTGTTTGCAGTGACCTGTTTCTTTCTTTCTTTTTTTTTTTTCAAACAGAGCTTTTAATGAATTTATTTTTCTTCAACTTTTATTTTTAGTTCTGGGGTACATGTGCAGGGTGTGCAGATTTGTTACGTAGGTAAATGTGTGCGATGGTGGTTTGCTGCATCTGTCAGCCCATCACCTAGGTATTAAGCCCAGAATGCATTAGCTATTTTTCCCGATGCTCTCCCTTCCCACCCCCACCCTGACAGGCCCCAGTGTGTGTTGTCCCTGACCCACCATGTCCATGTGTTCTCACCATTCAGCTCCCACTTATAAGTGAGAACATGAAGTGTTTGGTTTTCTGTTCCTGTGTTAGTTTGCTGAGGACAATGGCTTCCAGCTCCATCCATATCCCTGCAAAGGACATTTCATTCCTTTTAATGGCTGCATAATATTCCATGGTGTGTATGTACCACATTTTCTTTATCCAGTCTACCATTGATGGGCATTTGGGTTGATTCCATGTGCAGTGACCTGTTTCTTAACTTGGATGGTTGGTCCAGGTATGTTCACTGTATTATAAAAATCCTCTTGTAAAAATATTACATAATCAATTAAAAATATGTTGTTTGAATAACAGTTTGTATAGCTAAGGAAAAAATTAGTCTGGAAGTTGCTGGACTGGATGTCCTTGGCCTCTCTTGCTGGTATTGACCCACTGGGGTCCCCCGGTTGTCCCCAGAGGCCATGATATAATCCTGGGTTTCAGGGCAGGTGGCCCAGTGGTAAGAGCATCAGGTAGAGGTGGCTCAGGTCCTGGTTTTGTCCTGGTGAACCTTGGATAAGAGTTGTGTCCTCTCTGAATGTCAGTTTCCTCAATTGTAAAATGGGAAGAATTTAGTCCCCATGACTACAGCTCCCGGGGCTGGTGGGAGGATTTGCAGAGATGGTGGCACGTGTAGCGTGTTTAGCTCAGAGCCGGTGGCAGTGTACTATGCACAACACACAGTAGATGCTGTTGATGATGATAGTGAACAGTCATTCCATCCACACAGTGAGAGGGACAGGCAGAGGAAGAGGGGAGAAGTAACGAGAACTTGGCTTTCCAGTATGGGTCCCAACGCCTCCACATTAACGAGGCTGCCGCCTTGTGTTCAAGCCCCAGGAGGACTGGTTGGTTTTGAGCCACACTGACTGGAAGCCTCTCTTCTGCTGTGGCCACACACCCTGCTGCCCTTCATGTGGCTGCAGACTAACTCTGATCCATCACACATCCACAGCTGATGGTGACCTCAGACTACCCTCCCTATCCTGCTGAGATGGGCACTGACTCTCTGGTTCCCCTCAGGGCTGCGCTGGGCTTCCTTCCTTCTTGTTGACTCAAAACTGGGGTGCAGTTACCAGGAGGGGGATGGATACTGAAGGGTTCAATTATCACATAGGTCCAGTGATCAGAAGGGAGCCACTGGCCAGGTGTAGTGGCTCACACCTGTAATCCCAGCCCTGTGGGAGGCTGAGGTGGGAGGATCAGTTGAGCCCAGGAGTTCAAGATCAGCCTGGGCAATATAGTGAGACCCTGTCTCTATAAAAAGTAAACAAAATTAGCCAGGTGTGATGGTTTGTGCCCATAGTTCCAGCCACTTGGGAGGCTGAGGTGGGAGGATTGCTTGCACCTGGGAGGTTGAGGGCTGCAGTGAGCCCTGATTGTGCCATTGCACGCCGGCCTGGGCAATAGAGCAAGACCCTGCCTAAAAAAAAAAAAGGGAGCCACCGGTCTAGGGCAGCACAATTCACCTTTTCTACAAGGACTGGCCTCCCTTGCCTGGACTCTCCTGTGATGTCTCTGGGTCCTGCACTGAGCTTTGGCCTTTTGGGGGCTGGCTTGGAGCCTCACCGTCCTGCTGGAGCCCCTCATGTAACTGTATCAACAATGGCCCAGCTGGGGAGGAGGTCTGATCCAGCAGCCTCATTCATGCAGGCACCAGAGAGAAAATAGGAGCAAATAAATTGCTGGCCTACGTTAAATTTAGTCTTATTCTGTTGGAGCTAATTGTAATCTTTATTTGGTCCCAAGTGATTCATTCTTATCGCTCTTATTATAGCTGAGAAAATTAATTTTTATTCTACCATAACGGTGGCTGTAATAATCTGGGTTCAGGGAGGGGGATTACTTTAATAAGATTTGCCAACAGGCTTTGAAACAGTCAGCTTTTATTAGCGTGTGGAACCGGCCTGTTGCGCTGGAGAGGACATTAGGGGTTCCTGGTGGCATTGCTGGGGTGAGCTTGGCTAGGAGAAGGGACAGGTTTGTTTGCTCTATGAAGAACTCAGGCCTGTTTCCATTCCTGTGTTTAAGTACAGGAACGGCTCCACAAGGGGGAAGCTGAGTCGACCTCAGTCTTTGGCCGACTTAAATGGAAACAAATGCATTTAAATGAATCATGAGTCTGCTCCTGAAACACCACGCACCATAGGGACAAGGGAAAATGCACTGGGGTCAGGCTGGTCTTAGACATTGGGACTGTGGGGAATATGGAAAGCAACACATCTTCCAGAAGGAGCAGATGTTATGCACCCATTATCTCTCTATTTGCAATTCCAGATTCCCAAACCTCTGAGAACCACAATGTTTTTGGTAAATTTTCAGCAGACTCATTGGGTGGTAGAACCTCACCTGAGCTCATTTATAACTTTATTTGTTCCACTTAAGAGGAAGGCTCTTGTCTTTGACTTGGAACCACTGGTGTGTGGATTCAAAGATCCTGCCCCAGGCTCCGCTGAAGGTGCTACTGAGATTCAGCGTATGCATTGGTCTTGCCTGTCTAAATCAGAGAAATTAGGAACTGAGAGTTCTGGAAAAGAGGTGCTGGATCTGGATACATGCAATGTAGACCAAAGAAGTGGTAGATTTTTCTGACTTTGGGGGAGAGAAACCGGAGGTCCTAACTGTTATGTGACATCTCTCAATTTCGATTTGTTTACTGAGTCAAACTTTTACATTTTGTGTTTTGAAGACAGAAAATATCCCCAACATTGTTAGTCATTAGGAAAAGTCAAATTAATACCATAATGAGATACCACTGCACAACCAATGGAATGACTAAAATAAAAAACCTGGCGATATCAAGTTTTTGCAAGGATGTGGAGAAACTGTAATCCTCTATGTGCTGATGGGAATGTAAAATGGTGTAGTCACTTTTGAAAATGATTCTTTTTTTTTTTTTTTTTCTTTACGGAGTTTTGTTCCTGTTGCTCAGGCTGGAGTTCAGTGGAGCAATCTCGGCTCACTGCAACTTCCACCTCCCAGGTTCAAGCGATTCCTCTGCCTCAGCCTCCCAAGTAGCTGGGATTCCAGTGTGCACCACCATGCCCGGCTAATTTTTTGTGTTTTTAGTAGAGCCAGTGTTTCACTATGCTGGTCAGGCTAGTCTGAAACTCCTGACCTCAGGTGATCCACCCACCTTGGCCTCTCAAAGTGTTGGGATTACAGGTGTGAGCCACCAAGCTCACCTGGTTCATCAGTTTGCTTAAAAGTTAAGATACACCACCATATGACCCAGCAATTCCACTGCTAGATATCTACTTTAAAAAAAAAAAGACCTGTTTATAAATGTTTATTCGTCATTGCCCCAAACTGGAAACAACCTAAATGTCCATCAACTAGTGAATGCATGAACACCCTTTAGGACACCCATACAATGGAATAAAAAGGCACAACCTACTGATAAATATAATAACATGGGTGACTTAATTATTATGCGAAATAAAAGAAGTCGGGCACAAAGGTCTTCATACTGTGTGTTGATATGGTTTGTCTGTGTCCCCACCCAAATCTCATCTTGAATTATAGCTCTCATAATCCCCACGTGTCGTGGGAGGGACCCGGTGAGAGGTAATTGAATCATGGGGCTGGGTTTTTCCTGTGCTGTTCTCGTGACAGTGAATAAATCTCACAAGATCTGATGGTTTTATAAAGGGCAGTTCCCCTGCACACACTCTCTTGCCTGCCGCCATGTAAGATGTGCCTTTGTTCCTCCTTCACCTTCCGCCATGATTGTGAGGCCTCCCCAGCCATGTGGAACTGTGAGTCCATTAAACCTCTTTTTCTTTATTAATTACCCAGTCTCAGATATGTCTTTATTAGTAGCATGAGAATAGACTAATACATATGTCTACACATGTATGTGAATATCTAGAACATTCAAGCCTGCAGAGACAAATGCGGATTAATAGTTGCCAGAGCTGTGAGTGGGAAGAGGGATTACCTGTCAGTGAACACAGGGAGCTTTTGGGGTGTAGGAAGTATTCTAAAACTAAATTGTGGCAATGGTTGCACAACTTTGTAGCTAAACTCATCAAACCATACACTTTAATTGGGTACGTTTTATTGGATGCCAAGTATACCTGAACAAAACTGTTAAAATATTCAAAGACATAATACATTCATATGGTTCAAATTTCAAAAAGTATAAAAGTGATTATAATTAAAAAAATTCCATCTTACCCCTCAGCAATCCAGTTTTCTTTTGCACAGGCAGTCAACATGATTAGCATTTCCCCCCAATGTGTTCAGAGATATTTCATGCATAGAAAATCATAGAAATGTACTTTTCTATGCATATATATATATATGCTGTATATGTTTCCCTATGTATAGTTTGCTTTGCCTTCATAGACAGTAGCAAACCATGAGTACTGTTCGGTACCTTGTTTTTTTCCACTTAACACACAATTTGTCTGGAGAACCTTCTCTGACATAAAGAGCTGCAATTTTTCAAGCACTGTCCTTCCACATTCCATCGTGTGCCTGGCCTATAGCTTATGTTGTCACTCCTTGATTGATGGACACTGGCTTGGTTCTAGTCTTTTGCCACTACGAAAATGACTGGCCAGTGTGCACTGCTTCACACCTGTAATCCCAGCACTTTGGGAGGCCAAGGCGGGCAAATCACCTGAGTTCAGGAGTTCGAGACCAGCCTGGCCAAAATGGTGAAACCCTGTCTCTACTGAAAATACAAATATTAGCCGGGCGTGGTGGCAGGCGCCTGCAGTCTCAGCTATTTGGGAGGCTGAGGCAGAAGAATTGCTTGAACCCGGGAGGCGGAGGTTACACTGAACTGAGATTGCATCATTGCCCTCCAACCTGGGCAACAAAGCGAGACTCTGCCTCAAAAAACAAAAACAAAAACAAACAAAAAACAAAGACTGGCCAAATTCTCTACCCTCTTTCTGCCTCTCAGCTTCTTTGTTTGTTTGTTTGTTTGTTTTTTGAGACAGGGTCTCTCTTGGTCACCCAAGGCTGGAGTGCAGTGGCACAATCTCAGCTCACTGCAACCTCTGCCTCTGGGGTTCAAGCGATTCTCCTGCCTCAGCCTCCTGAGTAGCTGGGATTACAGGTGCACACCATGATGCCTGGCTAATTTCTGTATTTTCAGTAGAGACAGGGTTTTGCCACGTTGGTCAGGCTGGTCTCCAACTCCTGACCTCAGGTGGTCCGCCTGCCTTGGCCTTCCAAAGTGCTAGGATTACAGGCGTGAGCCACCGTACTGGGCTCCTTGTTTCTTAATGAAGAAAATGGTAGTGCCTACCTACCTCATAGAGTTATAAGGACGAAAGGAGCTCGTGTATATAAAGGCATCCACAGGGCCTGGCACCCAGAAAAATCATGTGAGCATTATAGAAAGAAGCCAATAAGCCAGAGAGCTCCGACCAAAAAGTTGGAAACAAACCCCCCAACCGTGAAATTTCCTTAGAAACACACACATACACACACACAACGGGGGCAGGGAAAGAATGCAAGAGGTGAACACCTTCTTAACATAAAAATGACCCAACTTCAGATCAGAAAAATGGAGGCCTCATGTTTGCAGAATTCTCTGCAAAATGTCAAATCTCTGTTCAATAACTTTCAAATGCCACAATCCGTGCGTTTGAATAATAATTCTTTGAAGGTCTAGTAAATAAATATATTGACAAACAGATTAATTGCTAATCACTTCTCCAATGTTGTCATTACTTCCAAAGAGTTAGATCCAAAACAAGGTGGTCTGCACCAGAAAGGTGCAAGTAGAATTACTGCCTCCACGAAGAACCTTGCAGGTGTGTCACGTCACGCGTGTGCAGGTAGATTCATAGGATAAGTTCTGAGAAGAAGAATTAATCAAAAGGTATGTGCAGACTAATTTTGGATAGATTTTGCCAAATTATCAATTTTACTCCCTAGAGCAGGGTTCCCCAACCCCTAGGCCACGGACTGGTACTGGTCTGTGGCCTGTTAGGAACCGGACCACACAGCAGCAGGCTAGCGAGCATTACTGCCTGAGCTCTGCCTCCTGTCGGATCAGCGGCAGCATTAGAGCCTCATAGGAGCCCAAACCCTATTGTGAACTGTGCATGCGAGGGACCTAGGTTGCGTTCCCCTTATGACGTGAAACAGTTTCATCCTGAAACCATCCCTGCCCTCCACCATCCATGGAAAACTTGCCTTTCATGAAACTGGTCTCTGGTGCCAAAAAGGTTGGGGACCACTGCCCTAGAGTGACAACTGAGATCGTGTTCCCTTAGCTATCTTAGCTAGACTCCAAAAGTCTGGTCTTTGGATCTTATCAGCTTGAAAGGTGAGCTGTGGACGTGGCAATCTCTTATTTTGGGGGAAAACAGTCCAACTTCAACGGGGCTCAAACAAAACTCCTTTGGGCCAGTTCCTGCTCTGGGCCCCTTGGTGTAGACAGTGGTTACCTGCCTGCAACGCAAAACAGAGAGCTCTTCTGGCATTGTTTCCACTGAGATAGCTGATAACAAGGGGTAGATGTAGCCTGAGGCACCAGTTCCATTGTGTTTACAATTTTTGCAAATTGAATAAGTCATGCCAGCGATTTCTCAGGACACATCTGCCAGTTGCTTACATTTTTCACAGGCCCAGAACATATGGGTAAGGTAAAGACGCAAACACACAAAACCCAGAAAAAAGCACAGCATCCCAGCTGACAGGAAACCTTTTGAATTCTCATCAAAACAGGAGCGTTTGATGCCCCTAGAATGCATGGCCATGGGAGCAGCAGCCTCAAACCAGGCAGGAGCGGAGGACCTTCAAAGCAGCGCCCAGGGGAAATGGGAAGGCTTTCTGGTGCAAGCTGCCTTGTTTTGGATCTAACTGTTTGGAAGTAATGACAATATCGGAGAAGTGATTAGCAATTAATCTGTTTGTCAATATATTTATTTACTAAGCCTTCAAAGAATTATTTGAACGCACGGATTGTGGCATTTGAAAGTTATTGATCAGAGATTTGACATTTTTGCGGAGAACTCTGGAAACATGGGGCCTCCATTTTTCTGATCTGAAGTTGGCTCATTTTTATGTTAAGAAGGTGTTCACCTCTTGCATTCTTTCCCTGCCTCCCACCCTGTGTGTGTGTGTGTGTGTGTGTGTGTGTGTGTGTGTGTGTGTGTGTGTGTCTGTTTCTAAGAACTTTGTTTTGTTGTCGTTGTTGTTGTTTCCAACTTTTCAGGTGGAGCTCTCTGGCTTACTAGCTTCTAGTGAGAGTTCTTCTTTCTCTGCAGGTCATAGGATCACATGGGATGCTGTGGATTCTCTCTTGTGTCTCATGGAATGAGCTGTGGCTATACAATCATATCAGATGTAGTAGCTTGACCCAAGAGCTTGGACTGTGTGAGGACCGAGTTTCTTTGACTTCCTGGTTTGCTTTTCATGGTGTTGACCCCACTCCAGGGCCCTGCAGCTCTGAGCTCCCCATGTAGTGCAGTGACATTTGGGGGTTTTGGGCCTCCAGCCTCCTACCACGCTGTTCACAGGGAGAGGGGGACACCCCAGGGAGCCTCTGCACAAACCCAGAGTCTCTCTCTCTCCCTTAATGGCCGGCACTAGGTCACATGCCCAGTTATGACCAAATCAAGGTTCTCCACAAAGGGAGAGAAGACTGTAGACACTGGAGAGGCGACCAACAAATGCCTAATAAGAAAAGAACTCTGAGGAGCTCAGCACTTGTCCTGTCCCCGTGCCTTTGAGCTTCAGAAGAGTCATTGTGTGATCTATTGATTGCTTTTGGGGAGGAGAATTACTCTGTTCCGAAGTGACTGGTCTCAGGCTGGACAAGCCCCGTCAGTATTCCAGACTTGGTTGAAAAAGTCACTTGCCCTCCTTGTTGACCTGTTTCCAATGAAGACAATATGAGCTCAAAATGGAGCACATGAGCTCTGACATTCCGTTGTCCTGGCAACCTGTATAGTAAACATCGGCTTAATGCTGTTTGATGGGGGGAGGTGGGAATTAGGAACTGGGGGGTGTTGAATAAAGCTGAAGATTTGGTGCCCTCGCCTCAGCTCCAGACTCTACGGGAAATGTTTGGTGCAGCATCCAGAATGGACACCACTGCTGTCTGCACCGGGGGAGGTCGGAAGGAAGGGAATGGCCTGGTGCAACCAGGACAGGGATGGGACCAGACCCAAGGGGAGGTTTTCCTATGTCCTATTCAGATTCTCCCTTTGCAGCAAACTTCTTGAAAGAGTTGCCTGTTCTCCGTGCACCCCTTCCTCTTGTCCTGCTCACTCATTGTGCTTCTTGCCACCTTGTTACTATTGAAACTGTCCACCGAGGCTGCCAAAGCTATTGCCACATGCAGGGGCCACTTCTCCAGGCTTGGCTTTTTTGCAGCTCAGAGGCACAGGGTCTCCCTGCCTTCTCTAACAACACAGGCACCTGCTTTCCCTTCTCTCTCTCTCCCTGGATGCCCCCTGAGCCTTCTCTGCAGGCTTGCCCCCTGCTAGACCTTTCCACCAAAACCTCTCTCCACCAAAGCCTCTCTCCACCAAGGCTCTCTTTCCCTCCTCTTTTTCCCACTCTGCATGTTTCTCTTTGGGCCACTTTTCCCAATGGCTTCTGTCACCACCTCTCTTCTGCTGACACCCAAATCTCCTTCTAGCTCACAGGTCTCTCCTGAGCTCCAGCATCAGCATCTAACTCATTTCTACATGGGGGCCCACAAATATCAAAAACTAAATACGTCCCAAGCAGAGCTCAGCACCTTCTCCCAAATACCCACCTCCCTTGTCCCAGTGACGGGTCCACCCTTGTGCCCAAGACTAAGCTCAAAATGCCTCTTTGTCTTTTCTTCCCTCTCTCAGCACCCTCTCCCCTCCCATCATAGCTAATTGATGTCCAAGTCCTACCAGAATCTCTTCATTTCCTCTCCATCCTGGTGGCCCTTTCTGCAGTAGAGGCTGCGGTGAGTTTGAGGATTTCAGGCCTGATCAGGAAGAGTGAGCTTTTTTACTTGGGCAGTATGTTGACAGGTTGCATGCGGGGGACGTCTCCCATAGCAGGAGACCTTCCAGAGACTGTGGCCATCACCTGGGCCACCAGCCAACCAGGAAGGAAGAAGGAACTCCTGGGGAAAAGGAGAGCTAGAGAGGGGGCTTAAGTGTCCAGGTCACACAGCAGGACCATTGGGTGCCTCTGGGCCAGGGGGCTCCAAGGGACAGCAGCTGCCTGGGGTCTTCTATAGTCCAAGGTTTTAAAAAAAAAATCTGTGGCTGGCAGATGCTGGGTGCAGTTTCTCAGGATATATAAAGCAGGCGGGCTCTACATAGCTAAGAGTCTGCTTCTTTGGGCTACATTTAAAACAATGGGTTGTGTAAAATTTTGATTTTGGCACCGGGGGTCTTGGAGAATGGATGGCCCTAGCCAACTCTGAAGAAGTAAACCTGGGGCCAGTCTACAAGGACCGTCTTTGGCCCGTTTGTAAAACAAAGTCACCCTGCCCTTGGGGCTGGGCCATCGCATTCATTTCCCTGTCTTGGCCTTTCCTGCTTTTAGTCCATTCTCCGTAATAGCAGAGTGATGTCTTAACCGTGTTATATCAAGTGGTGCCATGAACCTGGGACCTCAGTCACTCAGGTGGCTTCCCATTACCCTGGGATAAAGTCCAAACACAATGCAGTGGCCTCCGCCAGCCCTGAAGGATGTGCCCTTTCCTCCCTTTCCAGCCCAGCACGGTGCCCTCACTCCTGCCCAGCCACCACACCCTTGCAGCTGCAGCAGGGTTCTGTGTTCTGCCCATGCTGTTTCCTCTGCTGGGAGCCTTCTTCCCCAAATGGGACCTGGCTATTCCACGTGTCCTTCGGCTACTGTGTTAGTCTCCTGGGGCATCCATCATACGTTTATTCTCTTTTGAAGGGCAGATGTCCAAAATCAAGGTGTTGGCAGAGCCACACTTGCTCTGAAGGCTCTAGGGGAGGGAGGATCCTTCCTGCCTCTTCAGCTTCTGGTGGCTCCAGGCATTCCTTGGCTTGTGGCCCCATCACTCCAGTCTCTCACTTCATTTTCACATGACCTTCCCTGTCTCTGTTCTCTCTTCTGCTTCTAAGGTCACCAGTCATTGGATTTAAAGTCTGCCTTTGTCCAATATGACCTGCTTACATCATCAAAGACCCTATTTCCAAGTAAGGTTCCAGGTGGATGTGTTTTGGGGGCACCATTCAATGAACTACAGGTCCTGTTTTCTCTGGCTCCCTCAAGACCGCACTGGGGCCTCTCCTCGGTACATGTGCCCTCATGACTCTCGCTTTTCTTTACTGGAATGGCTTGTTCATTCTTCAGCTCCAAACTAGACTAAACTCTGTGAGGACAGGGCTGCTTTGCTCTATCCTCCCTGCAACTTCAGTGCCGGGCACAGGACTGGCTCTTAATGGATACTGAATGAACCCTGTTATGGACTGAATGTTCGCATTCTCCCCCACCCCCAAATGTATTTGCTGAAGCCCTAATCTCCAATGTGATGGTATCAGGAGGTGGAGCCCTCGAGGGGTAATTAGATTTAGGTGAGGTTGCGAGGGTGGGGCCCTCATGAGTGCTTTTATAAGTAGAGAAAGAAGTACCAGCGCTTCCTCCCTCATGCGAGGATATGGCAAGAATGCATGTCCATAAGGAAGAAGGCATGCACCAGACATCAAATCTGCTGGCGCCTTGATCTTGGTCTTCCAGCCTCTAGACCTGTGAGAAATGAATATCTGTTGTTGAAGCCTCCCAGCCTATGATGGATTTGTTACAGCTGGCCAAGCTGACTTAGACAAATGAGTGTGCCTGATCCATCCCATTGAATGTGACAGAACCCCAGGAGGCAGATGGTATTCTTGTCTTGCTAAGTAGGGCTGAGTCACTCACCAGGCAGCCCAGCCAGGCAAGAGGCAGGCTGACTTTCTAGCCCAAGCCTCCTTCTCTAGAACCCAAGCTCCCTCCACCCTTGGGTCTGGGGTCCTATGAGGCACTGACTTGAGGAGGATGATAAGGTCTGAGTGGCTTTTGGCTGGAACGAGATGGGACAATGGGTTGGTTACTTTCCTGGGACGATTCCCTAACGGATGTCTCAGAGCTGTCGTGGCTTTGTCCCCAAACCACTCATTGTCACTGACACAGGCTGTATTCATCTCTCTTGAGACTGGCCTTTTAAAGTGTTCCCCCAGCCCCGGCCCCTTGACACTCAGGTGGCCAATGAAAGGAAACAACAGGAACAGCTTTCAGGCCAGGGACTAGAGAGATTTTCCCCATGGAGTGAATACCCCTGAACACAAAGGGAAGAAAAAGCCCTTTCATAAAACTACCCGATCTTCACTGGAAGGAATGCGACAGATACAGGCAAAAATCAGTTCTCCACTTTGTGATTTCTCAGGGTGACGGAAGTGGACAAAGGGAAGGGGAGAGAGGGTTTCAATGCAGTAGCCCTGCTGGCAGCCTGTGGCCATTGTTCCGTGGCCGACGCTGTGGTCCGACGATCTGTGTCACGCTGGACTGATGGAAAACCCAGGTGTTGCTCTGGGTCACGGGATGCGTGTGGTGTGGGTGCGTCCCCGCTTCCAAATAGAATTTCATATTCTTCCGGAGCACAGAGAACCCACGGGGTGCTGGCTGCCACTTGTGGTCTCCTCTGTCCAGGCTGATGGTTTGGGGACAGTGACTCCCTTTCTCCCCTAAGCCTATCCTGGTTTGGGTTTGTGTGACTTGCAAACAAAGAATCTGGTCCCATAGAGTAGTCGTGCTTTGTTTAAGGGGTTTCTTTTTTTTTTTTTTTTTTGCAGCCATGAAGATGATTTTATTTATCTATAGTTATGGTTGACATTTTTCATGCATAAAAACTTCTATTGCTCAAGAAAAAAGTTAAGTACTTCCTATGGAAACAATAGACAAATGACAACAAGAAATTTACAAAGAAAGAAAAAAAATGGCCAGTAAACATTTAAAAAACTTAATCACTAATTGTCAAATTTAAATTTTTTAATCTATAAACTATCATTTTTTACTGTGAAATGGCAAAGATTTTTTAAAAAGTATATCCAATGCTGCCAAGAGGGCAGAGGCCTTTCTGTAAAACAGCAATATGTATCAAAAGCTTTAAAATGTGCAAATGTTTCTACCTAGTGTATTGCTTTGAAAAAAAATTCACAGGCAAATTAAAATTTCTTGGCTGGGCACAGTGGCTCATGCCTGCAATTCCAACACTTTGCCTAACCAAGCTGCACTTGGGGAGGCAGAGGTGGAAGGACTGCCTGAGGCCAGGAGTTTGGGACCAGCCTGGGCAACACAGTGGGACCTCATCTCCACAAAAAATAAAAATAAAAATTAGCACATCCTGTGTTCCTAGCTACTCAGGAGGCTGAGGCAGGAGGTGTTTAAGGGGTTTCTGTTGGAAAGCAGCAGTGGGCCTTGGTGAAAGTCCCCAGATTGCCCTAAACCGCCCAAATCGGGGTTTCGTCTCTGGAAGAGGGGAGGGATGCACCACCGGCTCCTCGTGCAGCGCTGGCGGCGGCGGCCACTGGGTGGCGGTGTTGCCCGCGAGGCCCGGGGTCTGCGGAGGAGGGAGCCGGACTGGGAGCGGGGCGGGGACAGCGCCGGGGAGGGCCTGGTCCGGGTGGGCTCAGTCCGGGCTCCCGGGTCGGTCCCCTCCTCCGCGTTGCTGCCCCAGGAGTCCGCTTCGTCCTCCGCTGACTCTGAGCGACACAGGACAAGCTCTGAATTGCATTCCAGGAAAAGGGGACTGAGGCTTTGTATTTTTCCTCCGCACCAAGATTCCCAAGGCTGCTGTTAAGGGTTTTTACCCAGGGTGGGGTCCACGGCGAAGCCCTGGGGTCTGTGTGAAGGGGAGGTGCTGTTTCTTTCCCGAGTTCTCCGTGGCTTTTAGTCCACGGGTTTCGAGGTCGCGCTATGGTTAAAAGCAGCACATGAGCCCTTTACTCCGGGTGAAATCTGGAACCAGCTCACATGTGGCTCACCAGGAAGAAGCTGAGTCTCTTCCCCAAGCTGAGGAAGAGGAGCAGGAGCTGTACAGATGCCAGGACCCGGCAGAGCAGGGGTTAAGCCCACACTCTGGGGCCCACTCTTGGCTGCACCCCTTACTGGCTGTGTGACCTTAGGCAAGTTTTTTGACCTCTCTGTGCCTTCGTTTTTGAATCTATAAAATGGCTATATTATTACAAGTTATTTATTTGATACATTTGGAGATGCGGTGTTGCTCTGTCGCCCAGGCTGGAGTGTAGTGGTGTAATCTCAGCTCACTGCAGCCTTGACCTCCCGGGCTCTAACGATCCTCCCACCTTAGCCTCCCAAGTAGCTGGGACTACAGACACTTGCTGTCTTGCCTGGTTATTTTTTATTTACATTTTTTTTGTAGAGCTGAGGTCTCACTTGTTGCCCAGGCTTCTCTTTAACTCCTGACCTCAAGCCATCCCAAAGTGCTGGGATTACAGACGTGAGCCACTGAGCCCTGCCCAAATTTATTTAGGTAATAATTATATAATAGTATTAATATACCATATGAAAATAATACTCTAGCTCATAGGATTGTGTAAAGAATAAATGTCTAAAGAGCTAATACATGTTAATACATTTAAAACTTGTTAATCCATGTATCAGAACATGTTACTTAGTATGTTTATACATGTTAATGTAGTTAGAACAGTGACTGGTACTCAGTAGATATCTGACAAATTCCTAGCAATGACTATTATTATTATTATTTTATGTATTGGATGCTACTGATAAGCTTGTGATAACTGCCAGCCAATTATTCATCTCTTCTTCCTCTGAGATCTGGCAACTCTTGTAGCAGGCAAGTGAACAATACATATTTTACTTTCTTTTATTCTTCATCAATTTTTTTTTCCCACAGACTTCTGTCATCTTCTCTCAATTAAGCGCAGCTCCCCAGAAGCAGGCTGTGCCCTCCACCCACTGCATTTCTTCATAGCTCTGCACTTTCTGCGTCACGGGGACCCTTATGTCATCTGAGAAATTAATTCAGAGAGTTGGCTTTTTTTTTTTTTTTTTTTTTTTTTTTTTTTTTTTAAGACAGTAGAGTGCTTTGGTAGGTGAAAAGGGGTTTCCAAGCACTTGGAGATTCAACAGGATTGTAAAAGGGATGTTGAAGGCGTCTGAGGTCATGCTGTTTAAACACGCTAAAAACTCGTCTTACAGATTCACTAAAGTGGCTTCTCTTTGCAACAGCCACTAAGACTGGACAATATTAGTTTTTCCTTTCTTTAGTTACTTTGTGTGTTGGAAAATAATGAACTGCCTTAAAAAACAAAAAACCAAAAACAAGAAAGAGAACAAAAGATATTCTCTGAGCGATTTCGGATTGCCCAGACTAGCCAGGATGAATGATGTTTTGTTTTTTATAATGTGCGTTAGTTTCCTGTGGGTGTTGTAATAAGTTACCACTAACTCGGTGGCTTAAAACAACAGACACTGATTTCTCACACATTCTGGAGGCGAAATCAAGGTGTTGCCCTGTTGTTTCCTCTGAAGACTGCGGGAGGCGCTGTCCCAGGCCGGTTTTCCAGCTTTTGGTGTTGCCAGTGATCTTTGGCGTTCCTTGGCTTGTAGACACATCCCCCCAACTCTTCCCGTCTTCATGTGGCCTTCTCCTATGTCTTTGTGTGTCTCAAGTCTCCCTGTCCTTTCTCTTATAAGGACGTCTGTCATTGGTTTTAGGGTGGGTGTCATTGGACTTATGTCATCCAATGAGCTCATCTTGAAAACCTTAACTTAATTGCATTGGCAAAGGCTCTATTTCCAAGTAAGGTGACATTTACAGGTAACCATGGGTTAGAACCTGGAAATATCTTTTTGGGGGGACATTACTCAACCCACTACATACGGCAAATAGAATTAATTACATTCATGAAGAATAAATGTCTAAGTCTGAAGCTGTTTCAACCTGCAATTCTGTCTCCCTCTCCCAACTCTGCCCTCCTCAGTGTTGGGCTCATTTTTAGAAAGTGGACTGGAGGGCAGGCAGGGGATATATGTGAGTGTGAGAGCTGGAATGGGGCGACAGGGAATGGTGGGGACTGTGGTGAGCTTTAGGATGCAGGTGCTAGCTAAAGAGAGCAGCAGTGACCCTGCTGATCTAGCTGATTACTGCTGGGTAAGAATGCATGCACAGCCTAGTCAAAGCTTATTGTATCTTTAAAGAAAAGCCAGAAATCTGGATTTTTGTGTGATTAATTCAATTTTTAGAAAATCACTGAGTAGGTAAAATAAAAATATGTCTGTGACCCAGATACTGTCCCTGGAGCCTGCTTTTTTAACCTCTGGCCTAAGTGTTGGGAGAAAGTTGGGGATTGTGGCATGGTTATATTTCTGCTGGGTTAACTCACATGTCCTCAGGGCTGGCTACATAATTTGCAGTGCTCAGGGAAAAATGAAAATTCAGCCCCTTCTTCCAAAATCAGGGAAAAAATGCCATGAAAAGTATGAAAATATAAAGCCCTTTTCCTTCCTTCTGGGGCCCCTCTTTCAACTTCTCATGGTGTTTTTACTTGCTATTTAAGGCCATTCTGAAAAAGAAAAATTAAAATCTTAAATCATTAGTATGAATTTTACCATTTATCTTTTTATTATGTGATATCAGTTTTAAATGCAAATATAAGAGCAATTAACACATATGCAGAATCGTCCGTTACTCAATCCATATTTCATAGCTCGTGCAAGCATGGGTATATCATTGCTACCAGGACAGTGGAAACGCTGCCCAGAACTACCTCAGCACTTTCTCATCTCACCTCTTGATACTCCTTCTACCAGACCTCTCCCTTCGCCTCCTGGTGGGCGAGGAAGGGGAGAGGAGCTAGGGGTTTTCTGATCTTCGCTGTTCCTTCTGTGCCTTCCTTTTCAGCGGTTAAGTGGCTGGAAGGAATACAGGAAGTAACAGGAGTAATAAAGGACCTGACAGGGTTCCTTGGTTTGTTGTGTTTTGTAGAATGTCTTTGCCTTTTTTCTGCCTTTGAAGCAAGTTCTGGTTTGAATGGGCAGCCTGGTTCCTCGGAGCTGTCAGTGCCCCTGTTTAGTTGTCATGGATGCAGCACGCTTACCTATACTCGCTTTGAGTCTTGCTGAGCTCCATGCACAATGGATTCACTGGGACCATGATGCTTATGGGGCACTGTGAATGCTATATGCAAATAGTGCAGCAAGGAGCAAACAGCAGACAAGCATATTGCACACTTCTCCTCTGCTTCTGTGCCATGCACGACCGTCTCATTAGACTTCACTTACAAAGCAAAAGTTCAAAGACACAACTCTTAAGAATTTCAGAGGTGAAGAGCATGGCAGCATAGCGTTAAGCAGAGCACAGTTCCTTCTGAGCGTGCGGCCCTGGAATGCACAGTTTGCGTGACATAAAGCCGGCCCTCAGTCTACTTCTGTTTTGTCCCTGCCCGCTGAGATCACTTCTGAAGACTTGGGATGCTTGAGTAAACAGATTAGCCGTTCAGCGAATGTTGGTTTATTTTAGGCCCTGGGTTCAGAATCTTCAACTTGTGTTTTGAACACAGTATGTCAAATTGCAAAGGTAACACGTTTCTGCAGGGTAATTGCTCAAATGTCTGGTTTCTGACCCCAGGCATGGTCCTGACTTTTCTTTTTCAACACCTACAGTATTGAGAGTAGTGCTGGCAGGAAGAAATCAGTACTGACTTGGTGTAAATTGTTTTATTTGAAAAATAGAGATTTTTTGTTGTTTCCTACCTAGAATTCCCTTGTTCTTTTTGTTGAAATGACCCCATGATGATTCTTTGGGGAACCACCCCCACCTCTCCTATTCCAGCTAAAGCTGATTCTACCTCCAGGCTCCTGGGGAGGGGCACATGACCCTGGCTGAGCCAATAAGAACAGGCATCCCCCTGGCCACAGTGATTTGTTCAGGGATGGGCAAATGCCCTATCATAGACAGTGAGATGCACTGAGGGTTTCTCCTGTAATTTTGACAAATAGACTTCCACTAGTTCTCATTGGATTTTAGAAGGAGAATGTGAAACTTGAAAATGCTGATCTCACCGTGACATGGAGAATAAAGTCAGCTTTGTAGAAGACAGAGCAGGGTGATGGGGGAAAATGCATCTTAAAAAATTACTTTAAAATTTATTTTTGGCCAGGCATGGTGGCTCATGCCTGTAATCCCAGCACTTTGGGCAGCTGAGGTGAGAGGATCACTTGAGATCAGGAGTTCAGGACCAGCCTGGCTAACATGGCAAAACCCTGTCTCTACTAAAAATACAAACATTAGCCAGGTGTGGTGGCAGATGCCTGTAATCCCAGCTACTTGGGAGGCTGAGGAAGGAGAATCGCTTGAATCTGGGAGGGGGAGGTGGCAGTGAGCCAAGATTGCGCCACTGCACTCCAGCCTGGGCGACAGAGCAAGACTCCCCCTCAAAGGAAAAAAATTATTTTCAGTACATTTCACCCTTTTTGGTATGGAGCGCTGTTAAGTTTTTGGCAAATGCATGGAGTTGTGTAAGCATCGGCACGGTCAGGACACAGAAGAGCTCCATCACCCCTCTTCCAATTCCCTTGTTTAAAATTTTTGTAGTCAAACTCTTTCCAGCCCCTTCTGTCCGGCAGTCACCGATGTGTTCTTCATCCCTCTGGTTCAATTTTTCTAGAGTGTTATGTAAGTGCACTTGGACAGCATGTGGCTTTCTGAGGTTGCCTTCTTTCACTCAGCATGATGTATTTGGGACTTATCCATGATGCTGCCTGTCCATCATTTGCTCCTCTTTACTGCCGAGTAGTGTTCCACCCAACACAGGTACCGAGGCTTCTTTAACCATTCCCTCAAATGACATTTGTGAAGATGCACAGTGATGACACTGCTTCACTGCTGGATCCAGCCAGACCTGAAGCCAGCCTATGCCAGCTATGACTGACCTTAAATTCCAATTTTGTTTAGACTTACATGGTTTGCATTCTTTCATTTCATTCTGGGAAATGAAAGAATCATTTTCGATTTCAGTAATGAACAGATGAAGGAGAAACAAGTCTGAATCAGTGAGAAGTCCGCAGAGGCACCACCTGTGACATTCCTATACATGCAGTTGCACGATAACAAGTCACGCCACTGGGTTACCTCATGGTGTGTCCCTGATGCACCTGGCAGCAGGTGACACCCCATTTGACACAGAGGGAAATCGAATGGGAGGATGAAGTGACTTGCCTTGGTACATAAATCCAACTGATGGCAGACCCGGGGCTCCAGCCCAGGTGTCTGTCTGCCTTTTGTAAGCCTCAGCTGCTTCCCAATCACACAGTGGCAGAGCTGTCAAGATTACTCAGTGAATTTTCCTCTCTTATTTAAACAGTCTCCAAGGTGTCCAATTTAGAATAAATATAAATGGAAATTATAACAAGGTCATCAAAATTTCCTACTGTTTAACAGCTGGTGGTACCTATAGGAGGTCAAAATTACTGTCACTAAGCAATCTATATAATCCATTTAATAATGCTCCCCCTGCATCTGGCATGGCATGGAAATCTCTCATGTTGGCTGAACAGCTCTTCACTTTTGTTTCTCTGAGTGTCTTTATCTCCTCCTTGCTCACAAAAACACAGTTTACATAAGGAAGTGCTATGCCATTTGTTTCCACTTTTTAGTAGGGATGGGACCACTGCTGTCCAAATCGTAAGCCTATACCATGTTGGTTTATTTGGTTGTCACTAGCTGCTGTGACAAATAAACTCCTAGGCGTGGCTTAACACAATAAAAGATTGCTTCCTGCTCACATCTAGTGTGGGTGTTCACATTTGGCAGGCAGCTTTCCTCGCGTGGAGGTTCCAGGGCCGGGGCTCCTTCCAGGTGATGGCTTTGTCATGCCCTAGGGCTTCAGTGTTTCCTGCTTCTCACTGGTGGAAGGTAAAAGTTACCTGTTTTGGCTTTAATGTGATATGTGACACTCCTGCTTCTCTTTCAAGAAGAAGTCTTGTGGCCATACGTGGATACAGGAGAGGCTGGGAAAGTCCCTGCCTGAGCAGCCATATGCAATACGGTCGACGAGGAAGTTTTTGATTTTCCTCTCCTTGACAGGTGGCCATCTCACCCACAGGCCCAATAATGTCTTGTTATCTAGATTAAGGGTGTTCTCCCCTCATCCATATACTCAAATTTCCGGTATTCTGTTCTATGCTATTTTCCCCTGTTTGGCTAGGTTTGGGCTCCTGCACACAAAGGCTTCTCATCCTCAAAGTCATACATGCAGATGGCGAAATTAAAATGGTACAGAATAACTTTGAAAGAATGGCCATAGTCTTCCATTCCTCTATATCCTTGATCTCCTTCCCCAAAGTCCGCCACTTCTAGCCATTTCTGGTTTTAGTTCTTCTGGTGATGACTTCTATAATTATTCATCTACCTTGACTTCTTGAGTTAATAAATGTAGACAGCAGCGCTCTCTCTATAAAAGATGAGGATTTAGCTAATGTACACACCTTCTTCCCTTTTTCACATTTTAATTGTTTTTACTTATTTGCATTAAAAATATCAACTTTATTCCATTTATTCATTTATTCTTTCAACACACATTTATTTCCTACTTACTTTGGGCCAGGCACTCTGCCATGTACTTCTCTTTTCTTATTATTTAGGATTGTGTTTGGCTGCAAGTAACAGAAGCCCTGGCCACAGTGGCTTAGGCGAGTAGGATTTGATCTTATTTTTTCTTTGATCCCATGCTGTGACCAGCTCTCTTGTCTTCTCACATTGTGTCCTCAGCGTGTACCTTTGTTCCTCCTGGTTGCACAGTGGCTGCTCTGTCACCATCCCTCTCAGGACGCAGCACCAACACCCACACTTGGATGCCTGACATTTCTCTGGAGGGTTAACTCAGTGTCGAGGAGTTGCCTTTTGAAGAGCTACTGGGGAGAAGTATGAAGCATTCTGGTTTTTCCTGAGGATGGGGGCACTGGAAGGAGGTCTGCCTGGAGTGGGTGTCTCATCTTCAGAATCTGTTACTCTCCTTTTTTGCGGCTCTAATTTCACACCTGTCCTTACTGTACATGCCAGCAGGTAGCCAGGAGCCCCTCTGGGCTCCAGTGGGCAGAGTAGCCCCTTGATCCTTGGCAGCACATGTAGAATGTTCTGGTCTGAGGTTTCCTCTGCTGTCCTGCCCATCAGCACACTTTTATCCGCTTATTCTCTTTCTTAAATTTGTTGAAGTATTTTATTTGCAGATATCCTCCCTCCATTTCTCTTGATAATAGGTTTTTTCCTTTTTGTACTTTCATGCTTTTATTTCATTTGGGTTTCTGTGGAGATGGAGGGAATAAGTGTGCTCAGTCTGCTACTTAAAAGTAAATTCCGTATCCTTCTTTTTGAAGGAAGAATGTCAATATTTCTCTTAGATTGAATAAGCAGCACATGTTCATTCTAGAAAACTTGAAAATACGTAGAAAAATATGGCAGGAAGTTGAAAGGCATCCACACTCTCAATGTGTAGATCCTCACCTCCAGCTAACAGTCCATTTGAGTTTTGACATGGGCAACTTGACCATATGATTCTAAAGTTAACTTGGAAGGTGGAAAGCAGGGAAGTCTAGCTAATAGGATTTTGATAAAGAACAATAATGCCTCTGTATGAATTTGCTAGGGCTGCCATAACAAAGTACCACATATTGGGCCACTTAAACAGCAGAAATTTATTTTCTCACAATTCTGGAGGCTGGAAGTCCAAGACCAAGGTGCCAGCAGGTTTGTTTTCTTCTGAGGCCTCTCTTGGCTTGTAGATGGCCGCCTGCCTTCTATGCCACCACATGGTCTTCCCTGTGTGTGTCCGTTCTAATTTCCTCATCTTATGAGGACGCCAGTCCAATTGAACTGGGGGCTCTTGACCACATGTTGGCAAATAGAGCAAGGACAGCATGAAAAGGGCTGCAAGCAAGAGGAGTAACTAAATTCTGACGATGGAACACCCACTCCAGGCAGACCTCCTTCCAATGCCCCCATCCTCAGTAAAAGGCAGAATGCTTGGTACTTCTCCCCAGTAGCTCTTCAAAAAGGCAACTGCTCTCTAAGGACAATTAACCTTCCAGAGAAATGTCAGGCATCCAAGTGTGGGTGTTGGTGGTGTGTCCTGAGAGGGATGGAGATAGAGCAGCCACTGTGTAGCCAGGAGGAGCAAAGTTACACGCTGAGAACGCAGTGCAAGAAGACAGAGGAGCTAGCTACAGCGTGGGATAAAAATATTTGCACCCCCCAATGGCCTTATTTTAGCTATATTGCCTCTTGAAAGACCCTGTCCCAAAATACAGTCACATTCTGAGGTGCCAAGGGTTAGGACTTGAACGTATGAATTTGGGAGGAGGTACACTTCAGTCCATAACACTCCTACATAATAAACTGTATTGTAAATCCACATTAATTTCAGCTACAATGTATTCATATGAGTGTAGTCACACAGCAAAGAAGTTAAATAAGTAAATCACAAGTAGACTTGAGGATGTTTCAGGTCTTAACAACATAATCAGGAAGCATTAGAAATCATTGGCAGAGAGAGAAATTATACAAACACAGTTTGGAGAAAGTGGCTAGCTATTTGGGAAAGCAATTTCTAAGATCAAGGCTGAGGCACATACCAGAAATGAATGAAAAGAGTAGGTGTAAGTGGGTGTTAGTGAATTAGAGAATAGCGAAAAATGTGTGCGCACCCTGACACAAAGCATTCGAATTCAATTAAAATAAACTCAAACTGCGAAGTCAAATAAAATCTTTCTATTGTCTGAATTCAGTGCGTGCTAATTTTCAACTTTATCAGATTCTCACTTCACATTATACACCAGCAGAGATTTCAGATAGATTCAAGAATTAAGTGTAAAAATGAAGAGACACACCCATCTATACATACCCATGCACAGAAAGCAAGCAGAAGTGTAGGTAGTGTCTATTTGATCCTGGGATATGGAGGAGGACTTTCTCAGCATAACATGGTGGTGGAAATTATGACAAAAGGTTGGTATTCTCTGTTGTATTTCAAATTGTGTGCATTTGCCTTCAACTGTCTCTGTAAAATATTTCTAGCCTCAGAATGTAATCTCAAGTGCTCTGCCACCTGATTCTTTCTAAAAGCCTTGCCTGGTTTGGGAAGAAAGCACATTCAGGAGGAGAGTGTACAACGTTGGGTTTTCTAGAATCACATTCTGGATTTTCTTTTTCTGTTAAGCTAGACTATCCAAAAGCTGTCAGCAGTCTTGGCACACACCGCTGGGCCCTCTGGAAAACTGCTTTTGCTTCGTTGTCCATAGTTGTTATAGGCCCATCTTACATGGAGCCCACCAGAGGAGGCATCCTCGTAAGCTCACAATGTATTGTGGAAATGATGTCATGCCCTGCAGGGGCCAGTTGGGAGCACTCACCAGAGGAACTTCTCTTAGAGCCAGGAAAAGCTTTGCTTCTTGCTTTCATTTTATGGACAGTGTCCAAATAGTGACCTCATCTTGTGCTTTGAGAGCTGGGCAATTCAGAGCCACATATGCAGTTCCCTTTAGTCACTGATTACGCTCTTACAATGTAGATTTTGCTTGCTCGAGCTTTCCTCTGGCAGCAGAACATAATGGCTAATAGTGAGAACTCTGCCTGGAGCTAAACTGCCTGGGTCAAATTCCACCTCTGCCACTTACTAGCTGTGTGATCTTAGGCAAGTCACATAACTGCTCTGTGCCTCAGTTTTCTCATTTATGAGTGGGGGTAAAAACTAAATCCTCATAGTCAAAAGATTATCAGAATTAAAAGTTAATACATATAAAATGCTTAGAATGGTGTTTGATCTATTACAAGGATTAAGTAACTGATGACTTAATGATGATAACGATTTTAATACCTGCAAAATGCTTAGTATATATAAATGATGATGATAATGATAATTCTATTCTTGTTTTCCCTTTGCCCTTATTTTTAAATATTTCATCTTTTTTGTTGTTTTAATTTATAAAGTTGCCTCTAACGTTTTATGGACTTGCTGGCACATGATCCAAGACTTGCCCTCAAGGGTGGCTCTCCTTACCCTGACTATTCATTTTTATGAGTATACACAAAGCACCTACTGTTTACTCAGTAGTGTCCATGAACTTTTTTCTACTGCTGTTCATTTGAATCATCTAGCAAACACAGAAAAATACTGGGCCTCACTTGAGACCATCTGAAGGAACTCTGAGGGGGCAGGTCCTAAGCATAATATATACATTCACCATGCAGTCAGGGTTGAGAATCCTTGTCTTAGAGAATACAGAGGTAGTTGATGAGGTAGCGTGTTGTGTAAAAGGAGCTTACTTTTGTGGGGAGATAAATTAGGGGTCCACTTCCCCTGAATCCCATGATCCCATATTTTCAGCTATCTCTCTACCAGTCTTCCCTTTACCTTCACTCAAATGTGTCCAAACTAAATTCCTTCTGTTCCTCCCTCAGACCTGATGTTATGCCTATATTCTCTATTTTGTTGGTAGTTCTGCAAACTATAATACCTAGGTGTTTTTCATGATACTTAAAGCCATTCTGTGGACTCTGATAGAGACAAGCCACTCTGGATTCTGACTTTTTATCTAAGATTCCCACCTTTTAGGTTTTTACCTTATACACCGCTCTAGGATCTTCATGTATCCTTCTGGACCAAGAAGGAATTATGGATCATCCTGAAGTTCTGGGAATAAGAATTCTCCCATCAACTTCTTTAATGTGAGGCTGTACGGGGATGGTTAGCAGTGCAATTCATAGAGCCAGTTTTCCAGGATTCCTGTCCTGCCACCATCATTTACTAACTGTGTAATTTAACTCCCCTCACCCCGTGCCTCAGTTTCCTCCTCTGTTAAGTGGGATGTGTCAGTTATTACATTATAGGCTCTAAGTTTTAAACTTGCTCTTCTATTCTCTGGTGTGTGATGCTAGGGGTGGGTCTCTGCAAAACCACTCTTAGTCAGGTGTTCCTTCTTAGGTCCTGCCTATAAGGGAAGATAGAGGCAACTGCAAGGCTGGAGCTGGGAGCAGGAACTATCTGCTTCTTCCATTTTGTTCTGTGTCTGATTCCTTTCCACTTCCTCTCTCTCCCTGTCTGCTTCCCATTTGCTCCTGCTGACTTCCTATTTGCCCTTCATCTGCTTTCTGTCTGCCTCATATCTGCTTCCTGTTCCTGTGAGCCCCAGCTTGGCCAAGCAGGGCTGCCCAGCTTGAGGGGTGAGAAGAATCTTGGGACAAAAGGCAAGTGTCACTCCTGCCTGATGACCGGCTGCCACTGGTGGCCTTTTGCTTGCCTGTCTGTAGTGTCTCTTCTTCTTTCTCAGGCCATGATGTGTTTTATGTAGTTGAGAAAAGTGGAGACTCACCTGACTTCTTGCATCTTGCTTTTATACTGGTGGCCTTGGAATTCAGTAGTCAAGTATTTGCTACCTTTCTTTTTTGATTCTATAATGAATGAATCGTGTTTCAAATGCTGAGGTGTGGAAGGGTCTGTTCTCCAGGGTACAATAAAGGGATACAGCTGGAGGTAGGAGCAAACTGGGAATTTACAGCATCACCCCACCACAGCTGTTATTAATGAATGACCACCTTAATCCAAGAGCATTTGGCCCAAATTGTTGCATAGGATCTTCCTCCTGAGGCTCCAGGATATGTAAGGTGGTTTATAGGTAGTAATGTTTTTCCATCTTTATTAGTGTCTTAAAGGTAGGGATCACTGGCTGTTTTGCTAGCAGCTGGGTTGAGATGCTCTGGGTCAGCTGTACCTATTTTCCTGCTCTACCTGAGAATCCAGGCTGGTAACAGGTACCTGGGATGGGAGATACAGTCACCTGTGACCATGGAGCAATGAAAACCTCATTGGGTGTACAGGGATTGTGTCCATGAACCTGGCCTTGTGAGCATTAAGCTTCGGCTCCTTCAGATGACCTCCAAATGGTTAACTCCTTGGCCTCATTGTAGAACTGCCAGGCCAGGTAGGCCCTCAGGTAATATGAGAAAGTGGAAAGCCTTTGGAATTGGATAGAGCTGGTATGAATTCTAACGTTGACCATGTTCAAATTGCTTAATTTCTCTGTGCCTCAGTTTCATAATTTTTTGAAAACGGTCTAACAGAACTTATTTTACAACTGCTGTGATAATCAACTGGCATGACTGGTAAATATGCCTAGGTGTGTTGGCCTGTAAATGGTGTGCATCTCCCTTTAAGCGATATTTTCTCCTTCTACTTGAGAATTGCAGCTCTTTGGTTGGCAAACATAGCTGCCAGCTTAGTGACCACAGTGGTGTGATATTTTAGGACCAAATGAATGGAGTGATAGTGTGATGGGCAAATGCTGTGTTAATAAAAACAGTATCTATTAACAACCCTGGGAAGAAGCCAGAGAGAAACTCAGAAGGAACACAGAGAGATTTATTCTCTCAAGCGTTAAACCAAGGCAGTCTTAATTGATGGACATTCATTCAGCAAATATCTATTTAATTTCTCCTGCTAGGTACTGGAGATTGTGCCGTAAACTGGACATCAAAGCCCCTTCTCTCATGGTATCTGAATTTTAGTAGACAGAATGGATAGTAAACAAGGGAACAAGGAAAAACACAAAGGCTAATTTCAGATGGTGATAGTGGCTTTGAGGGAATATAGCAGGATGGAGTGATGAGTGACTGGATATAGTAGTCATGCTTTAGTCAGGAAAACAAATCACTCTAGTTATTTCTACAGAGGGAATTTAATAAAGGGAATTAGTTACTCTGGTGCTGGAAAATCTGAGAAACCAAATTGGGGATGATAAAGTACCATCTGGGGATGGTAAAGTGATTTAGAAATTAAGAACAGCAGGAGCTGGAAGCTGTTGTCACCTTTTGGGCTAGAGGGAAAAGGGGAAGAGGTTAGGTTATCAGAACCCAGAAGCTGCTGGGTTAAGCATTAGAACCTGCTACAGGAAACTGGGACCATGGTGGGGGTTTTATATGGGGTTAGAACCACAGAGGAGATGCAGTTTCTGCCAGTGAATGCTGCAGGGAAGAGACACAGGGTGAAATACCCTGGGTTCTCCCCTCTTCCTACCCGCCAGTCTTCTACCAGAGCTTCCAATTGGCTGAACACACGTGGAAGGAGAGAGCAAGGGAGCAGGGAACTACATTGGCATGAGTGGAATGGCTGAAGTTGCTGGTCAGCTCAGAGAAGGTGTCTCTGAGCTAAGAAATCCAGACCAGAAGGAGTCTTCTCTGCTCACATGTGGGTGATGAGCTTCCCCAGCAAGTGCAAGTAAGGGCAAGGAGAACTATGTGAAAACAGCACCAAAGTGGAGCTGTGGAAATAGATGGGAGAACTCTGGGTGGAAGACAGCATGGAAGATTTTCTAGTCCATTCCGCCGCCGCCAGAGATGACATTTACTGCACCAACCTGAACTAATATTAATGCTGACAAAGGCCTCCTTTTGGCTCCTGGCCTTCACGACCATGAAATCAGTAAGGGTTGTGATTATTCCCGCGGTACCCAGGTGGTAGTGAATTGTATCAGTTGTTAGGGCCACATTTTGACAGACCAGTAAGGAGTTTCTCTTCCTGGTGTTTTTCAAAGACCTGGTGACCTGGTCACCTGGCCACCTGGCCCACTGGAAAGAGAACTTTCCACACCTGGCTCTCGATGCCTGAGTTGTTTTGTGTGAATTAGAGGAGACTCAGCCTCAGAAATGTTGTGGGCCTGTACCCTAAGTGGGTCACCAGTAGCCACAAGACTGGCAAGTTAGCTCCCAGACATGACTGGAGCTAACAGTGAAAGGGACTGATTTCTGAGTGTGTCCCATGTTGTAGCAGGTTCACATTGTACCATCTTGGGGTTCAGGGATTCATGTCCCACCAGTGCTGACTAAGGTCCATGTCCAGGAATGTTTTTTGTGTGCTAAGCACAGCAGTGACATCCACTCACTCAGTTTGGGTCACAGGTTCCCTGCCTGGATTCCCGGCACCCTGTGAGTTGCTTCATTCTAGGAGTAATATTATTAATCTCCTCCCCTCTCTTCCTGCCGAGGCTGTCTTTAGGGCTTCCTTGGAGCCATCTGCCATTGGTATTTTGAGTCGGAGCATCCTTTAGCCACAGAGCATCTGTCTGGTGCACCTTGTGTTCTCTCTGAACCTGAACTTGACTCTCTTCTTGGCTCATAAGGAGGGCAGTGATGAGAAGTTCTTTTCAGCTGGGCCTCATTGCTCCTTCCTCATTTCCTGCTCTCAGGGCCCACCTCGTTCTGTCCAGTGGTAAATACCTCTCTAGGAAATCGGCAGACTGAATAGGGCCTCATTTCACGTTCAGAACGCGGGCCACACGGTCTACCTGCCAATGGGAAAAAGAATGGTGTTACTATGTGACATTTTGGGATTAAAGGGAAGAGTGTTAGCTTTTCAGTGTATTTCTCAGGACACAGTCCCGTGGCTTCATAAAATGCTCCTAAATTCAGATATTATATTTTGTTGCAATCTGGTTTGAGGACAGAATAAGGCTCTGGTAGCTGACGTTTATGGCTTTCCATATACACTTTCAGACAAAATTTGTATTGCATTTTGCTTGAGTTATGGTGGGACAGGAGTGTAAACCTTACACTGCTATTTCAGATAAAATGGAGGCTTTGGCTACAATGAAGAAGAGAAGGTGCAGCTTTACATTTCTTGTAAATCAATTTTTGAGAGGTATAAAATACCTTCTTAAAAGATAAAGAAAACAATAAACCAATCTACAGTGAAAACAGAGCATATTAAAGTTTGCATTTATTTTAATTTCCTTTTCCTTATTTGTAAATAAATCAGAATTTAAGCCTTATGTTGGACTTCCCCTAAATTTTACGAGAAGTAAAATTCAAGCCACTCACTTCCAAGTCTGGTGTGCCTGCTTAGCCCAGCTGAAAGATATTGTGATGCTGCATAAGGCAGATGTTTCCTGCTGACGGTGTTCCTGTTGCCAAGTAATTCATGAGCAAATTCACCTGAATTTCACTTCCTGGTTTGGAGAGGGGAAGTAAACCAATGACAAAAAGCACTAATTTAAATTTCATCTGGAGAGGTGCTTCTGCATTGCTCGACATTGTCAAAATACAGATTGCCCCTTGGTGGCGGCAGCAGCTAAAACTTTAGATGAGGCTAATTCTTCAAAATCATTTCTCCCTCCTCTATCTTTTGATCCAAATCCTGCCAAGCCTGTATGGACATCATTCTGGAGGAAACCCAGGTCTATACTATGGAAGGGACTATATCGTGTGTTTAAATAGATTTGAGATAATTTAAAGGAAGTTATGAGGTCGTTTTCAATTAACATATTGTGTTTTCTCTTGACACTACAGATTTGTTGAAGTCATGGTTTTGATGGCAGTTTAATGTCACACACATAGTGTGGCTTAAATCACTTATTTGATCATTTCCCTAATGACAGGTTTTTGGGCTGCTTCCAGTGTGTTGCTGTTATAAATCATGCTTGCGATAAACATACTTGCACATTAATCTCCTTCCTGATCTCTTGATTATTTCCTTAGAACAAATTCCTAGGTGAATTCCTGGGATGGGCATTTTTAAGTATCTTAATGCCCAATTTCTGAATTGCTTTCTGAATGTTAGCCGTGTCCTCCAGAGCTTCCGATTGGCTGAACATAGTCTCTAGTTCCTTGGGGGCAGAATTCATGACTGCATTGTCCCTGTAATATTTTTACATGCCACAATGCTGGAAAGATAATAAGTGAATAATAAGTATATTTAGGTAAGTAATTGGAGGAATGAATAAGTAATTACCCTGCTGGAGTAATGAATCTAACAAGGGACTGGCCATGTTGATGACATTTGAGGAGAATTTGCTTTCTGAATGCCTTCTTAGAAAAAGGATGCATCAGCCCGTACGTGGGCTGTATCTTTTTCACAATCTAGTTACGATTTTCTCACCCTCTAGAAAAGGAAAGCTCACCAAGCACAGCCCCAAACAGGCCAAAAAGTGTTTAAATCAATAGAAGCTATATTTTGCAGAATTTTTAATGGCTGCAGAAAAATACGCCACCAGGAGCCAGAGGGAATGGAGTGGGATTTCTCTGCTGTTTCCTCCTCTGGGATGCTGCATTTTAAGCGCCACGGTCAGGTGCCATTTCTTCTTGCACTGGTTGGAAAACAGGACTCCAGTGGTGGAGGTTCATTTTAGGGCAAAAGAAAAAAAAGTCTCTGTCTGCCCTTGGCCTGCTTTGCTGACCCTGGTTCCTGGTGGGCTGTCTTCACTTTGAAAAAGCTTGTTGGGTCTTTGCTGTCTGTGTTTTCCCATTTGAAAGAAACATGCTAAGAAACACACATACATGTATGTACTCATGTGTACATGTTTATGTATATGTGCTGTGTGTTTTAATTAACAAAATAATACATGGTTGTAACAAATTAAAAGAAAGCAGAAACATAAATGGTGAAAAACAAAAACTTTCGCCTTTGGGTTCTATAGACACACAAACATAAATATATACATTTACATATACATATGTAGAATTTTAAAACTTTACCAAATAGGATCAAATATGACACATTTGATTTTTGTTTTTTTTACACTTTATTTGTTTTTTTATCCTTAATGTCATATTGTGGCCATCTTTTCAAGTATGTTTATGTAGCTCTACCGCATTTTAAGAAATAGTTTCATATTATTCCACTGTAAATGTTTAGTTTCCTGTTGATCAACCTATTGAATATGGATTAAAATAATAATTGTGGGTGAATATTGACAGCACATTTCTGTGTGCCAGCATTGTTCTATGTGCTTTATTTTATTTTGTTTTTTCTTGAGACAGGGTTTTGTTCTGTCGCCCAGATTGGAGTGCAGTGGTGCAATCCCAGCTCACTGCAATCTCCGCCTCTTGGGTTCAAGATCCTCCTGCCTCAGCCTCCCAAGTAGTTGGGACTACAGGCACATGCCACCATGCCTGGATAATTTTTGTGTTTTTTTTTTTTTTTTGTAGAGACAGGGTCTCACTGTTTTGCTCAGGCTGGTTTTGAACTCTTGGGGTCAAGTGACCCACCTGCCTTGGCTTCCCAACGTGCTGGGATTACAGGTGTGAGCCACCACACCTGGCGGTGCTTTGTACTTATTAACTCGTTAATCCTTGCGGCAACCCAGTAAGGTAGAATTCATGTTTGTCCTACTTTATGTGAGGACATTTGTGGCACAGAGAGGCTAAGTAACTTGGTGAAGGTTGCTCAGTTAGGAAGTGGCAAAGCCAGGATTCAAATCCAGCCATCCGGCTCAGCACATATGTTCTTAAGTTTGTTTGTTTGCAATTCTAAATGATGGTGTGGTGAACATCCTTGTAGATAGATAAGCCTGTGTGCATTCTCATTGGTATTTCGGAAGGAGAGAGTTCTAGAAGTAGGAAAGCTGAGCGGTAGCTTCACTCTCTTTTCAATAACAATAGTAGAGATGTCATCATGTCCACGTAGATTGTACTTATAGAAGTGATAGAGAGCAGCATAAATATCAAAGTAATAAGGCACTAACGTGTCACATACAATGGTGCAATGCCTGATTGGTAGACTTGGTAGGTACGCAACCTTTTATCTGTGGGGTAGATGAACAACGATGACCATGATCTTTTGAGTTTATGATTTCGCACAAGCAGCAGAAGCAATGTTTTCCCTTTAGAAAGATAACTGTTCACCCCCAAGACTATTGGATCAGTGGTAAATGGGGTTCCTCCCCACTCTGTGCTGTCTTTTTGGGAAGATCCTGAAGACCATACTTTATATAATTACAGGGCTTTCACTGTGATGAGACCTGGGGGAGAAACAGTGGCCAGTGGGCGGTTTGTTGGGGAGGTGGGTGGAGACTGCACTGCATTTATTTCATTACATCTCAGAACACGGTTTTATTCTTTTGCTTTCCTTTCTTGTGCAGTGACAGAGAGTCGAGGGATTGTGGATAGCCTGCAGAAGTTTTCCTCGCTCCCTGCTTACCTCCCCACGAACTTGCACATCTCCAATGCAGAGGAGTCCTTTTTCCTTAAAGAAGCCAACCAAGACCTCACAAGGAACTCCAGTCTGCAGGCCCGGGTGGAGCCATTCTTCATCTACCGAGCCAGGACACCCCCTATTATCAATGCCAGCTATGGCCCATTTTCAGTGGAGAAGATAATCCCCCAGGAGCTCCTGTTGACATCTACAGCCTTTGGAAACATGGACAAATTTCCCTTCAACTGGAAATTGAAATCCCACATCCTTGACAGCTCCATCTACTCCAACAGACCCAAAGTGCAGACCTTGTTTTATGTCACTGGCATGGGCTGGGATGACAGTGACCTTACGGAAGATCTACCCTGTGTCAAGATGTTTGCTTTCCCTGAGGCCAGGGAAGTGGCAGCCAGCTGTCGGCTGCAAGGGGCCCCAGGGCTGTGTGTGGCTGAGCTGGAGCTGCTGCCCGAGTGGTTCAGCTCAGGCCTGGACCTGGAACCAGAGGAGGAGATCCCAGCCCTGCTCGGGGGCACCACGATGGAGCTCTTCTTCACGCTCTACCCAGCTGACAAGGCTGGCCAGTGTCCTCTGGAGGAGGAAGGCAAGTGGGAGAACAATATCCACTCGGGCCTGGAGAGCCCCCAGCAAGCGTTTCCAGCCCGAGAGAGGATTGGGAGTGTGGTGGTCTACCCAACCCAAGATGATCTGAAGTGGTCCCTGGTGAGCTTGGACGAGAATGTGGTCATCTCGGTACCTCTGAATCTAGTCCGGGAAGGGGACACGGCCACCTTTTTGGTCTCTCTGACCAGTAGCTCTGTGGCAGACCAGTTCACTCTTAGGTAAGAGGCTTTGCCAGGTGGGATGGAACAGAAGCCAACTCTTAGTAATCAATGAATTGTCAATGAATAAAATGGGTGTTGATCATTTGCTGACTATTGTCAAAAATGAATACAGCTGGTCATTAAAGTGGTGAAAACAGATTTTATTCAGTAACTACGGACAGTAGGTAAAAGAGCTGAGCTTCATTACAATTTATGATCTGTGTGTTTTAAAGGGAGAATGAGGGATGGGGAAGAGTGGAGTCTCCATAGAGCCAGAGAAGCGACATAGTACAAAGGGTTGGGCAGTGTGAGTGCAAGGAGGCCAGCTGCGTCTGCTGGCTGGCAGTTATCAAAGTTAGGATTTTATCTTCCCACAGAGGCTGTGAGACAGAGGCATTGTCTTTGCTGATGATTCTGTTTCAGAAGAATGGCTCTCAGGTGCTTGGGAGGATGCGTCTTAGTTGCAAGAGACAGATGTTTACAATTGTAAGCCCTTTCTCATAAATGCTGTAGGAAAGGGAGGTCAGGGGCGTATCATCAGGTGTGCATTGGCTGGAACAAACAGGAAATTTCCCTGGCCATGCTGAGCTTTCTTAAGCAGGTACTATAAGAGGTGCAAAAGTGATCCTAGGGAGCTAGCCTTATGCTGCTAGAAGCCATATTAGAGTTTGGTGAAGTTTTTTAGTGCGGGGGTTTGGATGGAGTTGTCATGTGCTGAGAGTTCTGCAGTTCTCAGTATCCAGTGTAGTGAGAGATTCAAAACATTAAATAGAGACCCACACAAGACAATAGACCAGGGGTCAGAAAGCTTCTGGAAAGGGCCACATGGTGAAAAGACATCATGGGCCATGTAGTCTCTCTGGTGATGTCTCAACTCTGCTGTTGCAGCATGCAAGCAGCCATAAGTGAATGGGCTTGGCTGGGTTCCAATAAAACTTTAGTTACAAAAACAGAAGGTTGAATTTAGCCCAGGGGTCATGGTTTGCCAACCCCTGCAATATATGATCATGTTGAAGCTTGAGTAGTAGAGACCCTAAAGTCTACAGGAATTCACAGAAGAGAGTTATGTGTGTTGCAGTGGGCAGAAAATTTTTCATTTTGAGCTAGATCTTTAAGGATGAGTGGAATACGGGGGCAGACAAAGAAACAGTTCAAAACTGGGGGAAACAAAGTCCAGCCAAGAGACTGAGACAACATAAGTATATTAAAAGCAAGAATTTAATATAAAGAACCATAAACTATATATAAAGAAATGTTAACTAGGTAATTGAAAAGTCAAGAAGGCAATACTGAGGTACTAGGGAAGAGGCAGCTGCAGAAAGCGGCTATCATCCCTCCAGCTGGGAGAATAAGGGAAGAAGTTAAAAGTTTCAAAAACTTGGAGCTTGGAGCAGGGACCCTGTAGAGCAGCAACTAAAACCCCTGAGAAGAGGGCACAGCCTGTGCTGGTGTCACCAGGGCTAGGAGTCGTAAAACTGGTTTTTCAATGGTTGGAAATATTGCAAACTGGATTCATCTGCTATTATGGAAGTGAATTGCAGCTGCTGTCATGAAGCAGCAAGGCTGGGTGCCACTCATCAGAACAAGAAGCAAATAGGAAGCCAATGGAAAGAGGAGAAAATTCTTTCTCCCACCTTCCACCTGCCAGTCTCCCTCTAGCACCCCCTATTGACAGAACCAAACAAGGATCCTGCTGCCATCTATATTTTCTGAAGGCTCCCCCAAGTAAATCTGTTGTGAAACCAGGATTAAATACAACTGTTCTAGAACTCTGCGTTCTAGACTGTGAGGTTCAAGTGCTTCTTCTTCAGGAAGGCCTTTAAGGCTCTCACATGATAGTCTGGCCTTATCCCTGCCCTGTTTGATGTGTCAGGCAGAATCCTACAATGCTGCATATCAGTGGAAACCTTGTAAATGAATTCCAACTTCTAAATATACGAAAGAGCTTTCTAAGACAATTTCTTTCTCTGCAGTAAATAATTCTTTGTTAAAATGAGTCAGCAGCCTCTATCTGTATGATCAAGATTTGGTTTTAGGATCGCTAAAAGTAGGGGACTTCTATGTGCTGGGGGGACAAGGCTGTCTTTTCCTAATTTTGCTCACAAAAATGGATATCAGTAGGAGACAGTGGTGGCTTTGCCATATACCAGCTGTGTGCCCTTCGGCAAGTCACTTATCGTCTCTGGACCTTAGTTTCCCCATTGGTATGATAAGGATAGTGATGAAATCTATCTCCTGGGGTGGTGGTAAAGATTAAATAATTTAATAAAGTTCTTAGAACAATGCCTGGCAAATTGTGAGTCCTCAGTGAATGTTAGCCTATTGTTGTTTCCCTGGCATTCAGGAACTGGGCATATAAATTCCAACATAAGTGAACCTTGCTTTACAGATGCAAAGAAGGAGAAATGGAGAATTCATTGTGAGTCTAGTGTGCTCCTTCCAATCCTGACTGAGGCTGATCATGCCTTTTTGGAGTTGTGCTTATTCAGATGCCCACCAACAGGATTCCGAGGCTCTGGCAGATCCCAAGTAGGTTTTGTAGCCTGGAAGAAGCCAAGATTCTATTTGGAGCCTCTTGATTTAGCCTTTGGCTGTTACTGATTCAAAACTTGGTGTGGACTGAGCCCTGTGCTAGTCACTCCACTGGAAGGGGTGGGGTGGTCTAAAACCAGTTCTTGGCTCTGATAGAAACTAGAGAAGCCTGAAATCCAACCCCACAGAGATTCTTTTAGTATAAGGCAGTGTCATATGCTTGCTGTAGACCAAGAATGGCCAAGGGATGGCTTCACTGCCTCTGCCTCTCAGCACTCCCTCTACCATGGCAGACATTACCAATCAACTGCAGCACTTCAGCACTCCCTCTGCCATGGCAGACATTACCAATCAACTGCAGCACTTCAGCACTCCCTCTGCCATGGCAGACATTACCAATCAACTGCAGCACTTCAGCACTCCCTCTGCCATGGAGGACATTGAACCCACCCCTTCAGGCAGCCCCTATCACTGCTGTGGGGGGTTGGCACATAAGACTAAACTTATTTGCTACTCCTGATATAGAGATAATATTTTGGATGGGAAGTTAGAGGAAAAGGAGGGCAGATGGTCTGGTGGTCAGCAAAGCCTTGGAGTCTGGCTGGGAAAGGCATTTCAGGCCGGGCAGTGGCATACCCAGCATTAGCTAACATTCATTGAGACTTAGAATGGTTCAGCCCATGTGGTAAGTCCATTACATGAATTAACTGATTAAACTCTGTCAACAGACAACTGAAAGAGGCAAGTGCTATTATTATTCCCTTTTTTCTTTGAGGCACAGAGAAGTCAAGTAGTGTGTCCAGGGTCACACAGGTAGGGAGTGGTTGGTGTGAACCCCTGTGATCTGACCATAGAGCTTGTGCCCTTCATCCCCCACAGCTCACTGCCTCTAACAGACAAGGAGGGGCCCAGTCAGGCCAGAGCTAAGGGTTAATTTAGGGAAGAGGAGATTCATTTAGGGATGAGACTAGAAGAGGACTCAACATCCAGACTGTAGAAAGCCTTAGAGTATTATCTTCTTGGTAAGTAGAAACCCCTCAGGTATTTTTCTTTTTTCCCTAAGAAGTTAATTTTAGAGCTGAAATGGACTTTAATTCTGACTTGGCCTTGAAAAATCAAGCAATGAACTGTCAGCCTCCTGGAAATAGCATCCTTGGGGCCTTTGGAATTTGGACTGTGAGTCTGCAGCCCTCCAGCAGCCTCTTCCTTTAGGGAACCCACCAAGATTTTAGATTCTTGGCCTTTGGAGTTAAAGCGACAGGAGAGGGAGAGGACCAGAGGAGGCAGTTCAGCCAAAGGATGTTCTCAAATTCCCAAATCTTTGTTTAAACTTTAGTTGTGGGGACTTGATGCTTACTTAAAGGAAAAACATCTACTCAACAGTTTGTAAAACTGGTGGCGGTAGCCAAATTCAGCCCATAGAGGTGTGCCTTATTTAGCCCACCTGGCATTCTTTCAAATATTTAAGAGAGTTACCAATCTCTAACAACTGGGAGATTTTATATACCATTTTCTTTGAAAATTTTGAAGATTTAGCAAATTAGAACTAGCTGGTTGTAGTTCACCCCCTTTAGCTGCATCATAAACTGTCTAATTCACCCCTGTCCCCACCACTCCCTTCTGTCTCACACCTGGCCCATTTCACTCAGATATGTCACCCATCTGGCTCCTGAGGGTATTTGAATTTTGAAACCCTGATTCAGTACTGGGATAAAAAAGGATGCAATGCTAAAAAGGGAGTTTAGATTTTCATCTATAAAGGCAGGCATTGCCAATTCATTATGCGTGTTTGTGGGAGTCAGAAGTGACCAGTGGGTGCATCACAGGGAGTGAAACCACCCTCCATTATCGCTGGCATTATGGAGTGAATTAGTTACTTCATGTAAAGCACTTACAAGAGTGCCTGGCACACCAATTCTCTTTTATGCTATAATTAATATGTGTTAATTGATACTGTTAATTCATACTTTTAAATTATCATGTGTACTTGTCCCAGGTTCTGCATTTACCCTTTCTATACATTCCCTCACTGTGTTATCACAGCCAGCATACAAGGTAAGTACTAGTCACGTCCATGTTATGGATATGGAAACTGCGACTCTGAGAGGTGAGCGGTTACCTGTCTGAGGTCATGCATTGGGGAAATGGTGGAATTGGGGTGCAGGCCTGCATGTGTGAGTTGAGAGCCCCCACTTTAAAACACTCTTCTGGGCTCTTCTGCTTGTCTGGTTGGGGACTGATCTTTATTCACTACTAAAGCTCTCTGGGTCAGCATTTAGATTACTTATTAAGCTTTATTTGATGGCCAGAGAAAAATGCATTGAGATTGTGGATATAAATGAAGACCACCCAAATGAGAACAAACAGAGGAATATTTACTCAGAGCTTACTGTGTCAGTGGGGGTTGGTCACCAGCACTTGCATTAGCAGAGACTCAAAGGCAGGCAGAGGAATGAGAAAGCTTCAGGTGTGCTTGGATTGGAGGGTTTTGGCCTGGAGGAGCTGGAGGCAGGATAGCTAGAAGCAGACATTTTATGTGATGGGCTTGGGAGCACAGTTGGCTTTCTCTGGTTGGCCCGGAGTTGGAAGCAGAGGCAGAAAAGAGAAGAGCTGGGAGTCATTGACCAGGCTATCACTATTCTAGGCTGATTGTTGCAGAGGTTGTGGCTTGACTTCCTGGCTGCTGCACGGTGGAAGATCAGAGTTGTATTGTTATATGTTGTCTGGCCGTTGTCCATTTGTATATTCAGTCTCTCGAAATAAGATACTTTTCTTAGGCCTAAGGAAATGTGTTATTTCCCAGCGTAACTGATTGTCTGTTTTAATCATGTCTCTTATGAATGAGATGTGACACATTTCATTCTGGCTTAGGTGAGGACCCAGATCAAAGCGTGAATGTGCACAAGATTTGCTGAGATCGAATTTCAGAGCTGGAGACACATGGAAAAGAAACAGATGTGTACCATTCCACGTGCCATGCTGCTATTTCAGACTGCACATTGTAGAGGGGCCCGTCTGAACAAAAATTAAATCGGTGATTCTCTAATACCAAGATAGATTCTGTGCAGCATTAGCACGTACATCTCACCCATGCCTTGAAAAAACCCTTCAGCAAAGGGTCATCAAGTGGGGTTTGGAGGGGGCTGGGGGCTGGTGGCAGGGAAGTGCCAGGCTGGAGTTGGGGTAGGTCTTTGCTACACTTCCAGGAAAGTTTGAAATATTATGAAATTCTGCCCCCTCCAAATATAATATCTCTGGGGCTGAGAGAGGTCCTGGGAAGCTTTATCTCTGATTTATTAAAATAGGGTTTTCTCAGCTCACACAGAGAGCCTCCTGGGCTGACCTCTCCGTCTCTTAGACGGTGGAGCCCAGTGGTTAAGAATGTGAACTCTGAAGCCAGACTGTCTGGGTTTGAATCCTGACTCTGCCACATACCAGCTGTGTGACTTTGGGAAAGTTACTTAACTTCTCTGTGCCACAGTTTCCCAATCTGTACGTGGGGACAGTTTATGCTTTAAGTGACTATTTATGAAGTGTCAACTTTGTGGTCAGGTCAGACTCTTCCTTTAACTTGGAAGCCACCTTCCTCCTGGGTGTTCAGGCCAAACACCCAGTAACCACGATTGATTCTCCCTATTCTCTGACACTCCACAGCTGAGTCATCAGTAAATTCTAGAGTTCTTCCTCTGAAATATATAGACTCTATCTACCTCCACTGCTATGACCCAGGTCTAAGCCAGCATCCCCTCCTGGCTGGACATCTACAGGAGCCCCCTTGAGGTCTCCCTGCCTCCATTTTTGCCCGTGTAGTCTGTTCTGGAGTTAAGGCTCAGGCCGCCATGTTGCCTACAAGGCCCTGCGTGGTCTGGACCTGTTATCTCCCATGACTTTTCCTCTCCCCACTCAGCAACAGCCATGCTGGCCCACCCCCTTTTTGGCCTTTAGGCATGCTCCTACCCAGGGCCTCTGCACCGGCTTCAATAACTCACCCTTAGCTTCCTACTTAATCCTGCACCCCCTGCCCCACTGGGCCTCTTGCCCTGTCCTGATTTTTTGACCTACTATATTTGTGTTAACGACGTAAGATATCATTGTTTATTGTCTGCTTTTCCTGCTAGCAAGTCATCTCCATAAGGGCAGGGACCTTTGTCTCCTGTATTTTTGATGTATCTTGAGGATCTAGAACATTGTCTACCACATAGTAAGTGCTCAATAAATACTTGTTGAATGAATGAATGTATCCTAGGTATTGTGAGGCATTGTTCCCAGATAAAGGGAACAATGGCAATGAATAAATGAATCGTCAAGATTGTATGAATTCATGATATAAATAAGTAACAATTTCATAAATATTGAAAGTTAGGACACATAGGGGATGCAATTCTGGCAAAAGTTTCCTCCTACCTGTAATGTGATTACTGATTCGTCACCTCTAATCAAACAATGGGCTATGCCAGTGTATCCTAAACTTGAGTAATTCATACACTGGCTTTGAGTTTTTTGGGTCATATCAGATACCATCATGTGCCACCTTCATAAGTTAAATCATGTACCCGTGCCTTCTGTGCAGTTTTTGTTTACTCTTTGTCTTTAAATCATATCACTTTTTAAAACTCATATGAATGCATTTAGAAAGGAAACCTAACATCTGGTACCATAAATGGAAACCAATATTACTTGTTAACATGAAAGGGTATTATAAAAATAAATTAACATAAAATAGCAACAACAAAAAACAATGCCATTAAGTTCTAAGTAGGCACCATCACCTGCCGAAGACCGGGGACCTGTGGCCTGGTCTCTGTAGAAGAAGAAGAGCATGTGCTATGGAGAGGCCAGGGCCACACTGAGTCACCACTGGAAGTCATCAGAGGCTTAAAGGAGACCTTGATGGGGATGTTTGTCTCCCTCCAGGACTTGATGTTATTAAGGCCACACCTGTGCATCAGAACCATCTGCAGACCCAGGACTCATGTCACGCCCTGGGAAACCTGGCTGGTGTTGACTGTCTTATCCATGAGAAGACAATGCAGCCTTAGTTGCACCCCAGGCATTACCTGCTGGTTAGCCTCAGTCTCCCCCATCCCTGGGTTGGAGGCAGAAATCTGTTGGGTGCGTTCTCCCGGTGCCCTGGAGGCTGCCAGCTCTATGTAGTGGTCTTTGATTGTACAAGTGTTTTGTGGTCGCCTATTATATGTGGCATATCTTTGGTTTGCCTTCTAATTTCCTTGTTTTTTTTTGAAATCAAGCACCCATGCTCCCATCCCTAATCAAATTCACACTCTCTATGGGGGGGAGACAGCAAACACACAAATAAATAGAAATACACACAATTGAAACCCATGCTAAGAGCCATGAAGGAAACCACAGTATGTAAGACATTTTCATTTTGTTTTACTTTTTAAAAAATTTTTTAGCTTTTTATTTTGGAATCCTTTTAGACTTATGGAAAAGTCTAAAACTTCTATTTCCCTTAATGCTAATATCTTATGTAACCACAATACAAATATCAAAACTAGGACATTAATGTTGGTATATTGTTATTTAACAGACATTCTTAAAAATTGCCAGCTGTCCCACTGGTATCCTTTTTCTGCTCCAGGAACCCCACAGCACAGGGTTGTTATATCTTGCTTGTCTCCTTCATTCTGTTTTTTTACACTTCTTTTTATATTTTTTTCTATGACTTTAACACTTTTAAAGACTGCTGGCCAGTTATTTTTGAGAAAGTTCCTCAATTTGGGTCTGTCTGGTGTTTTCTCATGATTGGATTGAGGATGTACCTGTTTGGCCAGAATACCAGTGAAGTGCTCTGTCCTCCTCAGTGCACCATATCAGGAGGTAACTGATGTGTCTTCTCAGCAGTGATGGTTAAGTTTGTGTCTGCCCCGTTTCTCCACTGTAAAGTTGCTGTTTCCCCCTTTGTAGTTGGTAATAATAACACCTGGGAAGATTGTTTGAGATTACACATTTATCTTGTTTTGCATCATCCTTTTGCTTATAACTTTTGGCATCCATTGACGATTCTTGTCTCAAATGCAGTAATTTCTAAGTGAATGACTTAGAAGTGAATATTGTAGAAGAATCTTGGCTCTTCCTGATCACTTCTTATTTGAATTTATTTTGTGAGGCAAAGGAGCAAACATAAAAGCCATGTTTGCTCATTTCTACTTGCCAGCATAATTTCACAAAACTCCTGACTCCGTAATGATGTGCAGCTCTCCGGAAGGATGCTTTAAAGACAAAACAGGATCGAGCACATGGCCCCCACATCTCTTGCTTGAATCACTGCATTTCTTAATAGATAAATGATCCTAGTTCTTGCCTTTTCCTGCACATAAGATAATACCTGACAGGGTGAATGTTTATGCTTCTACAATCTATAACCAGATGTGCTTAGTAATCTCTAACCAGATGTGTTCCTACACCCAATACAATTAATAAAAATTATGCAAATATATATTGCGATTTTATTAGTTATGTTTTTTCCAATCTATAATATACTTTAGCACTGTTAAATATGTACCATTATATGTAATCTATAATATTCTTATAACAATCCTGTTAAGATGTTATATTGGCTACAAAAAAGACAATGTCAAAAAAACCCCAGATCATATTAGTAAAAAAAAAGATATGATCCAAATAGTATTTTCTGATAGACAAATATACACTCTGGGCTCAGTGCTCATTCCTTATGGTTACAACTAAAGACCATGAGCTTCCTAAAAAAGTAGCCTCCCTAACTACATGAGACAATCAACACTGATTTTATAAATACCAGCCAGTTGGTTTATGAACAAAAGCGAAAACTTGTAAGAAAAATAACAAATGTAAAAAGCCATGTTTGGTCATTTCTACTTGCCAGCAGAAGTTCACGAAACTCCCGACCCTGTGATGACTTACAACTTTTGGGAAAAATACTTTAAAAACAAAACAAGGCCAGGTGCAGTGGTTCACGCCTGTAATCCCAGCACTTTGGGAGGCCGAGGCAGGCAGATCCTGAGGTCAAGAGATTGAGACCATCCTGGCCAACATGGTGAAACCCCGTCTCTACTAAAGATATAAAAATTAGCTGGGCGTGGTGGCACGTGCCTCTAGTCCCAGCTACTTGGGAGGCTGAGGCAGGAGAATCACTTGAACCCAGGAGGTGGAGGTTGCAGTGAGCTGAGATCGTGCCACTGTACACCAGCCTGGCGACAGAGCAAGACTCCGTCTCAAAACAAAACAAAACAAAATAGAACACATGGCCCCCACATCTCTTGCCTGAGTCACTACATTTTTTAACAGATAAATAATCCTAGTTCCTGTCTTTTCCTACATGTAAGATAACATCTGACAAAGGGATTTTACTTCTGCAATCTATAACCAGACAAACTTTAATAATCTATAACCCGATTTACTCTTACACCCCAAACCTTGATGTAATTTTACACACATTGAACCTGTACAATCTATATATAAGTTATAAAGTAAAACACTGTTTCAAAACAGTCTGAAACAACCTCTCCAAGAGACTGCTCCTAGACGATGGTCTACAATAAGACTGTAAATGAAACAAATTTTAATTCCTTAAAAACTTAATTTTTTTCTTTAGTCAACAATATGAAGAGGTGAACTGGTAGCAATTAGACATCACATTAGACATCGTTAGACTTTTACTGCCTGGTGCTGAAATGAAGGAAGGTGGTCTGTGTGCTCAGGGGGTCTGGAAGGCTTTGAGGAAACAGACATTCTTGACCTGGAGCATTAACTAGCAATGCAAGGTATGGCTTAAGTACCTGAGGAAGTGCTGTGGGTAGGAAGTGACATCAGGTTAAGGTCATTAGTGCAGTCCACGGGGGTAAATCAGGGCAGGCCTCCTGGAGGAGGAGGCTGTGGACGATGGGCAGGTTTTGGATCAATTAAAGGAAAATAGGAGACGGTGTGTGGGTAGGGCAGTATGATCAAAGAATCTGGTATGCCTAGGAAGCTCTCGAGAGGCAAGTTTTCTGAGTGATTAGAATCAATAAGGCTTGGGGTGAAATCTCAACTCCCCTCCTTACTGTCTATGTGACTTTGCACATGTCACTCCACCTCTCTGAGCCTTGCCTTCCTCTCCTGTACAGTGAGAGTAGTAATAGCACCAGTCTTTTGGGCTGTGAAGAGTAAATGAGATAAGGAAGCTACCAAGCCTAGTGCCTGGGAGCAATTTGACTGTGATGCTTGGTGCCAGTCTTAGTGGTGTCTAAGTGGATTCTGGAAGCTGCCTCAAAGACACACTACAGGGACACGCCCGCTGCCCAGCCCACCCTCAGCAGTGGCTCCCACCCCCTATGCACCTGTCACATGCAGGGCTTGCTATGAGTTTCTTATGTACGTTGTCATCACTCATCCTCAGGACAGCTCTGGAAATGACTGGTTCCTCCATTTAGAGATGAAGAAACAGGCTCAGAAATGCTAAGTCACTTGCCCAAGGGTCACACAGCCAGAAAGTGACAGAACCAGGACCCTAACCCAGATCGGCCCACTTCAAAGCTCATGCCTCTCTCATGATCCCCCATTTCAAAGGTTAATAATCTTAATGCTTAGTTTTTACATTTAAAAAAACAGTCACCTATTTGAGGAACAGTCCCCATGTGGCAACAAAAATTCAGGCTTTACTAGTCTCTTTTCCCAAATAAAACTCAGATTTCCCTTGAGGAAAGTGTGCAGAGACACAGATGCTCTGAAATCTGCAACCTTGGAGCCCAGATCAAGTCGAGAGCTAAGAGCTTAGATTTTGGTAGAGCTTGGAAATGAGGACAGGTGAGTGTTTCCCAAGCTAACTGTCACCTGCACATTGTGCTTAGCTGACACTAGTTCCAAATGTTATCTGCTGCATTTAGGGAGCCTGTTTCCGTTAATAAGAACATGGTGCTTACCCCCCAAATCTGCCTTGTTTTCTCTCCCAATTGCATTGGAGTCTGTGAGCTCTGATGGAGGCTGGTAAGAAGTAAGTGTAAATTTCAGATGCTTGAAGAGCCTGTGCACAAAAGTAGATTTTTACCTGAGCTGATTACTTTATCTCAGATCACAACTTTGGAAAATTGGAGTATACCTAGATTATGGTGGTGGCCAATATCTTAGTGAACACTTAGTTTGTACCAAGCCACACTTAGATATGCCATGGCCTTAGCCCCTGCAGTCATGCTAGGAGGCTGGAATGATTGTTTTTAAGCCTGTTTTACAGATGAAGAAACAGAGCCTCTGCCTCTGCCTGCCTGCACCTGCTCCCAGGTGTGCAGTGTTTGTTGGTAGGGCTACTTGTCTGCAAGTGGCTGGGGCATGACCTTGGCTGACCTTGACACCCAGCATCAAGACCCTCCTTTCCTTCTCCTGCTCAGCGCTTCCCTGTGCCTGGGTGCTGACTCCCTGACTGACATGCTTGCAGAACAAGGCTCTATCACACCCTGATACTGAGTTCTCATTCTTCAATTATGCTCTCCTTGTACTTACATTTTGTTTCTTTTAGGAAGTCTATCCCAGTAATTTTATTTCAAATGACCTGGAATATTGTTTTTTAAAAAAGAAACCCCAAGGAGTTTTATACATGCCCTGGATAAGGTATATTTCTTAACATGGTAAAAAACAGTTGACATGAAATCGACCCTATTAACACATCTTAAAGTGTACAGTACAGTAGTGTTAACTACATGCGCACTATTGGATAGTAGATTTCTAGAACTTGTTCATCTTGCAGGACTGAAACTACACTCACCACATAGCAATGTCCCATTTCTCCCTGCCCCTTGGCTCCTGGTAGCCACCATTCTACTCTGTACGTCTGTGAGTTGAGTTTGAGTCCTTTAGGTACCTCATAGAATGGAAACCATGCAGTATTTGTCCTTCTATAATTGGCTTATTCATCTATGACTTTTTAAAACTTAACTTTAAAATACACAAGTAATACTGTAAAACAATAATCTGCAACAATACAGACAAGGCCAGCGTCCATGCTGACAACCCCCTTCCAGTCCTGATTGCTTCGAAGGGGTAACCAACCCATTTACAGTTTAGTGTTGAACCCTAAAGAGCACTTTCTCATGCCCCATTCTTTGTATCTGCTCGAAGAGCTCTATGGTAAGTTAACTAGTCATTCTCCCATCAGTGGGCATTAGTTTGCCTCCAGTTTTTCACTGGCACCTCAAGCAGTGCTGCAGGGGACATCCTTGCCTGCCACGTTGAACACAAACAAGGATTTCTCTGGGGTCGAGGCAGCAGGGTAGAGTGGCTCAGAGCTTGGAGCCTGGAGCCAGTTTGCTGGCTCAAATCCTAACTTTACCATCTATAAAGTACCAGTTTTAAACTTAAGTGTAAATAAAGTTAAAAAATGAAGGCTCAATTGAACAAGGGTCCCCAGAGTTGCCAGCCCCAGGATGTTTCACCATCCCTTACTGATCCCCACAACCCTGCCTATACCTCTGTGAATAGTCCCTTCATGAGACCTTCTGAAGCCCTGATGGGTACAGTGGTGTGTTAGCACAGCGGTAAAGAAGGAAGCTGCCTGGATCCAGCCTAAACCACCTTTATGGCTTTGCATGATGTTTCCCAGGCTGAGAGTGAAGGTCTAGGGGCAAGCAGTGTGGGGTCTGCCTCCCCGTTGGAAATTTAACCCTATGAGATAGAGCTGGCAGTTTTCAGTGCCTAGTAGTGTTTTTTGGGCCTGAGTGAAATAGGGTTGGTGGCACCCCTAGGACTTTCTATTCCTTGTGTTTCAGACTCAGAATATTGAGTGTGTGTGTGGCAGGCACTTTGCTATGTGCTTTTTATCCATCCGTCTTATGTACTTCTTTTCAATGATCTTCAGAGGTAGCAGAATGAGCATCCTTACCTGTTACATGAGGAAACTGAGGCTTAGAAAGATAAGTGACTTCCTCAAATCCACAAAACCAAGAAGCTAGGGTTTGGACTCAGGTCTTCCCATGCCCAGAATCTGAGCATCTCACTACTATGCTAGGCTCAGAGAGGCCACATCTTGAGATGGTTTAATAGAAATATTCATTAGAGGAAAGTGGATAAATGAATAGCTACATATTTATACGGATGAATGCTCTACAGATATGAAAATAAATTCATGTCTCCATTCTTGGATAAATCCCCAAGATTTGAGGCTAAGTGGAAGAACAAAGCAAATTATTAGCTTATATCTACAGTAGCATACAGTTTAAAACGTGCAATATATTCATAATTCTATTTGTTGTATATAAACACATTCCTGTTTGGTCATGCATATATGTGGACATCATAAACACCAATCAAGGGACTGGTTATCTCTGGGGAAGAACAAAGGTTGAAGGGTGTCTAGGGAACTTCAACTGTATCTGCATGTTTTATCTGTTAATCTAGTTGGTGGGAGACATGGGTTTTCATTTTATTCCTCTCCATACTCTTTTACATATTGGAAATATTTTATATTTTCCCATATTTTATTTTGAAAAATTTTAAACATGACAAAGTTAAAAGAAATGTATTGTGAGAATCCATATACCCACCACTTAGATTCTACCATTAATATTTTACTGTTCTTACTTTACTACATATCTATCAATCTATCTCTTCATCCATCAATCCATCTTATTTTCTGATGTGTTTAAAAGTAGTTTGCAGACATTTGTTCACTTCCTTATAAATAGCTTAGTATGTACATTATTAGCTAGGATTTGATATTTATGTGATTTTGACTGGAATTACATTGACTATAGAGATCAATTTATGGAGAATTACCATTGTAACAATGTTGGGTCTTCCGATATAAGAACATGGTATATTTCCTCATTTATTTATATCTCCTTTGATTATCTTCAGCTATGCTTTGTAGTTTTCATTGTACAGATCTTGCACATCCCTTGTTAACTTTATTTCTTAGTATTTTATATTTTAATATTATAAATTGACTTGATTTTATTTTCATTTTAAGATGTTTTGTTGATAGGATATAGCAATACAGTTGATTTTTTTGTGTGTACTGAGGTTGTATCCTGTAACCTTGCCAAATTCACTTATCTGTATCTTTATACTTAAAATGTGCCTCTTGTAGATAGCATACACTTGTGTCTTGTATTTTTTATCTGTTTTGATAATCTGTATTTTAATTAGTATGCTTATTTCATTAATATTTAATATGTAATTTCATTAATGTGCTAGTCTATTAATATTTAATGTAATTACTAATGTTACCAGATTTGGGGTTACCACTTTATTATTTGGTTTCTCTTTTTCTTTTTGTTTGGTATTCCTCTGTTCTTCTTTTCCTGCTTTTTTTTTGGGCATTATTTGCATACTTTTAAGAATTCTAGTTTAACTTTTATATAGGCTTTTTAGCTGCACTTTCTTGCATTATATTTTTAGTAGTTGCTTCAGAAATTACCATATACATGCTTAACTTTTCACAGTCTATTTTGAGATAGACTTTCCATAAAATGTAGATAGTAGGTCCACTTAACCATCCCATGTCCTTTATGTTAATGTTACTTTGTATAATTACATAGATATATGTTAAAAACCCTCGAAGAGAATATTATAACTTTTACTTTAAATAGTTATATGTATTATAAAGACATTAGGAAGAAAAAGCAATAGTAGCCTTTTGCATTTATCCAGATTTTGCCATTTCTGATGTTCTTCATTCCTTTCTGGGGATCTAAGTTTTCATTTGTTGTTATTTCCCTTCAGCATGTATGACTTCTCTTGGCAATTTTTTGAAGTACATATTTACTGGCAATAAATTCCTTTAGTCTCTTTTATCTGAAAATCCTTTATTTCATTTTTATTCCAGAAGATTTTTTTTTGCTATTTGTAGAGTTCTGAGTTGGCAGTTTTTTTCTTTCAGCATTTTAAAGATATTGTTCTACTTGATTTAAAAATTATATTATAGTTGTACATATTTTTGGGCAGATGTGATATTTTGATACATGTATAAAATGTGTAATTATCAAATCAGGGTAATTGGCATATCCATCACCTCAAACATTTTTCTTTGTGTTGGGAACATTAGAATTCTTCTCTTCTAGCTATTTGGAAATATATAATAAATTATTGTTAACTATAATTTCCCTACTCTACTATTGAATACTAAAACTATTTCCTTCCATCTACTGTATTTTTGTATCCGTTAATCAACTTCTCATCCCTCTCCTTCCCACTTCCCTTCCCAGCCTCTGGGAACCTTCATTCTACTCTCTACCTCCAAGAGGCCCACTTTCTTTTTTTTTAAGCTGTCATATGTTAGTGAGAACATGTGATATTTGTCTTTCTGTGCCTGGCTTATTTAACACTTAACATAATGGCTTCCAGTTCCACCCACATTGCTGCAAATGACAGGATTTGATTCTTTTTATGGCTGAATAATATTGCTGTGTGTGTGTGTGTACACAGCACATTTTCTTTATTCGTTCATCCATTGATGGACACTTAGGTTGATTCCATATTGTGGCTACTGTGAATAGTGCTGCAGTAAACGCAGGAGTGCAGATATCTCTTTGATATGATGATTACCCACCAACAATGTAGGAGTGTTCCTCTTTCTCAGCATCCTCACCAGCATTTGTTATTTTTTTTATTGTCTTTTTGATAGTGCCATTTTAACTGGGGTGAGATGGTGAGATGTTTTGATTCACTTGCTTTTGACCTCCATAATTTCTGATAAGAAGTCAGCCATTAATGAATCAGTCACCTGTAGGTGATGTGTTGCTGTTCTTTTGCTGCTTTTAAGATTTGCTCATCATCTTTGCCTTTCAACGGTTTAGCTACAATGTGCAGAGGTATGGACTTTTAAATGTTTATCCTGCCTTGGGTTTGTTGTGTAGTTAAATTTGTACATTTATGTCTTTTATCAAATTTGGGAGAGTTTCAGTCATTATTTATTAAAATATTCATTTCTGCCTCATTTCCTTACTCCTCTGCATCTGGAATGTCAATTACACATATACTAGACTATCTATTATTATCTAACAGGCCTCTGAGTCTCTGTTCATTTTCTTCAGTCTTTTTTCTCACTCATTTTACATTGAATAATTCCATTGATTTATCTTCAAATTCATTGATTCTTTCTCCTGTCATCTTTATTTGGGTATTAAGTCCACCAGTGCAATTTTACTTTTAGCTATTGTAGTTTTCGATCTAGACTTTCCATTTTGTTCTTTTATTGTCATTTTTATTTGTTTGCTGAGTTTTCATGGCTTTTTATTCATTAAGAGCGTATTTTCTTTTACATCACTGATGACAGTTGTAATTAGCAACTTTAAAATGCTCTTCTGGTAATTCTAACATCTGGGTCATCCTCAGGTTGGTTTCAGTTGATTGTCTTTTCACTCTGGAATGGGTCTCATTTTTAAAAATCTTCATATTTTGGACAATTTTTTATTGTATCTTGAATATTATGAATGCTAAGTTGTGAAGACTCTGGATTCTTATTTTTGATTTTCCAGTAAGTGTTGTTTCTTTTGTTTCAGCAGGCAATTAATTTTGTTGTAGTCAAACTGCAGATCTCTTTCTTGGATCATAAGTACAATCTCAGTATGGATCTTTTATCTTTAGCTGACATGCTTTGAGACTGATCTGCATATACAAGATTCAATATTCAACCAGAGATATTGACAGGTAGAATTTGAGCATTCTCTCTTTCTCTTCCATGACTCTCTCATCTCTCTTTAGCTGCCATCTTGGACTCAGTCCTGTGGTTCCCTACCTCCCAATCCCAACTGCATTTTTTTCCAGGTTGATGCTCTCTCTGCATCCTACAATAATAACTGCATTATTCTCCAGGCTAAATGTGACAAAAATGGGGGAAATTCTTCCTCAGAGTGGGTCTTCCTCTGAGTATGGACTCCCCTCCATGATCTTCCTGTTTTTGTTTACTCTCTAGTGCCTTTGGATAGCTACTTTAAAAATTATGTCTAGAGTTTACGTAGGACCAACTCTAGTATCTCACTCAACCATTACCAGAAATAGATTTAGTTCATTTATATTTAATGTAATTATTGATGTGGTTGGAATTAGGTCTGCTATTTTTTATTTTTCTCATCTTAGTTTTTTTCTTTATTCCTTCTTTCTTGATTAATCTATTGTGTTATCAAATATTAGTATTTGATTTTAATTAATCTATTGGCTTTTTAGCTATATCTCTTTGCATGTTTAAGTGATTGCTCTAGGGATCATAGTATATATCTTTAAATTTATCATCATCTAATTAGAGTTGACATGTTATTTCTCTAGGTAAGTATAGTTACTTTACCACAGTATAGTCCATTCTCCACATCTTTGTGCTATTTTCATATATTTGATATCTATATATGTTTTGTTTTGGCACTTTTAAGATGACAGATATTTTGTAGATGGTCTCTTAATTTGGGTTTGTCTGCTGTCTCCTCATGATTAGATTCAGGTTATGCATCTGTTGCATTAATGCCACAGAAATGATACTGTGTTCTTGTTGCATCCTATGAGGTTGTGCATAATTTTAATTTGTCTCATTACTGTTGAGGTTCACTTTAATTACATAATTAAGGTGGTATCTGCCAGTAGTTTCAACTGTGAAGTTACTGCTTTTCTCTTTGCCGTTAATAAGAATTTTGTGGGGTGTCACTATGTGATATTATGTACACATTCCACCCCTCATCAAATTTTTATTTATTCATTGTTTAATTTACATTTGTATGGAGTCATGATTTCCTTTTTTGCATGGATTTGCCCAGTGGGAGGCAGCAGTGGAAGACTAGGATGGGAAAAGGTAGAGAAAGTAGAGAACTTCCCTCTTGCTCTGCTTCCTGATATGTCTCTGTCAGAGGCTGCGTATCCTCCATAGCTTTGTTCCTATAGGACACATGCTCCTCAGGAATAGACCCTGCCAGGAATTTAGCTCCCACTGGATGGTCCTAGTTCCTGGGCTTTTAGGTAACAACATCTCTTCCCTGTGTCTTGCTTGGAAATACAATTTTTTTTTACATTCAATTTGTTCCATGACAGGAATAAAACATGTGAGGTGTTGTTCCTGTCATGATTTTTTTAAATTATACTTTAAGTTCTATGGTACATGTGCACAACGTGCAGGTTTGTTACATATGTATACATGTGCCATGTTGGTGTGCTGCACTCATTAACTCGTCATTTACATTAGGTATATCTCCTAATGCTATCCCTCCCCCCTCCCCCGGCCCCATGACAGGCCCCGGTGTGTGATGTTCCCCACCCTGTGTCCAGGTGTTCTCATTGTTCAATTCCCACCTATGAGTGAGAACATGTGGTGTTTGGTTTTCTGTACTTGCGATAGTTTGCTGAGAGTGATGGTTTCCAGCTTCATCCGTGTCCCTACAAAGGACATGAACTCATCCTTTTTTATGGCTGCATAGTATTCCATGGTGTACATGTGCCACATTTTCTTAATCTAGTCTATCACTGATGAACATTTGGGTTGGTTCCAAGTTTTTCCTATTGTGAATAGTGCTGCAGTAAACATACATGTGCATTTGTCTTTATAGCAGCATGATTTATAATCCTTTGGGTATATACCCAGTAATGGGATGGCTGGGTCAAATGGTAGGAAATACAAATTTAGGTGTGTTTGGCAGTTTGATAATAATAACTGAAGCCTTGGAAAGGATGAGATTTTTTTCAGTAAAAATCATGAGAAGAAAAAAGAGCTCTTGAATGAATCCTGAAGGACTCCAACATTTGATAGGTTGATAAATGACAAAGATGAGACTTAAAAATGTCAGCCAGAGAAGTGGAGAAACCAAGAGAATATGATATCACACAAGCCAGTGGAAGAGACTGAAAACCACAGAAAGTCAGCAGAGTTGAATCCTGCTGAGAGCTCAAGCAGGGGAAATGAAAATTATTCCTTGCATTTTTACCTATGGAGGTCATTGGTAACTTTAATAAGATATTTAATGGGCCGGGCGTGGTGGCTTATGCCAGTAATCCCAGCACTTTGGAAGGCGGAGGTGGCGGATCACCTGAGGTCAGGAGTTCGAGACCAGCCTGGCCAACATGGTGAAACCCTGTCTCTACTAAAAATACAAAAATCAGCCGGGTGTGGTGGTGGGCACCTGTAATCCCAGCTACTCGGGAGTCTGAGGTAGGAAAATCACTTGAACCAGTGAGGAGGAGGTTGCAGCGAGCCAAGATTGTGCCACTGCATTCCAACCTGGGCGACAGAGTGAGACTCCATCTCAAAAATAAAAAAGATATTGAATGAACTCCTGGAAATAAAAGCCAGACTGGAGGGGCTTGGGGATGAGTGATCTGTGAAGTTAATCCCTGTTGTGGCTTAAGATCGGCTGCATGTGGTAGGAACCCCAAAGAACACTGAGGTCACCAAGACAGGCATCTATTTAAGGAAAGGCAGGAATGTCCACAGGTAGGTATTGGTTTGGTGGATCAAGAATGTTAGAGTATCAAGGATTTTATGATTATGTTGTTCTTTCCCTCACTGTCACAAGATAGCCGCTGCAGTTGTAGTCATCACATCTATATTTCACTCAGAAGGGAGAAAGGAGAGAGAGGAGCAAAACATCACGTGCATCCAAGTCTGCCCTTCTTTAAGGAACATTCCTGGAATTGTCAACCAACATCTTTTGACTGTTGCTTAATAGCCAGAACTGTTCTCACAATCAAGGCCATCCTGTAGTGAGGTAGGGAATTGTAGGTATTTAACTGGGCATCTGGGCAGTCCCTTCTCCCCCCATCAGGGTTTTCCTTCTTTCTTTTTTAAATAGACATGGGGGTCTTGCTCTGTCACCCAGGCTGGTCTCTAACTTCTGGACTCAAGCAATCCTCCCGCGTCAGCCTCCCAAAGTGCTGGGATTATAGGCATGAGCTACCGCATCCGGCCAATTTCAGGGTTTTCTTGATAGGGAAGAAATGGGTAATGGATATTGGGTGAGTAATTAGCATTGTCTGACACATGTGAGTTGATGGAAACAGGAAAGGCAATGTCTTTCTACGTTGTTCCAATGTTTGACTGGTGTATTAGGGTTCTCTAGAGGGACAGAACTAATAGGATATATGGATATATGACAGGGAGTTTATGAAGGAGGATTGACTTGCAGATAGGCCATCTGCAAGCTGAGGAGCAAGGAAGCCAGTAGTGGCTTATTCTGAGTCCCAAAGCCTCAAAAGTAGGGAAGCTGATGGTGCAGCCTTCAGTCTGTGGCCAGAGGCCTGAGAGCTCCTGGGAAGTCACTGGTGTAAGTCCAAGAGTCCAAAAGCCAAAAATCCTGGAGTCTGATGTTCGAGGGTAGGAAGCATCCAGCACAGGAGACAGATGAAGGCCAGAAGCCTCAGCAAGTCAGCTCCTTCTACCTTCTGCATGCTTTCTCTAGCCACACTGGCAGCTGATTGGATGGTGACCACCCACATTGAGGGTGGGTCTTTCTGAGTCCATTGACTCTGACTCAAATGTTAATCTCTTCTAGCAACACCCAGAAACACCCAGATAGATGCAGAGACAATCCTTCAATCAAGTTGACGCTTAATATTAATCATCACAGCTGGGAAGAGACAGGGAGGAAGGAGGGCATCCGAGGGACCCGGGGTGTCAGGGGATTCTTTTCCCTAAAGCTGAGAGAAGCTTGTGCATGTTTAAGTTATAAAGTGATGCTCAGAGTCCCAGTGGTAATGTGGGGCTGCTTTCCAGGGGCTTGAAAACTCTCCTCTGTGTACCTTGTGGGTTTCCAGGACACAATTATGCAACCACCTTACTTTTTACCACCCACTTAAGAGTAACAGAGAATTTTATTTAAAAGAGAAGTATGTAATTGTGTTCACAGTAGATCTGCTCTGTGTAATTAGTTTGTGTGGAGCTAGTTCAGTTTGTCTGGTTGACATTTTGTCGACCAGTGACTTGTGCAGTAAATAATTATAGGGAAATTCAAGGGGAATTCAAAGGGACAGTATTAGCACTAATCAGAGATGCAAGCTGCACTTTGTGATCTTTTCGTCTTCACTAGCAGGGTATTGTTTGGTTAAGAATTTTGTCAGATTTTATTTTAATACCATAGAAGCATAGCATACCATTTATCTCTCTGTTAGCTCTATTAAAAATATGGCCTCTATCTCCATTATGTTTAAATTGACTGTCACTCACTTCGGTTAGACAGAATATTTCAGAAAAAATCACTAAAAACCAGGAAAGAAGCAAATGCATTGTGCCAACTGTAATTTTAAGGTTAGATATAATTTTTAATTGCATTTCTTCCTGTCTGTGTGGTCTAAATCCACAACACTTTTTGCAAGAAATTCAACATGTGCTTCTCTTTGGTTTTCGAGAATTTTATTCAAACTTGGAATCTAGCATTTATCCCAGCATATTTTAGCTAACTGAATTTGTGTCAGTCTCTTTGATTATGAGCTTCTTGCAGACAGGGATTGCTGACTTGGCGGAGCCTGTGTCCCCGGCTAGAACTGGCAGTTTGCTAGAGCTCATAAAGTATCCCTTGAGTGGAATTAAAGTTGAAATCCAGAATTAGCAAACTTGCCACTTACCTCCAGGATCCCCAAGTAGTGATTTTTCTTCACTTACAGCAATGCAGTTACATCTGCTACTTTAATAAATATATTGGCGGTTTTCCTCTCAATGGGAAATCAAAACCTCTTCCAGTTCTTATGCCCTATTGGGTTTAGCCAAAGGAGCTTTTTGCCTGCCCCTGGGATTGCAATGTCAGATCAATGTTAAGAGATGTTTTTCCAGTGGAAAGAGGTAGAAATAAGGACACCCATTTTGCACTAGTTAGGATTGACATTGGTGATACTTTACACAAAGTATTTGAAATTCTGATTGGGTTGGAAGTAGAAAGGCAGCTGGGAGGTAAAAAGTCCCCTTTCCTGCTACAAATGTGCAGTGGTCTTGACTGTGACCGAAGGCCACAGGGCCTGATGGGAATGAAGTGAGTAAAGGGCCAAGCTGCATGTTCATGACGGACCACCCACCCCACCGATGTCATCTCCCGCAGCGTTCTGGCCACACACACCGTCTTTTCTAGGCTCCTGGAACCCACCAAGCTTACTCCAGTCTCAGGGCATTTTCTTTGTTTCCTTTCCCTGGAATGCTCTTCCCTTACCTGCCTGCAGAGCTGGTCTCTCCTTGCCATTCATGGCTTACCTTGGATGTCCCCTTTTCCCCGACCATCCCTATGTGGTCCTCTTTGGCAATCCTGGCCCCATTATCCAGCTGATTTTCTTCAAAGCACTCATCGCCACCTGAAGTGAAGTTATTTATTTGTTCACTTATTTGTCATCTGTTTCCCCCACATTACAAGGTCAGCTCCATGCGGGCAGGGACATGTATCACCAGTGCCAAGAACTATATGTGGCATGTAGCTGGGACTCAGCAAATGGGAACCACACGCCTTTACATCTCGGATACAGCCATTCACTCATGTGGCTTGATGCCTGCCATGGGCTGAATTGTGTCCCCCAAAGTTCCTGTGTTGAAGCCCTAACCTCCAGGACCTCAAAATGTGACCGTATTTGGATATAGGGCCTTTAAAGAAGTCAACAAGTTAAAATGAGGTCATTAGGGTGGGCTTTAATCCGATACCTTCTGAGAAAAGGGAGATCCATGTGAAGACACAGGAAGATGATCATCTGCAAGCCAAGGAGAGGTCTCGGAAGAAACCAGCCATGCAAACACCTTCATCTTGGACTTCTGGCCTCCAGAACTGTGAGAAAGTAAATTTCTGCTGTTTAAGGCGCCCCCAGTCTACGGTACTTCGTATGGCAGCCCCAGCTTCCTTTAGCTTCCGTTACAAAGTACCATTGTAGTGCCCTGCAATGGAAAGTAATAAAGAGCCTTTAAAGCCATCAGCTATTAATTCAGAAGTTTCTTAATGTCCCTTACCCTTGTCCCCTCCCCTTTCTAACCTGTGTTTTCTGTTCTGTTTCATTATCAGTTTGAGTCTTTTAAGAGCACAGTTGTTTTTTGTTTTGTTTTGTTTTGAAACGGAGTTTCACTCTGTCTCCCAGGCAGGAGTTCAGTGGGGTGATCTTGGCTCACTGCAACCTCCGCCTCCTGGGTTCAAGTGATTCTCATGCCTCAGCCTCCCAGGTAGCTGGGATTACAGGCACGCACCACCAAGCCTGGCTAATTTTTCTATTTTTAGTAGAGACGGGCTTTTGCCATGTTAGCCAGACTGGTCTCGAACTCCTGGCCTCAAGTGAACTGTCTGCCTCAGCCTCCCAAAGTTCTGGGATTACAGGTGTGAGCCACCACATCCAGCCAAGAGCATAGGATTTTACTTTTGGGATGGATGTGTTTGTCGGTGCCACTCCTTGGCAGATGTGTGACACACAAGAATCTTGCTCTGCACTTTAGGGATGTTCCTCTTTAGGGATGTTCCTTTGGGATTGAAGCTATGAAGAACACTGTTAGTGCAAAAGGAAGGGTTATTACCAAGACCTCTGACTCTCTGAAGTCCTCTGTCTGGAGGCTCATTCTTCTTAGAGTGGAGATGGCTTTTCCATTTAAATTCTCCGTGGGCACAGGGAATTCTAAAGTATCTGGATTCTCATGGGAGTCTGTATAGTGCAGACCTCAACTCAGCTCACCCACAAACATGTTTTTTTTTGTTTTTCCTTTGTTTAGATATAGAAAGTGGCTGATTTTAACTAGTAATTAGACAGTCCCTTGAGTCCTGGATGTCTCCTGCCACAGTTGAAACGGTGAGGCTCACAGAGAGGGATTTCTTAAGGGTTTCTCTGGGGGTTTCAGCCAAGTCTTCCTAATGCATGTTTCATTGCAGAGATCCCTCTGCCCTGCACCCCCCGACCCCGCCCCGCCCCGGCTTCTCTATCTTTCTTGCCTAAACTTATTTCTGCTTGGCAACCTTGCATGTTGATCAACTTGTATCCCTTGGTGCTCACTAGCTAATTGCAATTATGTGCTGTTAGAGGAAACAGATAGAAAAAAGAGATCATCTGTGGCTCGAATGAGAAATGAGAAAGAGTGGATATTTCCAATGCTCCATACAGAAAAAAACCCTCAATTTTGGTGGCTTCATGTTGCAGAAAAATGTTGAGAGTTACATTTCATTTTGTAGCAGGGCTAGATTGCACAGCTGAAATCCATAAGATCAGATACAACATTTCCATCACTGAGCAGCTTAATAAAGCCCCTAATAGGATTTGCTGACCATAAGAACTGCAGACCAAGATACAGAAAGGTTTTATTTATTTGCCATCTGTATGTAAATTTTGCTATTATGGAAATTGTGTCAGAAATTGTACTGCAACTGGATAGCACACAATGTACTATAATATTTGAGCTCAGATACAAAAAGCAGCTAACCCTTTCGTGTGTGTATGCATATGAATAATCCAGCTCATTGTTGCTGTCTATAAGAAACTCAATCTCAGACTCAGAATCTAACCTGTGATCAAGGTGGATGGACTCATTTGAATATGCAACAGTCTCTAAAGACTCAGGAGATGGAGGCTGAGTTTTCAAGGGAAAAGAAGTGTCCGTGCCTTGCCATTTTATTAGCTGCTTTCAGGATCTAGTGCCAATCTGTCCTTCTTCAGTGATTCCCCAGGTGACAGCAAAGAGATACATTTTGTCGCTAAAGGACAAATGTTTTTGGAGTTATGTATAGCTAGTCATGGAGTGGAGGAACACCCATCTTTGCTTTTCATCTTGAAAGAAAGGAAACCAACATGAAAAAGTTACATCAGGATTCAGATATGTGATGTCAGCTACGTTACGTAATTAGTGAGTGTCCTGGATGGGCGAGCAAGTGGCTTATTCTGTGGCTGGTGGCTGCCGGCTCTCTTTGAGGTGCACACATCACACTCTGTCACACCCAGGTAGAAAGTTTGACTTACCACGGCTGCGTGTTTCCATAGTAACATGATGAGGGTTCAGAGAACGTGGTAAACCCACGTTAGTGAGACCAGCACATGAACTAAATCACCTTCTATATTCCTGTGAATTCTTCATTTTGTTACTTCCCTTTCTCTCCAATAGTTATCAGGTTCTGGAATGACTTTTGTCTTCAAGTCATCTTAGAGGCCACCTAAAATCAGTCTGCACTCACACCTTGGGAACCGCCAGGGAAGGGGAAAAATGGTTTCAGGTGATAACTCAGATGACTGTAGGTATTCCGGTACCACTTACTCTTGGTGCTGAGGTAGCACTGAATTACCTGTTGAGAGGTGGTTCCTGCTGCATCCTCTTTGTGTCCTGGTTAAGTCAAGGAGGTAGTGTCTGTCTGAGGCTCCAGTCTCTTGCACCCCCTAACCTCTTGCTAATCTCCTTGTCTGATGGCTTGTTTTTGTTTTAAATGAGAGCCCACATCCCAGGCTGGGAGGCTTTGGCAGGCAGCAGTGTCTGGCTACAATTCAATAACATTGTTTTTTTCCATTGTACTTATTTTAGGGTTTTCTTCTCTTTATGGAAATTGATATTGCTTTTTTTTTCCACTTCAAGTGCTGATATATTGCTTCCTCCCCAGATAAATTTGAGTAAGCCCAGTGAACAGACTTAAATAAAAATATTAAGTAATAATACAGATGGTACCCATGCTAAAGCAAAACAGAGTGACAGGGCACGGGATGCCTGAGGACTGGGAACGTTGGTTGACAGCAGGTGCCGCCTTAAGTGAGGCAGGAGACCAGCCCCGGTGGATGCTCATTTACACTCCTCCTGCCCAGCAGCTCCTCCAGTGGCTAGCTGCCTGGGCTCGGGGCTATTTAAACTCTTCCTGTCCTTGTTTCCTCATCTCAGAATGGGATAGCACCACTTCCCCACTTCCTGGAGGGATATGAGTCTAGAGGGAGTTTCCTGCAGGGGAGAAGCTCCCAGGTTGAGGGAGGGGTACAAAGAGAGCAAGTTCCCCCTTCCCCTTAAAAGGGCTGAGGCCGCCCTATGAAGCCCACTGTCTAAGGGGGAGCTGAGTGTGCCAGGCAGGGACCCTAGGATTCCGTGGCCATGGCACAGACTTTGGCACCTGAGCCAGTGCCCCCAGGCACATCACAGTGATCTGAAAGCAGATCTATGTGAAATAAATGCCTGCTCCAGTGTGGGGAGCAGGGAAGAAAACTGTGACTGGCCTTCCAGGTCATCCAGAACCCTCCCACGGTTTCTCCAAGCACGCTCTGGGACCACTGGCAGTGGGATCCCTTAGCGGGACAGGGCAGGCTGGTAAAATGCAGATCTCTTGGCCATATCCAGACCCACTCAGAGAGGCTCGCTGAGAGTGGGGCCAGCAGCCTGCGTTTCCCCAGTGCTGCTGCTATGCAGGTCTGCAAGCTGCTGTCTGTGCACTGCCTCTGAGGCACAGAACACCTGTGCAGGTGGGTAGTGGGGAACATGTGGTTACTGAGGGCTGATTTACTTCAGTTGATGGGGAACTGCTCCTAGGGGCATGAAATGGAGAGAGTTCCCAGAGCTGGGCTGAGACAGCAGGGACTTATCCTGAAGGTCAAGGAGCAGCTGAACCAAGGGGAGACCCAGAGAGGAAGCCCACATCAGAGGGCAGGGAACTTTGGATTGTGGGCTGGACTGGGGAGAAGGTGGAGGTGAAGTAGAGGTTGGGTAGCAAGACCTTGAGAACAAAGAGTGAGGTTGGGTGGTTAGGTTCAGAATTCCTAAATCTTGGACACTTCTCATGCATGTCGTGTGCCTCAGTACCCCCTGCTATAAAATGAGGGTAATGATGTCCCCTACTTGAGAGTGCTGTGGTGAGGAATACACAGGTTAATATGTGTTAATATGTGTAAGTAGCTCAGAACAGGGCCTGGCTCAGGGATCTAATTATTATTATTTTCCATGTTGTTATAATTTTTATTCCACTATATAGTTCTGATCTCTCTCATGGGACGTCTGAATATTTTCAAAGGATTCTCTTGGAGTTGGACAGATCCCTTAGGGAAGTGGAATGAACTGTTTTCTTTAAAGAGAATCTCTTTCTAGAGCCTGCAACTCTGGCTGCTTGCTATGGGTTCACTTAACAGCTATTCATGGAGCACCCACCCAGCTGGTGAGATTTAGGAGGCACCAAGGTGACTTGCATGGGGACCTTACTCACAAAATCTTAAGTTCTTTTGGGGATACAGCGCACACATACGGTCAGATGAGTTCATGTGAAGGGGGTTTCAAGAATGTTTTGAAAGCTAGGTATTTAGGGAGGCTGGACAAGGGGAGGTGTCACTTGATCTTGGCTGTTAGAAGTTGGTTAAATGAGGATATGGGAATGGGAGGGGAGAAGGCATTCTCACTCTGGTAGAGACGGTGACACTGAGTATGGAGTGATGGGCCGCCCAGCTGGGAGGGATGCTGGTGTTGGGGTCAGGAAGTAGGTGAGACCTGTACATTGAAATACCTGTGGATATAGGGTGGATCTCTTCCTTCGGCTTGTCACTAATTCCAGGAAACTGTGTGGTATCATGGAAAAAGCATGAACAATAAATCCAGGAAGACTGGTTCAGATCCCTATTCTGCCATGGACCAGCTGTGAGCTGATATCAGCTGGAGTGCATTTGACTGCACGTACCATCAAATCCAATGACAGTGCCTCAGTCAAGCAGGGCCTTAGTTTTCTCCCATAAGAAGAATTTACAAGTAAGTAGTCAAGGGTGGAGGTAGCTGTTCTCTGGGCCATCAAAGACTCAGGCTCTGCCTGGCTTCATCTTTAACCCACAGTTTTTATCTTCATGGCTGCTACACCTCTAGGAATCATGTCTGGATTCCAAGAAGCAAGATGGCAGCAGGGCAAGGGAAATAGACATGCACAGCTGGATGTGGCCTTTGCTGTAAGAAACACTTCGTTTTCCTAGAGCTCCCACCCAGAGCTACCTACTTGCATTTCATTGGCCAGAACTGTGCCATGGTCACTTCTAGCTGCAAGGGAGTCTTTGGAGGTGAATGTATTTAAGTGGACATTTCTGTCCCCACTCCTGCAAACAAGTTTATAGGTCAATAAGGTGAAAGGGGCAAGTTGACAATGGCCAAAGAGCAGTGTGTGCTGCTGCTGGCTTTCACTGAATCTTTAATGTCTCTGAGCCTCATTTGCTCATATGGGGAGAAGGACACTAGAACTGCCTGTTATTGTTGTTGGAGGTTTGAGTGAGGTCTCATGTGTATAGCCCCCACCCCCCTCAGTCCCCAGCATCTGGTGGTCTCTCTACAAAGCACCTATCACTGCCTTGCCTGTCTTGGGAAGAATGCAGCAGGTTGAAATGTGGATCTGCCTACCAAGCCTTCATTTTCAGGTTAAGGAACTCCCTATCAAGAATTTAATTGGAGCTTCCCTGCCTTTGGTAGGCAGAATAATAATGCTCCAAAGATGTCCAAGTCTTAATCACCAGAACCTGTGAATATGTTATGTTACATGGCAAGGGGGAATTGAGGTTGAAGATGGAATTTAGGCTTGATCAGCTGAGTTAAGGAGGGTATCCTGGGTTATCCAGGTGGAACCAGTGTAACCACAGGATCTTCAATGGGACGAGGGAAGCAGAAGTTCACAATCAAAGAGAGAGCACTGAATTCTACAGTGCTGGCTTTGAAGATGCAGGAAGGGGCCACAAGCCAAGGATGCAGCCAGCTTCTAGAAGCTGGAAAAAGCAAAAACCAACCAACCAACAAGCAACAGCAGATTCCAGGACAAACAAACAGAAAACCCCCCAAAATAAAGACAAAAAATGGATATTCTCCTTGGCCCTCCTGAAGGATCACAGCGCTGCTAACCCCTTGATTTTAGCTCATCTTGGATTTTTGAACTGTAGAATGATAAGACAATATATTTATGCTACTAAGCTTGTGGTGGTTTGTTACAGTAGCATTGGAAAATAATAGAGTCCCCTGACCAGTTAATCCAGAAAGTAGATGGATGGCTTTGCCATTGAGCAGAGCCCATCATGAAAGGGAGGCAGATTGAAAATGCATTTGAGCACCAGAATATTACATGTCCTGTGGAGTAAATGCTCCCAGCTCCAGAGCTGAGATTTTCCATCATGAATGAAGCAAGGACATTTCCAAGTGCTGCCACTACAGGTAGAGGTGTGTGGAATTGAGAGCTTTGAGAGATGAGGGTTTTTCAGATCACAACATTACATTCAGGGTAGATCTGTGAACTTCTATTTTGCTCCTGTCTCTCTGATTCAGCATTTATCTTCAATTTGGAAAGGAGAGAATACTGTGGTGCAGGAAAGAAATGGAGCTGAGGATGGATGCGTTCATTTCCTAGGGCTTTCATAACAAATTGCCACAAACTTGATGGCTTAAAATCATAGGGCTTTGTTCTCTCACAGTTTTGGAGATCAGAAGTCTGAAATCAAGGTGTGGGCAGGGTAGGTTCCTTCTTCTGAGGTTCTGAGGGAGAATATGTCCCCGTGGTTCTCTCCTAGCTTCTGGTGGTGGCTGGCAATTCTTGGAGATCCCTGGCTTGTGGTCACATTAGTCCAGTCTCTGCCTCTGTCTTCACATTGTCTTTCCTCCTGTGTGTCTCTTATAAGTACACTGGCCATTCGATTTGGGACTCACTGTAACCCAGGATGATTTCATCTTGAGATATTTACCTTGCTTACATGCACAAATAAGTTCATATTCACAGGTTCTGGATGGACATATATTTTGGGGGCCATCATTCAACCCACTGCAATGAGCAAGATGAGTGCATCCTTCCAGCCTCAGATGAATCACCTCCCACAGCACCAAGGAGTTTATGGATAGATTCCAAGCACGTCATTGGAGTGGGGCACGTGATCCCAAGCATGTGATTGGAGCATGGCATATGTTGGTGCTCGGTTCTCACCGTCAGATCCACTAGTTTCTCTTCCTTTTCCAAGGAGGCTGTCCCTGCAGGCTATGATTTCCAGTTACCCACAACTGGCTTCAGCTGATGGGAGGCACTGGTAGAAGATTGGAAGCAAGAGGAACGCAGCCCTCCCACCCATGGTGTCCATGGTAGCAGCCACATTTCTCCTGCTTAATGAGTCCTCTGTGGTTCCATTGTCCTTTGTGTGACCCTGATCCCTGGTTCTGAAAACATTACTTCCTTCTGTCCTTCTGGCCTAGGGGTGCTATCAGCTCCCTGCTGCACTAATCTCAGTTGGGCCTTCCAGATGCACATGAATGCACACCCTCTTCCCTGGATTAATTTTCCTGTTTTAAATGCTCAGAGTTGCTTCTGTCCTGGTCAGATGCTTAATGGTACAAGAGATACAGAGAGAGAAAGGAAGACACCAAATTTGTGTTGGCCTTGCTACTAAGCACACTATATGCATAAAACCAGCCTTAGCCCCATTCCAGCTCTGTGGAGTTACAGGCACGGTGTGTTGAGCCCCTGTGGTTGAGACACTGGGGATTTGATATTCCACACACCTTTCAACCTGCTGGTGGTCCAAGGCCCCACTCTCCCATAGACATCTCATGCTGTACAAGTGCACGCAAGCTGTGCATGTAGACACAAAGCAGACTCCTGACCAGGACCTGGGGCCCAGGTAGTTAATCTGGGAGGTGATACCAGAAAGCAGAAGTGAGAGGATGGGGAGAGTGAGACCAAGGAGGAAGATGAAGGGTCCCTGGGACGTCATACCACTGGGGTGCTCTCTTGGAACTGTGTACAAGGACCCTCAGAATTGTCCCTCAGGAAAATGGGGAGGCTAAAGAGTTTATCTATTGGCCTCCCTTCCCAATTGGTTGAAGGTTGATCTGGGTCAGTAACTTGGAGAAAACAGTGGAGAAGTCAAGACTGCCTTGGTGATAGCGCCTAGCTATGGCACATGGAACTGTCCATTCCAGTGGTTCTGAAATCAGGTGGGCTGAGGGGCAGCAGAGCAGTGCTTCACATGTGTCTACTACTGTGTGTGTGTGTGTGTGAATGTATGTATGTGTGTGAATGTACATATGTGTATGCATATGTGCGTTAGTGCACATGTATGTGTGTTCACGTAAATCAGGGACTGAATGGGGGCAGAGATCAGGGTCCCTCCTGCTGGTTGATCCACAGGTGATGTGCATAGGTTACTGGGGAAGATATTCTATGGATGCCAATGGGAAATGCAATTCTATGGGTGCCAGGTATACATGCTGTTTGGTGCCAGCTGAAGTGGAAGCTTGGAGGTGGGGTCTGGTGCTTCTGATCAGATGTTCTCTGTGGAGGTCTTGCCAATTACTTTCCCTGGATCTTAGCCCATTTCTGGGCTTGGGTTTCTAGGCCTCTCCTTCCTATTCTACGAGATGCCCAACATCCCTTTTAGAAATCTTCTCATAAGCTGGCCAGAAAGGATTTCTGTTGTTTGCACACAGGTAACTCTAACTTACATTCTTCCTTGACTGTTTGGCATTTTAGGTTACTATCACATGATTTTATGTCAAATATAAATCATTTCCATGGTGCACCCAGTATCTCCAGGCTCCTAAAGTGCAGACAAAAGTAGGATATGGTTCTTCTTTTCTTCGAAGGTAAGTGTGATTTCTCAGTGCAGTCATAGTAGCATCTCCATTTTTCTAGTAGGGGTCATGCAATTTTATCTTTTTCATTCCAAGAGATGGTCCTAGGATACAGAATGATGATTCTGAACAGGATGTTTGGTGTAAGAACACAAAGAAGGCATATTCTTACTGCCTTCTTAAGGAGCAGTGACAGGGGATGGTGGAAAGAGGAGAATTGTGGAGTTGGGTGTCTGAGCCTGGTTCTGACTCTTTATGACCTTGCTTGAGCCACTCCATTTCTCTGAGCCTCAGTCTCTTGATGACAGAACCATTAGACAAACTGAGATGTAAACAAGAAACAGAGGCCTTTGAAAAAGTTTAAAAAGTTTAAAAAGAGGCCTTTAAAAAGTGTAAAAGTCTGTGAAAGATGGGTGGTTTGATTGCTGTAATAATTTGATGCCAAGAAATTACATTAAACTCAGTTCAATAACATTGCTCTTGAAATGTGTTTTAGGGTTTAACCACTCATTGAATTATTCCAGATCGGGCTAACTTTGTAAAGTTGTGGGTGTTTTGCTTCTTAAAAATCTGTTTTCTCTGCTTGAAAACTCTTTGTTAATGGCTTTCCATTCTTGGTCACTCTGTGAATTGCTGGTGGTGGAGACATAGGAGACATAGACAGGTAAAGGTAGGGGTCCTGTGTTCCACAGAAGAGGGTTTTTTGACAACTGCAGATAGAGTTCTTTTTTAGCAGATTGATTCCTCCTCCAGATATGTTTTCTTTTCTTTCATCTGAGCTGTTGAGCAAACCCAACCTGGAGTGGGTTTCTCAGACTGTGGTACCAGCTGCTGTCATCTTAGCTGAATTGAACTGGACGGTGAGACGGCCTCTTGTTGTAGATAATTGCCTCTTTGATTTGTTGCTCAAAGACCCCCAGGGTGCAGCTGCAGGATTGCAGTAGAGTGTGAGGCTGACTGTGGAAGTCAGTGACAGCCCCAGTCATCTCTGAAGCTGGAGTTATTCATGGACCACCTTCGTGATTTGTGCTCGTAGCAACATACCACCCAAACTCTTTCCCCTTTACTATTTTAATTTTGATTGATACATATTTTTTGGGAAGTAAGTTTATCTTAAAAGAAAATTTTCTATCACTCACTAAGGTGGAAAATCAATCTGTTGATTTTCTAGTTTTATTTTTTCCTAGTACACATTAAAATAAATGCATAGCTATTACAGTAGTGGGTTTACTATCTAAACTCATATTACCTTGGCAACTTCTGACTTCAGGGACTGGGAAGTTGGCATTGTCTCTCTTCCATCAGACCTCATTATTTCTTCCATGTGTATGCATCATCATTACTACTGTTCAATCCCTATCTTCTTTAAGTCAGTGCATATTTTTACAAAGGCAAGTTTACCTAAAACAGAAACTTTTGTCTCTTCTTTTGAAAATGGAAAGCCAGCATCACTCATGATAAATAGATGGCAACTATAAATAATAAATATATACAAAGCTAAAGTTATTACATCCAAGCTAGATAGGCGAAGGCTCTAAAATGCCTTGACTTTGAGGCTTATTAGCTCTTTCTGTTAAAAGGGCAGATTTGCAAGTGTTAGAGAAGGTTGAAGAAATTAACAACTGCAACTTTCTACTTGATTTAATCAAAAGGGTTGAAAAAGATTAGAAACTCTCTGTATTTCTTTCTTTCTTTCTTTTTTTTAGATGGAGTCTCACTCCATCACCCAGGCTGGAGTGCAGTGGTGTGACCTCAGCTCATTGCAACCTCTGCCTCCTGGGTTCAAGCGATTCTCCTGCCTCAGCTTCCCAAGTAGCTGGGATTACAGGCGTGTGCCACCATGTCCGGCTAATTTTTGTATTTTTAGTAGAAATGGGGTTTCACCATGTTGGTCAGGCTGGTCTCAAACTCCTGACCTCAGGGTGATTGCCTCGGCCTCCTCAAGTGCTGGGATTACAGGCGTGAGCCATCACGCCCGGCTGAAACTCTCTGTATTTCTTTTATTCAATATTATTTAATGTTATATCCTTGTCATACCACCTAAAGTTTTCTCATGTACCCTTAGGGTATCTGTCCCATATTCTGAAAACACTTATTTCTATCAGTTAAATTTTTGTTTCTATGTTTTAAAATTTATTTTTTATTTAAAAATGTTTATTAAAAATCATTTGTATTTATGGGGTACAATGTGATGTTTTGCTATATGTTTAAAACATGGAATGATTAATTCAGATTAATAAATCCATCACCTCACATACTTATTTTTTGTGGTAAGAATATTTAAAATATACTTTTAGCAATTTTGAAGCATATAATGCATTATTATTTACTATAGCCATCATTCTATGCAGTAGATCACTAAAACTTATTCCTCTAGTCTAACTGAAAGTTTCTTCCTTGTTTTTTTGAGATGGAGTCTTACTCTGTCGCTCAGGCTGGAGTGCGGCAGCATGATCTCGGCTCACTGCAACCTCTGCCTCCGAAGTTCAAGCAATTCTCCTGCCTCAGCCTCCCAAGTAGCTGGGATTACAGGAGCGTGCTACCATGTCCGGCTAATTTTGTGTGTTTTTAGTAGAAATGGGGTTTCACCATGTTGGCTAGGCTGGTCTTGAACTCCAGACCTCAGGTGATCCACCTGCCTTGGCCTCCCAAAGTACTGGGATTACAGGCATGAGCCACCATGCCCAGCCATTTTCTACCCTTTGATCAACACCTCTCCTTTCCCCATCCTCTCAGCTCCCCCAGACCCTGATAACCATCATTCTACTCCCTACTTCTATGAATTCAACTTTGTACAATTCCACATAAAAGTGAGATCATGCTGCATTTGCCTCCATGTGCCTGACTTATTTTACTTAAAAAATTTAATGCTGGGCATTTAAAACAAGTTCCTAACATTTTAAAATTAGGCAAGATTGTTTTCTTTGATGTAGATTGTTTTCTTTTGCTCTCACAGCAAAAAAGATTAAAAAACTAGGCAAGATCAAAGTTTGTTTTTTTAATTTATTCCTGTTTCTTCTTGATAATATTTGAAGGGATAAAAAAAAACTGTGTGAGAGTTGGATATCTAGGGTTGGGGGACCTGTCTAGCATCTTTTTGCTCCTCTGATTTTGGGAGGAGGTTAGCTCCGCAGAGCCTCACCATGTCTCTTTGTTTCACATCGTGCCAAGGAGCTTGGCAGCTGGAGGCTGCCTTGTGGACCCTATTGTTGGAGGCGATCAATGCACCTTGGACTTTATGGCCAGAGGGAGCCTTTTTAGTGACAGAACTAAAATGTCCTAGGTCACATGAGAATAGATGCTGACAAAATTTGTGTTGGACAAAGACCTTATGTAACTCTCAGGCTTTAATTTCCCAAGGAAAATAACTTTATTATTGTCACTTTCATGTACTTTGTAAGTAGGTTTGGCAACTAAAAGAAACATAATCAATTGATCTAAACAACAGTCTAGTGAATGCCAGGGGCTTAATGTATTTTTTATTGAAACCATGGGAGGTGGATCAGTGTTACATAATATTTCTCATATGGGATATTCATTAATTTATTAGTTCAACAAATATTTGAGTGTCTTATATTTGCCAGCCATTGCTTTTGCACTGACTAGATAGTTCTCTGATCTAATGAGACTTATATTCTAGTAGGAGAGACACAGAAATCCTTGGTATTTTGGTGTTTATGGTGGCCATTTTTTGTGAATTAAACAAGTAATGAAGTGCTTGTTTGCTTGTTTGTTTGTTTGTTTGTTTTGAGACAGGATCTCACTCTGTTGCCCAGGTTGGAGTGCAGTGGCAAGATCAAGGCTCACTGCAACCTCTGCCTCCCGGGCTCAGGTGATTCTCCCAGCCTCCCAAGTAGCTGGGACTACAGGTGCTCACCACCACTCCTGGCTTGTTTTTGTATTTTTTATAGAGATGGGGTTTCACCATGTCAGCCAGTCTGGTCTTGAACTCTTGGGCTCAAGTGATCTGCCTGCCTCGGTCTTCCAAAGTGCTAGAATTACAGGCATGAAACACTGTGCCCAGCCATTTGTTGATTTTGAATGCAGCAAGAGTCTAGATGGACGCATGGTGGGAGGGAAGTAAGGTCAGATGGCTTTCAAGGAGAAAAAGTGCCTGGTTACGTATGACTATGGTCTAGATGTGGGTCCACATTGGCACCATTGGTGTTTTATGAATTAGGGAGTGGCATACTGTGATTTTGTAGCAATGCCAGCTAATGAAAAATACCTATCACACATGAGCAAATTAGTAGATTCTTTTTGCATTTGCATTTTTTGCTTTTTCACTGGGTTTGTTGCATTTTTTCTTCTCTACTTGTTCGTTTGTTACAGTTTAAAATGCCCATGGAGGCAAGACAAGGAGTGAGCAGGCTGAATAAAGTAAGACAGGCATATCCAAAGAGCCGTGGGGAGCTAGAGAGGGAAGAGCAAGTGCAAAGACTCTGAGATGCAAATAATTTTGGCTTTTAGGAGGAATAGAAAGGTTTTTCCTGGATCCAGTGAAATCTGATTGAGTTTCCTGGTATGCAAAGATAAGAACAGTTCACCAAATGCATGCAGCCTGCTGTTTTGATGTCTCACAAAGAAGTGTGATGATCTGGCTAATGTTGCACAAGGACCTGTCAGCTATGTTAGAAATAAATCTCACACTCTCTAAAACCCAGAGCTTCTTTACTTTGTATTCCTCTGGGTGTGTGGTACTCATAGTTAGTCTCTAAAGGCTGTTTTTGAAGTGATGACACACAGTTAAGGACACTGAGGTACAGGGGAGATGTTGTCTAAGAAAAGTGGTTCTGAAGATCCCCGGCAGCATTATCCATGATCTTGATTGACCCAGACAGAAAGAAGTCTTCTATCTTAAAAGTATTTGCCTCTGCTTTTTTCTGGGGGTGGGGCGGGGAGATGGTGGGGGGGTGGGTAGATTTGTGATCCATTGCATAGGAAGTCTCTCTTCTGAAAAAAGGGGTAAGAGTTTTTTGCTTTTATTTTCCAAGTCCCTGTCAATAGCACTGTAGCTTAGTCCACAAGCACAGCTAGAAATACTGGACCCTTGAACACAGTAACTCAAATGGGTTGAGTTGTTTGTCCTCTGGTTGTTTATTAATGAAAGAATAGTTGGGTCTCTTATCTGTGTGCAGTGGACAGACTTTGCCCTTGCAGGAAGGTGAATCAAGGCAGTGCCAACTGGAGCTTGGTCTTCTTGGTCTTTTGTGTGTCCCTACATAGACCAGAAGCCCCACTTCACATGTCACAGGTCTGTAGCCAACAAAGTCTTCCCTCCTTCTGTAGGTTGAAAAGCTATTGTGGATACCTTTTATGGGAACAGCATTGGAAACAGCTTTTGAGATGTGCAACCCCAGTTTGTAAATACCACCTACCTTGTTGGTAGTCATTTATTGAGCTGCTGTACCAGGCTCCAAGTAGGATATTGGAGGTTTAAAATAAGAAATGGTGGTGAATTTTAAGAAGCTTGTTACTGAGATGGATAAACATCTGTCTCCATCTTCCATCCTCCTGTTTATTAATTTATCCGTTATCCATCCATCCATCCATCCTTAACTAACAGCAAAAGGCAATGTAAAGAATTCTGGATACTGAGATGAACAGAGAGTGAATACTAAGGGAATTCAAAAGAAGGAAAAGTCTTCGGGGGTCAGTACTGTTGTGGAATGATCAGAGTCTTTGACTAGAAAGGAGGAGTCTTCTCTACAATCTGCTCTTCTGTCTATGGGTTTGATGTTTGGGTTCTGAAAGGCTGGTAGTGTGGCACAGATGATAATTATACACGAGGCATGGAGGGCTGCATAACACAGGATTTGGTTGTGGGGGAGGTTGTTAAATCTCCTTTTCCAGAGGCATTTTGGAAACATAAAAACCTATTGTCGCCCGGGTGCTGTGGCTCACTCCTATAATCCCGGCACTTTAGGAGGCCAAGGTGAGTGGATCACTTGAGGTGGGGAGTTCAAGACCAGCCTGACTGACATAGTGAAACCCTATCTCTACTAAAAATACACAAAAGTAGCTGGGCGTGGTGGTGCACGTCTGTAATCCCAGCTACTTGGGAGGCTGAGGCAGGAGAATTGCTTGAACCCAGGAGGCAGAGGTTGCAGTGAGCCAAGATCCCACCATTGCACTCCAGCCTGGGCAACAAGAGTGAAACTCCATCTTAAAAGAAAAAGAAAAACAAAACAAAACAAAAACCTGTTGTCCCGTATGGTTTAATTGCCAGCTTCCTTCAACCTGGGCCATAATTTGAGCTGATCACTCTAGTTGGAGCATTGTGTGTTGGTCAACAGTCTGTCCAGGAAATACTCTAGGCCAGGATGGTGAATATGCAGCAGAAAGTGCCAACCCCGGCACTTGCTTATGGCTCATAGAACTAGTCACAGCATTCTCTTCTGCTGAACCCACAGGCTGCCTCAACATCTTTTCCAGAACAGTGTTCCAGGCACCCAGGGCTGTTTGACTGCATAGATACACAAGGTGAAATGTCTGCCATCCCTGCTCGTCTTCTGGCTCCTGCCCCAGCAGCTATTGCACACATGTGGATATTGTTTCTGAAAATCAGAACTTTTGTAGCATCCTTTTATTCATTCTTATTTTATACTTCATTGCATTTTATCCTCAAACTACAAAAGCAATTCCTACTAGTTACAAGGCAACAACACAGGAATTGAGGAAGGAAAAGCCAAGATCTCTCCCATTCCAGCCTTTGTCTTTCTATTGCCCCTCTTTTCTTCCATATTTTCTGTACACACACACACACACACACACACACACACACACACACACACAAACACACAAGATTGATAAATCTAGTTTTTAAAATTGGGTGTTGAGGATACAGCTATGAGCAAGACAGATAAAAGTCCTCAGGAAGCTTGTATTCTAGCTGGAGATACAAACAATAAATAAGTAAGCAAATAATTAAAAGAAGTATAATTTCAGGGAGTACTAAGTGTTATGCAAAAATTAAAGCAGGATGTCAGGATAAAGCATAATGGGACATGAAGAATATTTTAGATGATGTGGGCAGAGAAATTGCAGCTCCTTTCCTCCCCCTCCTCCTCCCTCCCCTCCCCTCCCCTCAACTCCCCTCCCCTTCCCTTCCTTTTCATCCTTTCCTTTGCTTTTCTCCCTTCCTTTCTTCTTCCATCCATCCTTCCATAATTCATCACAGATATCTCTTCCTGCTCTCTAGCCCTAGAGCCACCACACTTCCTGGGCTTGAATGCTGGCTCTGGCTCTTGTTAGCTGTGTGATCTTGGGAAAATTACCTAAACTTTCTGTTCCTCATTTTCCTCATTATTAAAACTGAAGATGGAGTTGTTATGATAATTAAGAGAGATACTATAGAGCCTAGAACAGAGCCTGATACTGGAAAGAACTCAGTAAATATTAGTGGCCATTTTTGGTTGTTATTGTGGCATTCCATCAGTTCCATGCAGCAGCTATAAGCCAGACCTGTGGACATGTGGCAGGGTTTCTTCTAGATACATTGGCAGTCTTTTAGCACCACTGCTCTCATAAGTAGGGCACCTTTGTAAAAAGAGGCCTGATCTCATAGCCCTATGGTACCTTGCATATAATAGGTGCCTCTCAAGTATTTTAAAAGTTTAAAGAAAACTTTATATAGACATATACCCACAGACAGTAAATGCACAGATTCCAATTGCATAGCTCGATGAATTTTTACAAAATGAACAAACCTGTGTAACTGTCACTCCGTTCAAGAATCGTAATGTGACCAGCACCTCATAAGCTCCATATGCTCCTTCCCAGGGACTCCTCTCCTCTCCATGGTTACTGCTGTCCTCACAACTAGTACCATTTGGAATATACACAAATCCATGACCCAGCAATTCCACTCCTAGCTAAATATTCAACAGCAATTCACAAATGTGTTCACCAAAAGACACACACAAGAATGCTTATAGTGGCATTATTTATAAAGGCCCCAAACTGGAACAACCCAAGTGTCCATCAACAGTGGAATGGATGAATAAGCCACAGTATATTCATGCAGTGAGAAAACAAACTACTGCTATATGCAATAGCTAGGTTAATATTGGTAAACTTAACGTTGATCCATAGAGACACATGGTTCCTTTTCTGTGAAATTCAAGAACAGGCAAAATGAGTCCATGGTTTTAGTAGAAGTCTCTAAAACCTTTTCATTTGTAGTGGCTTAAAAATACGTCTACAAATTCTTTGATACTCCTCACTTCATGAGGTGAAGCTGAGTTCTCCACTCTGAATGTGGGCTGGATTTGGTGAGTCACTTCTAACATATAAAATACAGCAGACATGAGGTTGTGTGACATCTGAGACCAAGATGTAAAAGCATTGCATCTTTCTCGTTGTTCTGTCTCGGATCATTTTTTCTGGAGGAAGCTGGCTGCCATGTTGAGGATGCTCAAGTAGCATCTAAGGAGAGGGCCACATGGTGAACTGAGGCCAATAGCCATTTGAGTGAGTCACCTTGGAGGTGGATCCTCCAGCCCCAGTCAAGCCTTCAGATGACTGCAGCCCCCATACCATGACTGAAACCTCGAGAGAGAGAGAACCACCTGAGTCAGAGCCATCCAGCAAAAATGCTCTTGAATTCTTGAAACTTTAAGAGGAAAAATATTGTTTTGGGGTAGCTAGGGTTTGGAGTGATTTGTCATGCAGCAGGAGGTAACTAACCTATTCCTCTTTATCCTTTTCAACTCTGGGGTCTGCACTAAAGAGTTATTTTTTTTTCACAGCAGGATTAAAACAGATTTACTAAAGAATAGTGTGTGTGTGTGTGTGTGTGTGTGTGTGTGTGTCTCACTATCAATAATTGAACTTTACTATGTCAAATGTGGTGTTAGGAGATTGTGTTCCTGGACGGAGAAAAATGATCATGGAGGAGAATTGTTGGGATGGTGAAGGAGCAGAAACTCCTCAGAGAATGCCTTCACAGAGTGCCCTCAGGCTGCAGGTCATCCGCGGTTAAGTTCGTGTCAAGGTATGTTGCCTGCTGGATAGAGCTATACAAATGGAAGCTCTTGTTAGCAGAGAGCACTTCTTTTTTAGGTTGAAAGCAGAGGTGGCTCACAGAGACTTGCCCTTAGATTGGGGCCTGTGGGTGTTAGTTGCCAGCTTTCCATAGCCTCTACCTGCTCAGCTACTCACCTTTATATCACTTGCCTGGTCCTGGAGGCACTTGAGGTTACTACCATGGATCTGAGTAGATGGGACATGGGTAGCCTTTTGAAAGCTTTCCTAGCCGCAAGCCTGGCAGCAAAGTAGCAGAGACCCTCCCCTACTCCCCTGCAGACCTGCAGGGGCCATGGGAGCCACCATGTGGGATGTCTCAGGGGCAGTCTGTGTGCGTGGACAGTGGAAGTTCTGCTTGCGTTCTGCTCCCTCCCATCTTTGTCCCTACACAGAACCCCACAAGTATATCTCCTCCCAAACCCTAAAAGAGAGTACAAAACCTCAGGAGGGATTCCCTCCAGTTAAATTAAATTAAATTAATTAATTAGTTTTTTGAGACAAGGTTTCACTCTGTTGCCCAGGCTGGAGTGCACAGTGACATGATCTCAACTCACTGCAGCCTCAACCTCCTGGGCTCGTCTGGTCCTGCTGCCTTAGCCTCCTGAGTAGCTGGGACTACAGGCACACACCACCACACCAAGCTAAAATTTTATTTTTTGTAGAGCTAGGGTTTCTCTGTGTTGCCCAGGCTGGTCTCCCAACTCCTGAGCTCAAGGCATCTGCCTGTCTCAGCCTCTCAAAGTGCGGGGATTACAGGCATCAGCCACTGTGCCCGGCCTTAGTTTTATTTTTAATACCAGCCTGGCCACATAGGACTGAGAATCAAAATTAACTTGGATTTTAGAAAGTAAAGAAAATAATATTTTTTTTGAGTTTATAGACTGAGAAATATACCTACTACGTGCTTTCCTCTCCATCCCTGGGTTGGGAGACGAGGGGCAAAGTGGAATAACATTTCCATCTTACCTGAAGGCTGGAAGCTAGTTTAGTGGGGACAATTTAGCTGGTGTGGTTAAAAATGGGTTGGAATAGGAGATATGTATTTAGTGCTTGCCGTATGCCAGGTCAGGCACTGTGCTGTGTCATGGAAATACATTCACTCGCTTAATGCTCAAGGCTGCCATCCAAGTGGGCACTGTTATCCCCACTTTCCAGACATGGAAACTGGGTCTCAAAGAGGCTAAAATAACTAGCGTTGGGCTACGCAGGTAGAAAGTGGCAGCACTTGGCTTTGAACCTAGGCATCGGGGTCTGGAGGTTGTGCTCTTAGCCCCTTCATGATGCTGCCTTTTTGGGTACTTTCAAAGGGACCTCAGTAGGGGGAGGTTTGGGGCACTGCACCTGACCAACAGCCAAGATCATACCAAGAAAACCCACGTGGCTGAGGCCGGCTCACCTCCTGGGAGGAGTTGCAGGCTGGGACCAATAACCACAAGACCACTAGGCCAGCCCTGGCTCTGCACTACACACTTGTGTGATTGTGGATATGTGAATGATTTCTCCGTCGCAGTGTCGCAGGCTTGCATGAGGAACACCTGAGGTAATATGTGTGAAAGTACTTGGCAAGTATTCAAGTGGCAATTGGATGTGAGGTGCTGTTAGTGCTGTTCCTCCTGAGTGATGGGGGAGGGTACATCAGACTGAGCCCTGGGGGCCCCGTGATCCGATGCCAGCTTCCCTCCTGCGTAGCCTGCCTCTGTGCCCACATTTGCAACAAGGGCTCCAACACCAAGTTTTACTGGAGACCGTTTGCGACTAGAAGCCATGTCAGTAAAAGAGAGAGGCATAAGCACCTTCCTTCCAGGAGCATCTGCCTTAGCTTGAGAAGCCAAAGTAGCTTTGCCTTTGATATCAGTTTGTTGGTTTCTTTCTGTATTGGATAAAGCCTGGCATTTCAATCACAGGGACCTGCTGCATTTTGGGTGTTTGATTGATTAATCTGAGAAGTGCATATTGAGCATTGAGTGGGTACAAAGCATTGTATGAAGTGGGAATGATACAAAAACCTAACAAGATATGTCATTTCTACTGTTATGGGTCTTAACTGTTTGAGACAACCACAATGTATATGAAAACTTACACAGGTGATTATTTAGTATTAGTTGTGGTAAATATGAGGAAGGACAAATAGAGACGCAATACAAGAAAACAACAACAACAACAACCTGGTTTTGTGTACCTGGGAAGGCTTCCTGGAGGAGGCATCAATTAAGATGAGAATTGAAAGATGGATAAGATTATCCAGATAATTGGGGGTAAAAGGGCTGGGGGGTGGTGTGAGCTATAAAGGTTTCAGGCATAGCAAACGGTATATGCGAACACCCACATCAGTCGGGGTTCAGGCAGGAACAGCTGGCACACCTCAAAGAGAACTTAATGAAGGGGCTTTTGATGAAGATGGAGGCGCAGTCAAGGAAGCCAGCCAGGAACAAGCAACAGTGGCAAACAGTGATGGCCCTGGCCCAAGGAGGCGGAGACAGGGAAGTGAATTATAGTGATATGGAACAGTGCTTCGTGCAGGAACTTCATGGGACAAACCCAGGCACTGTCACAGGAGGAAGAAGCTGGGGATAGGAATATCTCAACCTCTCTTTTCTCACTGTCTAATCTCCTACTGTCTCTCCTATTGGTTGAACCCAACTGGAAGCCAGAGAGAGGACGAAGGAGCCTCTGAGTAATGCTGTTCATAGCTTTCAGCCTCTAATGGTACAGGGCAGGGCAGAAAAGTCTAGACAATGGATCTGGAGGGGCAAACAGAGAACAACCCATATAGCCAGGTAGGAACTGAGAAAGACCAGTAGGAAAGCCTGGAGCCACAAGCCTAAAGAGAATTCAAACAGCACCCACTAAGTGCTTAAAATTCAGTTCTCAGAGGACATCAGTGAGGTGGCTACTATGATTCCATTTTACTGATCAGAAAACTGAGGCTCAGAGAGGTTAAGTAACTTGCCCAGCAGATAAACAGTAGAGCCAGGATTTGAATCCAGGCAGTCTGGTTCCAGAGTCCATGCTTGACAGATTTTGGACTTCTTCTAACAATAGAAGTGATTAGGGGAGAGCGTTAAGGTGGGCAGCGACAGCTTGGGATTTTGAGCAGACCACCTGGTTGCTGCATGGTTTGCAGCAGTGGTTGCAAATGATACACATGAGGATGATGGCAGTGACATGGAGAGACACTCGGGACTTATTGATTGACTTGGGTGTCAAGTGGGCGACAGGGTTGATCTGTAGGTTTCTGGTTTGAGTGCTTTGAGGTTGGCAGTCCTTTCTCAAGGGGGACAAGAGAAGTCATTAGTTTCCTTTTTATTTTGGGTGGGTTGATATCTTGAGTTCAGTTTTTGGACAAAGTAAGTTTGATTTTCCTTTCAACTTCTAAGAGATGATTTCAAGTATTCATTTGGCTATGAATCTGGGACTTGGAAGAAAGTTCTGTGCTGTAAAAATAAGTCTGGGGATCATCATAATATGGAGGCCATTATCCTAAGTGAAGTAACCCAGAAACAGAAAATCAAATACCATATGTTCTCACTTCCATGTGGGAGCTACAGTGGGTCACATGGATGTAAAGATGGAAATAATAGACACTGGAGACTCCAGGAGTGGGGAGGTTGGAAGGGGGATGAGGGTTGAAAAATTATCAATTGGGTACAATGTTCAGTATTTGAGTGATGGGCACACTAGAAGCCCAAACCTCACCATTATGCAATGTACCCATGTGACAAACCTGCACAGGTACCTCCTGAGTCTAAATTTTAAGAAAAAAATATAGGTGGCAAATAAAGCTGTGAAAATGGATGTATGTATATGTGCATGTGTGTGCCTGTGTGTTTCTTGGTAGCTGTGAGGACCCAGGCTAGTTGAGAAGTCTTCATGGACAGGAAATATCCAGTGCATCAGGGTGAACCGTTGAGTGTGTCTGGGTTGGAGAGGAAGAGGTGAAAAAAATTCATTATGGCTGACACAATGCTTTAAATTACTGTGATGAAATGATTATTAGTCACCTGAAAGTTGATATGACCAGACATTTTACAAATAGCAGGTTTGACTTCTGTCAATGAGTTTAATTCCATAAAAGGTCAGGTTATTTTGAGTTATGAATTGAATTTTTGTATCTTAGCTTTTTAAAATTAATATTTATTACCAAAGTGATGGATATGACAACAGAGGATCTCTGATTATTTCCATAAATTCCCTTTATTTAATATTTGCTCTCTGTGCTCACAAGGGCAGTTGAAATATTGAACATCCTTCCACCATCTGTTCTCTTGTCCTTGGATTACAGACGGTAAAGTTATGTGTGTATCTTCTGTGAACTTTGAGAGGGTTTTATCTGGTCCTCGGAGTGGTAGAAATGTCAGAGCCTGATTGTTTTTTGTCAGTGAACTTTTGATTGCAAATAGAAGACACCCAACTCAAAGTGGCTTAAGGGTAATTTCCTGGCTCGTGTAATTGAAGAGTTCGAAGAGAGTCTCAGGTCTGGCTGGATCCAGACGCTGAGATGGAGTGGCCAGAAAGCAAGCTCTTTCCATTAATTGCCTCTGCATTTCTCTGATGGTTTTATTCTTAGGCGGGTGGTAGACTCTTGCAGTGCTTATTGCTTAGTGGAGAGACAGCTGGAATCAACAATCCCTGACAAATCCTGAGTCACATGTCTACTTGTGAGCCAATCAACTGTGGCCAGGGAATGGGAAAGTCTGATTGGCTTGGTTGGGTCAAATGGTTCCTCCTTGGACCAATCACTCTGTCAGGAGGACACAATGCTTTGATTGGCCACATACATACCAATCCCTGAAACCAACAGTGGAGTCAGCCCAGCATGAACTACCTGGACTGAGTGTGAGTGTGGCTCCTCAATGGGAAATACAAGCACTGTGTAGGAGTAGGGGCTGGATGCTGGGCAGTTTCCATTAATCTTTCTGGTCTTATGTGTGTGGGACAACCAGGGTTGGGAGTTTGTTGGATGATTCTCACAGTAGTTTTTCTCTAGTTCTCAGTCTTCCCCTGAAGCATTTTAGCACCAAAGGATGATTCTTTTGGATGTCAGCATTTCAGTCTAGGCTGGTTTATGAAGGGGACAGCACTTGGACACTCTTATCACCCACATCATCATCGTGAACACTGTATAGTACTAATTATATGCCAGGCTCTGTTCTAAGCACTTTGTATATACTGTCTCCATTTAATCCCTGCAGTGACACTGTGAGGTAGGTACTATTATTTATTTGTTTGTTTGTTTGTTTTTGAAATGGGGTCTTGCTCTGTCAACCAGGCTGGAGTGCAGTGGTGTGATCATGGCTCACTGCAGCCTTGACCTCCTGGGCTCAGGTGATCCTCCCACCTCTGAGGTAGCTGGGACTGCAGGCACGTGCCACCACACTTAGCTAATTTTCATACTTTTTCTGGAGATGGGATCTTGCTATGTTTCCCAGGCTGGTCTCAAACTCTTGGGTGCAAGTGATCCACCTGCCTTGCCCTCCCAAAGTGCTTGGATTACAGGCATGAGAGCCACCACACCTGGCCAGTACTGTCATTAATATGCCCAATTTTACAGGTGAGGAAACAGAGGCACAAAGAGGTTACATGACTTTTCCACGTTCACACAGCTAGAGTCTTGAATTCAAGGCAGACATACAGCTTTAACATCACTGTTGTAGAAATTATGCCTACAGTGGTCTTAACTTCACTATTCTTTTTTTTTTTTGAGACAGAGCCTTGATCTGTTGCCCAGGCTGGAGTGCAGTGGCGTGATCTCGGCTCACTGCAATCTCCCCCTCCCAGGTTCAAGCAATTCCCCTGCCTCAGCCTCCCAGTTAGCTGGGACTACAGGCACCCACCACCAGGCCCGGCTAATTTTTTTGTATTTTAGTAGAGATGGGGTTTCATCATGTTGGCCAGGATGGTCTCCATCTCCTGACCTCGTGATCCTCCCGCCTCAGCCTCCAGAAGTGCTGGGATTAGAGAAGTTGTGCCCAGCCAACTTCACTGTTCTATGTGTCTCTTCGGACTGCCTGTTTCTTTTGCACACAGTAGGTTAACGCCTGACAGGTAGCAGATACTTGGCAAATAGACCTTAAATTAAATGGAATGCCTCCCAGACATATTTGAATCCCAAAGCCCTGAGACTCAATCTTCTTTCCAAATCCTTTTCATTTCAAAAGCATTTTTAGTTCTTAATTACTCTCCATTTACAAATCCCAGGTTCCCATGAAACACTATTACCCTACTAATTGAATCATGAGAAACCCTTTATTGGGCCCTGAGAAAATATCAACTTCCCTACCTCCTGCCAAGTGTTGGTCATGGTGTGTATATATTTGTGTATTTAATGATTTTGCTGTGAGAGAGATGCACATTGTCATTAACTTATTTTGTGGAGCATAAGGACCAGAGTCCATGGTTGAGAATGACAGAAGAGAAGACTTTCTGCATTGGGGAACCTCTGTCATGTCAGAATTTAGATGTGATCTGAAGGAGGATTGATTTTCTTGTTAGGAACCAATGCTTGGGGCACCAATGCTTGGAGCTATGAAAAGAAGTGAAGTGGATGAACAAAGCACATTCCTGATAGTGGGACAATAACGGACTTGAAATTGTGGCAGGTGTTGATTTCATGACAGTGACACAGAATACCCAGTGTTTGTAGGAAAGTTGCTTCCTGTTCTGTTTACATGCACTGAGAAAAATAAGAGTATGTCCCACATAGTGACAAGGACAGAACAGTTAGGGAGCATCAGCAGCTCAGTTCAGGGTCCAGTTTGCTTGGAAAAGATATCATCGGCATTTGCATTGGGGGCAGGCAGGGGTGGGCATTATCTAGAGAGGGACTGAAAAATCTACCTAGAGTGTTCTCCATGGGAGAACTATTGGCATTGGATGTGGGATGAGACTTTTCTGTGCACTGCAGGGCATTTAGCATCCCTAACCCTAATCCTCTAAATGCTGACAATCCTCTTACCTGCTTCCTGAGTTATTGGGAAATCCCAACTACCCCTACTCATTTTTATATATGTGCCTTCTAGGGGGTGGTATCTCATCGATTGAAAACCATTGCCTGTAGGGACCAGGCTGGTAGCATAAATGATCAAAGAAGACCGATGTGAGAAAACAGTTGACATAGATACAGACACAGAAGTCTTTTCATTTCCTTCTAAGTCAATGCAGAGAAAAAGCGTAGGGTAAACGCAGTAATTAGTAGCAACCAGCAGTCAGCCTCAGTGTCAGGGAGGCAGTAGGGACTGGCGGTGGGGGGGATGTGGTAACTGGAGAGTGGGCCTTGGCTGATGGAGCAGCTGCTGCTCAGCTCAAGCCCATTGTTACTGGGCAGGAATGCAAGTTCAGTGTGGTCAAGTTTCAGTAAAGTCAGAAATCTGGGTTTTTATGTGAAATTGTCTGATGCTTACATATTGGCTATCAAATTGAAAGTTTTAAGACATGGTCTAATTGTTATCTATTGGTGAGTAGCAAAATCACCACAAACTTAAAGGCTTAAAACATCACCCATTTATTATCTCATCGTTTCTGTGGGTTGAGAGTCCAGGCATGGCTCAGCTGGGTCCTCAGCTTTGGATCTCACAGGCTGCAGCCCAGGTGTTGTCTGGGCAGTGTTCTCATCTGGAGGCCCAACTGGTGAAGAATCTGCTTCAAGCTGATTCAGTTGTTGGCAGAATTTATTTCCTTTTTGTGGTATGGCTGAGAGCCCTGGATTTTTGCTGGCTGGTGCCTGGAGGCTGCCCTCTGTTCCTAGAGCCCCACTTCCCCCAGGTTATTGTCACATAGGTCTTCCAACCTGACTGCCTGTTTCTTCAAAGCCACCCAAGAAGATAGTTCTAGTCAGTCAGCTAGTGAGATGGTCTTATAAACCTAATGTGGTCATGGAGTGACATTCCAGTGCCTTTGCATTATTTAATTAGTTACAAGGAAGTCTCAGTTCCTACCCACACTCAAGGGAAACAGATTTACAAAGCTGTAATCATCAGGAGCCAGGGATCGTAGCAGATCATCCTAAAGTTTATATACACATACATATGGCATGTACTGTCACCAAATGAGTGGCTAAGTAAAACATGCCGTAGGCTGGGTCCACTTATTTTGTGCTAGGTTTAGATACTTGGGGCCAAGGCAGAGTTTTGGACTTGCTTATCTTGTTGCTGTGGAAGATGTGAAGAAGGAAGTGTGTGTGTGTGTGTGTGTGTGTATGTGTGTGTGTGTGTGTGTGTGTGTGTGTGTGTGTATTGAGGGATGGGCTATAGGAGAGGCATGGAATGGATTATCTCTCAGAGACTCTAGAAGGAACCCACCCTACCAACACCTTGATTTCAGACTTCTGGCCTCCAGAACTGTGAGAGCGTAAGTTTCTCTTGTTTTGAGTCACCAGTTTGTGGTAATTTGTTACAACAGTTCTGGGAAACTAATACAGCTAGCATAGAACAGGAAAGATCCAACAGGCAGCTCTGGGGTAAACTTACTCTGTTATATTGGCTGTGGAAGGTGTTGAGGTTTGAGATTGGCTAAGCGTCTATGAAGCTGGAGTCTGGGAAGAAAATATTGCATTGTAGAAGCTATCATTTGGTTGGGGAAACAACATAACGACTGTCTCATTGAGGCATAGGCAAACAGGTTGAGGATCAGATCAGCTTCACAGGCTGGATGGAGCTTCCTGCATACATGAACCTACTGCTGTTTTCACACTCAGAGCTGCCTTGGATGGGGTGGAGCAGACATTTCTACAATTGTAGCTGCGATGATTGTTCTTATCTGTAGTTCTCTCTTGCTTTGATGGGCTCCATTGCCTACAAATCACCTCTCCCAGTTGCTGATACCTAGCCATCTCTCAAAAGGTAACACATGAGATCAAGGCAGCTGTTATAGTAGAAGCACTGAAATAACTAAAACCATTCTTTTTCTTGTAAAAATGTGAAATTTCTGATTTGTCCAAAGCTAGACACATAAGTTTCTTAGTATTTGACTTTCTTAGACGAGAGATTAAACTGAGCAATGAGACGGGAGAGTGGCAATAGCTTCTAGAAATCAGCACGTGTTGCCTGGGGAAAGTTCTCACTGGCATGCAGATCCCCCTTCAGGTGTCCTGTTCTCATAGCTGAGTTTCATGATTTCCAGTACTTCTCTCTGGTGGATGTGCTTTTCCAGCACCAGTTGTCTGTTTATCCATCAGGATGGCTCCTGTTCTGACTCAGAGGCCCAAAATATCTGGGTTTCCAGCCCCCTGGACAGGAGCATGTAAGACTGGAGTCCCCACCTGCTCCATGGTCATCTTGGCAGGCCAGGCTCCTGCCCTCTGTGGATCCCTTGGACTCTCTTTTCCATGCCCTGTAACCTGTTGCAAGGAGCTCTCAGCAGAGTCTGACGTTACCAGCCTCCAGGTGCTTAGTGGGAGATGCAAGCATCTCTGTCTTTGGTTAATTTATCACAGGGAAAGTGGTTTGGTGGGAGAGCCCCAATTAAAAGTATCCTTGCAGTTTTCCTTAATCACACCCTGAAAATGTTCCCGTGCCCCAGGCTGGGCTTATCTCAGAAAGGGTGTTGAACCTCTTTTGCATGACTCCGCTCGACAGAATGTGATGTCTGAGGTGTGTCCCAAACAGTATTGCCCACAGAGTGTTCTGAGGACCCCGTGCTTCAGAAGGGCAACTTGTTTAAAAACACAGCACTATGGGTCCTGCCCCCCAGACCTATAGCAGCACAGTCTCTAGAGGTTTGGTCCCAATCTCTGTGCCATGACAAGTGGCACAGGTGATTCTGATATGCTTGAAAGTTTGAGAGCCTCTGGTCCACAGGGTTCTGATGCCTTCACCCCCTTCCCTGCCCTTGGAATTTTTTGGTGATGTCTCTTACTGGGCATCTTCAGCCCTTGAAGTCTCATATTCGTGGGACATCCAGAGACGGATGACACCTTAGATAAAGACCCTTCATTCGACCAATATTGATTAAGCTCCTCCCATTTGCCAGGCATGGTTCTCAGCACTATGGATAATGCAGGAAACAGAAACTGCGGAATCTTTGCTCTCCTTGGGCTTATATCTAGTGGGAGAGACAGATAATAAACAAGGGAAGCAAAGTGTATATTGGGTACGGTTTAGTGCTAAGGAGAAAAATAAAGCAGGAGACCAGGGATAGAAGTTGTTGAGGATAAGAGGGATTTGCCATTTTAGATTGGGTGGTCTAGGAAAACTTCACTGAGAGGTGACATTTGTCCAGATCTGAAGGAGATTAGGGAATGAGTCATGGTGGTGTCTGTGGGAGAGGCTTCCAGGCAGGGGGAATGGCAGGTGGAAAGGTTTAGAGACGAGAAGGAATGTGCTGTTTTAGGAACCACGAGGAGCCAGTGTTCTGTTCCCCACCAACATACAATATTAGCATATTTTCACACACATAAATATACATTTTTATGAGCATTGCAATTCAAAGCTAGAAGGGTGTGATGGAGAAATTTTCTTTAAGTATTTTTGGCTAATTAAAATTAATTGACTAAAATTGGGAACCAAAATTTTGTAGAAAATAGTGAGAAAAAACTTGATTGGGATTTTTTTTTCTTCCTTGAGAAATGAAATAAAGATTATAATAAAAGTTTATTTTATCTTGTAGTAAACAAAATTAGGGGTTGGCAATTCCCGATCTGTGCACTTTGAACAAAGAATGCATGTTGATAATTTGTCATTTTTCTTCCAGTTTTCTATAACTATACAATATTGCAGTTCTCATTTCATGTTTGACATTGCTAGTAGGATCACAAAAAGGATCCGTTTAGCGGAAATATTTGAGGGCTTCTCCAGTTTCCCCAAGAGCTTCACGATACTCGGCTATTGAAACTGCTGTCTTCTGAAGCACCCATTGTCCTCACTGATTTTCTCCTCTTCACTTGTTTACTTACTATCTATCTATCTATCTGTCTATATCTATTTGAGATGGAATCTTGCTCTGTCACCCAGGCTGGAGTGCAGTGGCGTGATCTTGGCTCACTGCAACCTCCACCACCCGGGTTCAAGCAATTCTCCTGCCTCAGCCTCTGGAGTAGGTGGGATTACAGGCAACCACCACCACGCCTGGCTAATTTTTGTATTTTTAGTAGAGACAGGGGCCAGGCTGGTCCTGAACTCCTCACCTCAGGTGACCTGCCCACTTTGGGCTTTCAAAGTGTTGGGATTACCGGCATGAATCACCATGCCTGGCTGGTAAATATATCTTGAAGGGTGATTGTAGACCCTGGCTTCATTCTCTTTGTTGATAGTTTTGCATGCATTTGTCCATCCTCTACTATTACAAGATATGCAATTTCACTTTGCAATGGATTTGCATTGCTTTTGCATTGTATTTATAGTTGGCAGTCAGCAGAATCTGACCAATCAAGATGGCAGAGATGTTGAAGTGGTGGGCAGGGGTAGATGCTGCTGTCATCTAAGGGCCATGTGTGGGCAGGGACTGACATCTGGAAGAGTCCATTTATCAACAAGTGGTTTCTTGTTCTGCCAATTTATCCTTCCGTATGTAATCCCATAATTTCAAGGATTCATACAGCAAATGTTTATGTAATGAAGAACCTATGGAAAATACATATAATTTTTTTTTTCTGTATGTCAGAAATTGGTTATTATGTAAGTGAGATAAAAATGGTTCCTGCTCATTGGCCCCTGTGTTGTTTGTTTCTTCACAGCAGGCTGGGACCTGTTAGCTCAAAAGCCTGCTGGCACCAAATTCATATTTTTACACATCCAATTGTTTTAAACATAGCCCAAATAAACAGATTTTTAGCCATTTGGAGCCTGCCTGTTTTGCATACCCTGCAAAACTGAGTCCAATGTCTGTTAGTTGTAAATAAGATAAACCTTTTAGCTATAAAAGAACTCAAGCTGCAACTGCCCTTTAGAGCTCTCTGACCCAGAGACTCCCCACTGAGCTGCTGAGTGACATTATCTAGACATGTGAGCCCCTGTCTTGAATCTACCTCTACTTTCAGAGTTCTTTCCCTCCTCCCCTCTGGCTGGTGGCCCCTCAGGCCACATCCTTTGGACTGTCTCATGCTGTGAGGGGCTTCTTTCATGCAAACCTGTCAAAGCGTTGCCCAAATAAAACTCGTTGTATGCTACTGCCACCTTGTGGTCATATATTTTTCTATGCTCAGAGCCCAAATTCCGCAAACTCATTACAGTGGTGAGACCATTATCTTTTCCATGTAGTTTTAGATATTGTAATTTTTAAATAACAAGTGCTAAGAATATCACCAAGCCTAAAGATATTTCTCTAAAACAAACTTAATGAATATTCAAGACATAGATGTTCCTGGGCTTAAATTGTTCTAACAAAGATAATCTAAAATTAGGAAGGATTTGGACTAAGGACTGGGATTTAGAAACAATTGTATAACTTGTGTTTAAGAGAGAGGAAAATGTCAATAGTTTGGTTTTAGGTTTGTGTTTTTGATACCCAGCATTCATTTGTTCTGTTGTAACTTGAATTTCCTTTCAGGAGCCACTCCTTGCTAACCTCTCCCACGTGATTAGGAGGGGGTTAACTTCACCCTTAGTGACCAGCTTAGTTGACCAGCTAAGCCCATGAGCATTGTCCCTCTACCCTAGATGCCATAATGATTGGCTCAAGATTGAGCACTCAGTTTAATTTGGCCAATGAAAACCTGGCTCTGGGATCTTTGATCTAAGGGAAAGAATTTTGCTTTTTTGTTGTGGATGAGGATGTGAGATCTGGAGCTGCTGCAGCAACACTGTGACCATGAGAAGAATTGGTGAACAAAGCCCACATGCATGAGAGCTGAACAGGGTCCAGTGCCTAATGGAACTGGAGGTAACATTTGAACGTCTATAGTGAGTTGCATCTGAATTTGGCCCTATCTCTGGACGTTTTCATGGACATGCACCAGAACTGGATTTTTAAAAATCAATTGCAACTGCTATGACATGTCCAGAATTTGTCAGGTGTACAGCAATGTCCTTTGGGCCCAAAGGATTGAGGGCTGGATGTTCTCTAGAGCACCCCTTATGAAATAAATGGATCTACTCTGGCAAACGGAGACATTTGCCTTTGCCTAGGGATGTTAGAGGAATTTTCTGCTAAGGAAGAGGAATAGGATCAGGAAATCATATCTGGAGAAGAAGTGTTTAGAATCCTGGCTGGAGACTTAGGGTAGTTCCAAAGGACATCTCACAAGGTAGGAGGCTTAGATGCTTGTGTGTCTGATCTCTGGAGACCGTATGGTAGTTCATTGTTAGGAAATTAATAATAGCTAATGCTGATCCACGTCTTTGTTCCAGGTGTTCTTCTAAGCACTTAATATACACCAATTCACTTAATCTTCATAATAGCAACACTGTAGGTAGATAGTGTTATTATCCACATTTTACAGATAAGGAAACTGAGTCACAGAAGTTCAATGGTTATCCAAGGCCTCACAGCTAGTCCTTCTTGCAGCTGGAATTAAATTCTGGGAGTCTTGCTCCTAATCCTTCTCTCTCCATCACCTTCCTGACATTCATTCCTGGGTGTATCCAGCTCTGCTAGGGAGGGAGGAATGCCCAGTGTTTCACTCCAAAGCAAAGATGTCAGAATTTATTTATTTTTATTTTGTCAGTTTATTTTGTTTATATGTAAGCCACTGTTTCCCTAGACAGACTGTCTCACTCCCTTCTTTGATTCACAGATACAGCGTAACATAATAATAATAAACACACCTGTAGCACTCCGTCTGTGCCAGCACTTTATATTGTATTAGCTCACTTAACCCTTGCAGCAGCCTCACGAGATGGCCACTGTGTTAGCTTCCTGGGGCTGCCACAGCAAATGGCCACAAACGCGATAGTGTAAAACAACAGAAATTTATTCTCTCACAGTTCCAGGAGGCCAGAGCCCAAAATCAAGATGTCCGTAGGGTTGAGAAACCTTCTCATGCTTTTCCCCTACCTTCTGGTTGTTGCTGGCAGTCCTTCATATTCCTTGGCCCATAGAAGCATAACTCCAGCTCTCTCTCTCTCTGACTTCACATCGCTGCCTTCTCAGGTTCCCTGTCTGTCTCTTATAAAGACACCACTCATTGGATTTACAGCCCACCCTAAATCCAGGATGGTCTCATCTTGAGATACCTAAGTAATTACATCAATGAAGACCCTGTGGCTCAATAAGGTCACATTGTGAGGTTCTGGGTAGATATGAATCCCTGGGGGACACTATTCAACCCCTTATAGACACTTATTTTTTCATCATTTGAGAGAGGAGGAGTCTGTACTGCACCAAGAGTCAATGGCAAAGCCAGGACCTGAACCTGGCAGGCTGGTGTGAATACCTGTGCTGTGCCAGTCAGGTATAGTGGCCAGATGGGCAGGCTCAGAAATGAGGACCCCTACACTCCATCCTGCCTCCACCTTGTGATTTTGTGCCTGTTCCTTAATTGTTTGGTGCCACAGATTTCGCATTTGTAAGTCTAGGATAATGAGACCTACTCATAGTGCTGTAAAGAGGATTAAATATGTTGATACAGGTAAAGCACGAGAAAATTTATGCAAAGCCCTTGGGAAAGTGTCTGGCTCAGGGGAGTGGCCTCAGTAAAGCTCAGCTATTATAATCCACAAATATTCCTGAGTGGCGCTAGGATGCACATGGCTGCTGGCATCTTGCAGCCATCAGAGTTTGGACAGGACAGTTTATTATCATCAAGGCATTTGGTAGTATTGTCTTCAGATGGTTGTGAATTCAGGTTGTAGCTTTCCTTGCTTTTTTTTGGAATATTTATTAGTTCAGTTTCCTGAACTAATGAAGAACTAAGTTCTTCCACTGTGGGCTGTTTGGTTAACTCAAACGTTAGTAGATATGCTTAACTAGATCTTTTTGCTAGTGAATTTCCAGTAGACTGTGAGTACCTTTTACTGTCCAAACAGGAATCTTCTTTATCTCCTCTGGCTAAAGCAGAATGCAAAACTTCCCTTCCCTGGTCATACCCACACAATTTGCCTGTCTAGTGATGCTCATCAAGTTTCCTCATGTGGAAAATGGAAGCAGAAGCGATACTACCCCTGCGGGGTTGCACGAGGCATCTGTGTATTAGCAGTGCAAGGCGGAGGACAGTGCCTGGCTTCTAGAAGGGGCTTGAGACATTTCAGCATTTGTGAACAAGTTCTTTTTCTACTGTGAAATGGGTACCGGGGAAAGGTGAGCCACAGTCTCAGTCTGTGGCCAAAACCATCTGAGACTCACTGGTCTGGACTGAGCCATGCTCCTCTTTGCATTTCCAAGTGCTTCATGTGTAGTACCTGAAACTCAAGAAATCCTCTTTAAACGTCGGAGGACTGGGTGGATGATATGGGGTATAAAAATATTTCACAGTCTTGATGGCGTGAGTTCTAATTGCACGCTTCCTTCTCCAACCCCCGCCCATGGCAGACAGTGAAAGACTTGACCCACCCACTGGAAAGCTGGGAAGGTCTCAAGACCACCCTCACTTCTGATGCCATCTGCAAGTCTGGAGGGTCCCCAAGACCACCCTCAGGTTCAGTAATTTTCTAGAAGGACTCAAAGAACTCAGAAACGCTGTTGTACTTATAAATATTGTTTATTCTAGTGAAAGGATACAAACTGAGTTCAGCCAAGGGAAGAGGTGCATAGAGTAGGATCCAGTAGAGGTCCAGGGCAAGCTCCCAGTTGACCTTTCCCAGTGGAGTCGTATGGACAGCATTTGCTTCTCCCAGAGCTGATGTGCAACCATAGGCACAGAGTGCTGCCAACTGGGGGAGCTCACCCAAGCTTGGTGTCCAGAGCTTTTTTTGGAACTTGGTCACATAGACATGGCTGACTCTCCAGTCCCTCCAGTGGTCAAGCAGATCCCATGTGGCCCAAGCCTCCCTACTATAAATCATATTGAAGCACAGATTATCTGGCATGGCCCAAGACCTCAGGTAAACAAAGACACTCTTATCAGGCAAGAAATTCCAAAGGCTTAAAAGTTAGTTCTCAGGAGGTGAAGGCAAAGGCCAGACCTCTCTTCGGGCAAAGTTAATCCTTTACTGCCCACCCACTATGTAGACAACCAAACAAACCCAAAACCCTGTAGAGTGGAGTATTTAGTTCAAAAGTGGCTGGTCTAAGTAGAAGACAGAAAGATGCAGGTGTGTACTCACAGAGCAGGTTTCCTTTTGCCCAGCTAGGTGGTGGATGCTATGGGCTGGGAAAGACATATGGGGAGTGAGATGGAGAAGGTGTGACCCCGTGCCCTGTCTGTCTGTCCCTGCTGGGTAGAGGCTGGCCTGGAGTCCAGTTGTCTTTCTTTTGACTTATCTACAGCAGCTAGAATGTCTCTCTCCCTGGTCCAACCAGGAGGGATGCTCATCTGGACTCAGACTCTTTCCAGCATCCAGTCCTCCATCACAGACAAGGCCAAAGCTCAGGTCACTCTTGTCGCTCAGAACCAAAGGGACCGCGGACACCTGGTGGAGGTCTGGGGGAGAAACGCCTCTGTGTGTCTGGGGTGGTGACATTTGGGTTCACCTGGAGACCTACCAGTGAACGTGGGCAGTGGTGGAGCCACCATGTCCTCCTGGCTCTGACTTACGTCCCTGTTACAATGCACTTGCTCTGTTTTGAACTTCATATTGAACTGTAACCTACATGCAGAAGAGTCCACATAAGCGAGCACAGACTGATGAGTTCTCACAACCACCAAGTAATCGGCATGCAGAAGGAGAGACAGAGCATGGCAGGGTCCCCAGAAGCCCAGCAGGACTCCACTCAGTGACTGCCTCTACCACAGGGCGGCCACTGTGCAGGCTTTCACCTCGGAGATCTGTGTGCCTGCTTCTGACTTTCCACGAACGGAATTGCACAGTGCGCGCTTTTGGTACCTGGCTTCTTCCACTCAGCTGTGTATTTGGAGGGTCGCTGTGTTGTTGTGTGGTGATAGGCTGCTTCCTCGTTACTGCTGTATAGTGTTCCACTGTGAGATGTTACGCTTTACCAGTTCCGTTGTCAATGGGTGCTAGGGTCTGAACGTCTGTATCCCCCACAAATTCGCATGTTGAAATTCTTATCCCCAAGGCAGAGTTATTAGGAGGTGGGGCCTTTTGGGAGATTAGGTCATCTCCCTAAAGGAATGGGATTAATGCCCTTATAAAAGAGGTTTGAGGGTGCTCTGTCACCCCTTCCACCATGCGAGGACACAGCATGACAGCCGCATCTATAAAAAAGCAAGCTCTCACCCGGCACTGAAACTGCTGACATCTTGCTCTTGGACTTCAGCCTCCAGAACTGTGAGAAATAAATTTCTGTTGTTTATAAGCCTCCAAGTTTGTGGTATTTTGTTAGACTGTCCCGAACAGATTAAGGCAATGAGCATTTTGGGTTGTTTCCATTTTGGGCTGATGGCAGGGCTGTCGTGCACCTTCTTGTATGTGTGTCTTGGGGAACAGGTGCATGTGTTTCTGTTGGGCATAAACCGAGGAGTGGCAATGCTGTTACAGGGTCTACGGAAATTCAGGCTTTGTAGTTATCACCAAATAGCTTTCCAAAGAGGTTGAACCAAATTACACTCATTCCAGCAATGTTCACGAGTCCCAGTCACTCCATGACCAGGCCACCATTTGCTTTTTTCTCTCTTTTCAGTTTAGCCATTCTGCTGAGTAAGTGTTTTGACTTTTGTACTGCACAAGGGGATACACCAGAGTGGATTGTTAATAATAATAGTGATAATGATAACTAATAATAATAATAATTGAAAAGTCAAGACAAAGACAGTCCTGGAGTGCATCAACCCTGTCTTGGCTTCAACTGTTATGGAGAGAATTACTTTGGGACTTATGTGCTCACAGGTACTCTCCTCAGTTTGTGTAGAAGCCTGCTGCCTTTACTGCAGTTTTGAGGGCACTTTTGCAGCTTGAAAGTCCACTCTTTGGAGAGTTGCTGGGCCCTAGAATGCCTGCTGAGCCAGCCACAAGGGAAGAGGGACTGAGATAGGCATCTGGTTTCTGGAGACTTCCTCGTGTCCTGGAAATCAACCACACTGGAATTTATGGATCCCCTTATTTTCCAAATTGCAAATGCAGCAAGGGACCCTCTTGGGTGTGGCTTCACTGTGATCCTGGAGGCTACTGGAACCCGAGGAGCCCTGTCCCGTGAGGAGGCATCCGGCGGCAGTGCTTGTGGTGTGCACAGGAGCTGATTGAGGGGGGGCAACACTCCTAAGAGGGGTGGGAAGACTGAGGCGAGCGAGAAAAATAATTGTGTCCCAAGCCTCAGTGCCAAGTGGGGTGCTTGGCTGTGGACAGTGGAGTGGAGTGAGTGGAGTGGAGTGGAGTGGAGTGGAGGAGTGGAGTGGAGTGGAGTGGAGGAGTGGAGTGGAGTGGAGGAGTGGAGTGGAGTGGAGTGGAGTGAGTGGAGTGGAGTGGAGTGGAGTGGAGGAGTGGAGTGGAGTGGAGTGAGTGGAGTGGAGTGAGTGGAGTGGAGTGGAGTGGAGTGAGTGGAGTGGAGTGAGTGAGTGGAGTGGAGGAGTGGAGTGGAGTGGAGGAGTGGAGTGGAGTGGAGTGGAGGAGTGGAGTGGAGTGGAGTGGAGGAGTGGAGTGGAGGAGTGGAGTGGAGTGGAGTGAGTGGAGTGGAGTGGAGTGAGTGGAGTGGAGTGGAGTGGAGTGAGTGAGTGGAGTGGAGTGGAGGAGTGGAGTGGAGTGGAGTGGAGGAGTGGAGTGGAGTGGAGTGGAGGAGTGGAGTGGAGTGGAGTGGAGGAGTGGAGTGGAGTGGAGGAGTGGAGTGGAGTGGAGTGAGTGGAGTGGAGTGGAGTGAGTGGAGTGGAGGAGTGGAGTGGAGTGGAGTGGAGTGGAGTGGAGGAGTGGAGTGGAGTGGAGGAGTGGAGTGGAGTGGAGTGGAGGAGTGGAGTGGAGTGGAGGAGTGGAGTGGAGTGGAGGAGTGGAGTGGAGTGGAGTGGAGGAGTGGAGTGGAGTGGAGTGGAGGAGTGGAGTGGAGTGGAGTGAGTGGAGTGGAGTGGAGTGGAGGAGTGGAGTGGAGTGAGTGGAGTGGAGTGGAGTGGAGTGAGTGGAGTGGAGTGGAGTGGAGTGAGTGGAGTGGAGTGGAGTGAGTGGAGTGGAGTGGAGTGGAGTGAGTGGAGTGGAGTGGAGTGAGTGGAGTGGAGTGAGTGGAGTGGAGTGGAGGAGTGGAGTGAGTGGAGTGGAGTGGAGTGGAGTGGAGTGAGTGGAGTGAGTGGAGTGGAGGAGTGGAGTGGAGTGGAGTGAGTGGAGTGGAGTGGAGTGGAGGAGTGGAGTGGAGTGAGTGGAGTGGAGTGGAGTGGAGGAGTGGAGTGGAGTGGAGTGAGTGGAGTGGAGTGAGTGGAGTGGAGTGAGTGGAGTGGAGTGGAGTGAGTGGAGTGGAGTGGAGTGAGTGGAGTGGAGTGGAGGAGTGGAGTGGAGTGAGTGGAGTGGAGTGGAGTGGAGTGGAGTGGAGTGAGTGAGTGGAGTGGAGTGGAGTGGAGTGAGTGGAGTGGAGGAGTGAGTGGAGTGGAGTGAGTGGAGTGGAGTGGAGTGAGTGGAGTGGAGTGAGTGGAGTGGAGTGGAGTGAGTGGAGTGGAGTGGAGTGGAGGAGTGGAGTGGAGTGGAGTGAGTGGAGTGGAGTGGAGTGAGTGAGTGGAGTGGAGTGAGTGGAGTGGAGTGGAGTGAGTGGAGTGGAGGAGTGGAGTGGAGTGGAGTGGAGTGGAGTGAGTGGAGTGGAGTGAGTGGAGTGGAGTGGAGTGAGTGGAGTGGAGTGAGTGGAGTGGAGTGAGTGGAGTGGAGTGGAGTGGAGTGGAGTGAGTGGAGTGAGTGGAGTGGAGTGGAGGAGTGGAGTGGAGTGAGTGGAGTGGAGTGGAGTGGAGTGAGTGGAGTGGAGTGAGTGGAGTGGAGGAGTGGAGTGGAGTGGAGTGGAGTGAGTGGAGGAGTGGAGTGGAGTGGAGTGGTCAGGGAGTGAAACTGAGACAGGGGACAAAGTAGAGATGCCCACACAAGAACAGAAAACCAAACACCGCGTGTTCTCACTCGTAAGTGGGAGATGAACAATGTGAATACATGGGCATAGGGAGGGGAACATCACACACTGGGGCCTGTCAGAGGGTGGGGGGGGGCCTAGGGGAGGGAGAGCATTAGGAGAAATACCTAATGTAGATGACAGGTTGATGGGTGCAGCAAACCACCATGGCATGGGTATACCTATGTAACAAACCTGCACGTTCAGCACATGTACCCCAGAACTTAAAGTATAATAATAATAAAAACAAACAAACAAAAATAAAAACCGGAGATGCCCAGTTGGCCAAACCTCTAGGGTACGTGTGAGGGGTTCCCTGCCTCTGGGAAGGAAAGTAAATGGATGGCTGCTAGGATGGGCTGTCATCTGGGCTCCAGTTGACCGGGGGAAGGTAAAGGGTTGGTTGCTGTCTTGAGAGCTTAGCAGCAATTAGCTAGAAATGCGTTTGTGGTGTCATGGGGCCGATCATCCCACCCAGACGGCAACCCGGAGGGGCCACCTTGGTCTTTCCTCTGCTTGTCTTCAAATGTAATAACTTCACTAAGGGGAAGCAGTCCGATGGTCCTGATGTGCAGCCTGCAGGTGCTGGGAAGGCTGTGCTGGTTGACAAAATATTTCAAAATGTTGACATTTGTTGGCTAATGGTCAACTTGTCTCAAGTCCTGCCTCCCTGCCTTCCTTGGGTCCCCTGGACCTGTTTAGGACCAGCAAGCACTGTGTTTCCTCAGCCCCTGCCACGGCACCCCCCGTGCTAGGAAATGCTCTATGGAAGATTTGGACTGTCTCCCCGCACTGGACCCTCTGCTTCTCAGACTCTGAGGAAGCGTTTGCCCACTGTGAGAGTCTCTGTCGGGATAAACCAGAGGCTAGAAGCCCCAGTGGAAGAAGCATCGTGCACGGAGTCCCATGAATCAATTCAGAGCTGATGAATGAGGAAGCCCCTGAGGACGAGGGGACCTGTGTCTTAGTTTTGGGTCAGAATAAAAGAAGGAACAAAAATCTCACAGAAGAACCCTCCGTGGGTACGTGTTGTATCTCTAAGACTGAAGGGAGAGGGGCCTGGCAATGAGGGCTCAATTAAGGAGCTAAAGTGTGAGACATTATTGTCCCCAGACTTAACTACTGAGGCATTTGTCAGGCAATAAATGATGCAATGTGTGTCATAAAAGAAATCCTCTGTTAATGGGCCAGTGCAGGAGGGAAAGGAGTGGGGTTTGGAGTGAGGGGATCTGGTTTCGAATCCTGGCTCTGCCAGAACCAGCTGTGTGACCTTCAGCCGGTCGTGCGCTATCGGGTGGGAGGGTCTGATTTGTTCATCTGGATGTTGAGAACAACGGTGACAGGCCTGGCCACACGGCTGCTTGGTGAAAGAACTCTGTGGGAGAGTGAGAAAAGCTATTATGGTAGCAAGTACCGATAGGAAGGAGGCGGTGTGTGGACAGCGGAAGGGACCCTGTTTCTCTAGATATGGCTCTGGAACATTCTCTGCAGTTTGCCCCTTTGGCAACAAGATGGGATGGCTGGGGGCAGGGACAGAACAGGATGCCTCTATTTGTGGTTTGCATAAATTAATTCCTGGAACATCATGACGGCAAGAAAGAAAGCTTTGTGAAAGTAGCAGATTTGGACCCCAGAATTCAGCGGAAGAATGATCAAGTCAAGGCAAGGCATGGCATCTGAGTCTCCGGGAATTGCGGGCATTGCAGTGACTTTTTGGGGCGTGCAAGAGCAAGCAGAAGGATGTCTTGGAGTCTGTGTAAAGACCTACAGGAAGGGGAGAAAGGGAGGCAGAAACATTTCATTTTCTTTAATGAGATATGCAGACATTTGAATCTCCTAATTCTACCCTTAAGGTTCCTTACGGTGGGTGGTAAAGTTGGGGCTTTCCTCCAGTTCGAGAATCTCTCTCCTGCTTGAACTCTACCATGAGAGGCTGCCTTCCTTGGGTCTTATAGGTGTTTTGGTTTGATTTTGATACATTCTATTTTTTTAAAGTTTCAGTCACTCCTGGGAGGGGTCATTTTTCACCTGTGGTTTTTTTTTCCCCCATCTTCTTTTTTGTACTGAGGTAAAATTTACATCACATAAAATTAGCCATTTCACTGGCAATTAGTACATTCACAGTGCCGTTGGACCACCATCTTTGTTTACTTCCAAAACACTGTCGTCATCCCAAAAGGAAACTGGGTACCCGTTAGCTAGGCAGCTACTCCCCATTTCCCCCATCCTCACTCTTCCCCAGTCCCTGGAAACCACCAGTCTACTTTCTGTCTCTATGGATTTACCTTCTGAATGTTTCATCTGAATGCAGTCGTATACTATGTGGCCTTTTGTGTCTGGCTTCTTTCACTCAGCATCACGTTATCGAGGTTCATCACGTAGCATGTGTCAGAACTTCATCCCTTTTTATGGCTGAATAATATTCCGTCATATGGATAGACCACATTTTATTTATCCCTCCATCATAGATGGGCATTTGAGTTCTTTCAGTCTTTTACGTATTGCCCACAGTGCTGCTGTGAACATGAGTGTACAAGTATTTGTTTGAGTGCCTGTTTTCAATTCATTTAGGTATATACCTAGGAGTGGAATTGCTAGACCATATGGTAATTCTGTTTAACTTTTGGAGAAACTGGAAAACTGTTTTGCACAGTGGTTGTACCACTTTACGTTCCCCAGAGCAGTGTATGAGGGTTCCAATTTCTCTACATCCTCACCAGCACTTAGTATCTGTCTTTTTTATTTTAGCCATCCCAGTGGGTATTAAGTGGTATGTCATTGTGGTTTGGATTTGCATTTCCCTGATGACTAATGATGTTGTTGAGGGTATTTTCATGTGTTTATTGGCCACTTATATAACTCTGGAGAAATGTCTAGTCAAGACCTTTGCTGAGTTTTTAATTATGTTATTTGCTTTTGTTGTTGATTTTGTAGGAATACTTTATATACGCTGAATGCTAGGCCCTTATCAGATAGACAATTTGCATATATTTTCTCCCATTCTGTAGGTTGTCTTTTTGTTTTCATTCACTTGTTTTTAAATAGTGTCCTAGACCTGCTGCTATGTGTGGATTTGATTAATTAATCTTGGAGGTAATCTTTGCTTCCCATCAATCTTTTCTTGGTGGTGCTGGGATGTCTGGCATAATGCACCTGTCTTTGCTGACATCCTCTAACTCCTCCACATAATATTTGGCTGCCTTTGATATCCCTTTTTTGTTCATGGGAGAGGGTGCCCAGGGCCTCACTGGGCCTTTCTTGTGGGTCCACAGGCTTCTGGGAAGCAGAGAGGAGCTGGTCACCTTCCCAGCCCAGCCTGCACTGACCTCTGCAGCATTAGTTCGCAGCATTAGTTTACATCCCCAGAAGTCCCAGCGGGCCCTTGTGGTGATACCTATGTTCAGTTAAGACATAGTAAGCAGTGGGCACCCCACGGCCTGCCTTCATCCTGGTGACCCTCCAGATGCATACACAGCATTGGGCCAAGTCCCCAGGTCGCCCTGGGAGAACATGGATGTTGTCCGTGGACTCCCCACTGTTATAGAGGAGATGTTTTCTGGTTAGTAGCAACGTGAGGATCATTTCAGGAGCAGTGTACGAAAAGAAAGAAACCCAGACTGTGAACTCTCCTTGGCCTTTTCTCAATGGCAACACACCTGGGTCCTTGATTCTTCCTGGTGGAACCGTGTTCTGTGAACATTGTACCAGGCAGCATCTGGCCCCGTTATCCTGCCTGAATGCCACATTTGTTCTTCAAACACCTGAGGACTGGGTGCTCCCGTCCATTCCTGCTCCCAGAGTGCCCAGTGCAATGGCCTCCTCTTCCATCCCCTGGGCTGTGTGATCTTCTGGCCTTGCACAACCCACCCCGCATCTTAAAGACTCTTCTCCATCTCCAGGTGAAGAATAGGCCTTGCAGATCCATCTCTTCTGGCCCGAGGCATCTGTCTCATTTGCATCATGCTGGGATCCCTGGAGCAGCAAGTGATCTGGTTCCCAGCACACTGATTAAACAGAAAATTAATGCACATGGCAAAAGCTGGGGCTCCTACTTCCAGGCACTTGTAAAAATTACAAGACACTTAGTTTTTAAAGGAAAGCCACTTGCCACCACTCTCCCCCACATCTCCCAGAGGAAGGGGGCGATGTTACAGATGCTTTCCCAGTGATCTGCTCTCGTGCCATCTTTTACTACCTGTTTCAAACTAAAATGGTTTTATTATATATAATATCATTGTTTTCCCACCCCACAGAATTAAGGCGGCAGCAGGTGTGAAGATAACGGCAGTGAGAGTCAGCAGTGAGGACCAATGGGCAGTCCAGGAGGAAATTGATAATGGCAGCACTCAGACGTCGGCCACCCTCACCTGCATGGGCCATCGCCCGGACACGCAGAGCAGGTAAGCATGGAGATCCCCAAGGCACCTCCGCAGTGGGGAGGAGGGGAGTGGCTGCCAGAGCTGATAGCAAAATAATGTGCGTGTGGATAAAGCGATGCCTCTGCGTTTAATGAGAAATGATTTTTGAGGTCGGCAGTCTCAAAAATCACCAGAGTTCACATTTATCACAGCGTCGGGTTTGGTAACCGCGTTTTAAATTTTTATCTTTATTATTACTATTGTTATTGTTTGCAGCGAAGAGTTGAAGAAGGAAATGGGGGAAATAAAAATGATTTAAGAGGCAAGGGGAAAATATACTTAGTAATGAGCAAACCGAGGGTAGCTTTAGCTATTGGACATTCGTCCCTTAGTGCTTAAATATAGTTATTTTGCTGATATCACACTTGGGAATTGGCACATGGCCTCAGAATCTTAATTTGAATGAACTTGGCATTGCTGGAAGGCGGCCTGTCTTCTCTCGTTCAGACACCAGCCTTGGGCTTTACAAGGCTGAACTCACCTGGGACCCAGAGAGAGGTGATCACGTGTCACCTCACATCAGGACATCTGGCAGGTAGAAAGAACTCTCACCTGTGTTGCAGCCGCCTTCCCTACACAGTCTCATTGCCTCTGTTTTCTTCTTGTTTCATTAAACACCAGTCTTCTATGAGATTGCTTCACTGGGAGGGCTAACAAGCTTTGCTGGACATGTGGCCTCCTGCTTTAAAACCTCTGGCTCCTATTTCTCCCAGGAGGGGGCTCGGACTCCTCAGCTGAGCACACGAGCCCCTTCCGAGTTTGTTGCTTATCACCATATATTGTCACAACCAGTTCTCTTTCTTCCCTAAACTCTTCAAGGCCTGCAGCATTAGGAATGGCGGAGGCCTTCTGTGAATGAATGAAGGCCTGGGTGGAGGGGAGCATGAGAAATGGAGGGTCTTTTCCAGTGAGTTGCTGGCAAGCGCTGTCTCTTCTTGGGTGACCCCAGCCAACCCCAGCTAGAACTCTCTTCTGCCTGCTTTTGAAGATCTCTTTCAGAGGGTGAGAAGTGACTCAGACAGCGTGGTCCAAAGCATTCCATTAGGAATCACTAACTAAGTAATCTGGATGCCTCTTACTCTAAACTCTACGTTCCAGTCATCATTCTCTACATCTATCGACAGAGTTTTCAGCCCACAACCCTGCTTGACCCATGGTTTCCCTGCAGATTTGTGTCTGCCTGCTAGACACTCCTAAATTCTGAGTTGTTAGTTTCTAGGGAGCCTTGGATTTTTACATTGCTTAGGTGCTTTCAGTTGCAAGTAATAGAATATTTACCTCAAAGTGGCTGCTGCAGCAGGGTTTTGTCATCTCACATAAAAGAAATTGAGAGGTAGATGGTGCCATGGATGGTGAATCCAGCAGCACAACGGTGTCTCCTGGGTGTTTTCTGTCTTCCCACTCCAGTATACCCAGTGCCCTGATTGTCACTCTCCAGCTTGGGTTCCTCATGGTCACAAGATGTCTGCAGCTCTTCCAGGCATCATAGACTCACCCAACGATATCCAAAGACTGGAAGGGGGAGGCGGGGGGTCTCTCCTCATGTGTCCCTTTTTACCAGGGAGGAAAACCTTTCCAACAATATCCATGGAAGTCTTCCCTTTAGATCTTATCAATACGCAGTGGGTTTCATGCTTTTGCCCGAGAGGCAGGGTACCCTTGGAAAATGAGTCTCTGGTATTATTTCCGGGCTTTGTAGTGGGAAATGGTCTCTGTTGCCAGGGAATGAGGATGGGAGAATGGGTGCCTACTGGGTGGTCAGCTCACAGTGTTTGCCACACTCTTTGAAGCTGGTTTCTGTCAAAGGTTGTAGCTTGATTCTCTACTTCGCCTGGGGGCCCTGTGTGTTTGTATTCCCAGTGGCAGACTCACTCTTGGTTGCTGAGCTTATCAGGTGGGTTTGTGTCCCTGCAGGTAGAGAAGTTTGGGGGTGGCGTGGTACCAGGAATGTAGGGTCAGGTGCTCAACCAGTAACCTTAGCAACCTGTCTCCCTGGTTTAGCTTTTTCTCAGACAGGCCCTTCCCTCCTGGAGGCAAGATGACTGCTAGCAGCTCCCAGCAAACATCTGCTAACTTGGTCACTTCAGGGAGAAAGCTGCTGTCCCCAGATAGGCCAGGCACACGTCCCAGTGCTGGTCACCACTGGCTCTGTTTGGCATAACTTAGATTGTGCACCCACCCTGAACCAATCACTGTAGCCAGCCCTGAACCAGGGGTTTTGACCAGCGCTAATGGAAGAGCTTGGGCAGAGAGTGGGGGAGGGATTGTTGGTGGGCAGCAGATGCTGATGGGGACAGGAGATGGAGTGGGCGCCACCCCAGTTACCTTAGTCTCATGCCTCCTGCTGTTGTGCTACAGGAGTCCAAATGGGATTTTCTGGCCCCTTGCCCTCAGAAATCACTGTCTGGGTACAGAATGGTGATATCCATGGTCTATGCTTAGGAAATTAATTTTGTTGATATATTTGACTGACCAAGTGGTAATGTTTTAAATTGAAGAGCAACCTGGGCCACGGCTATCACTTTTTGGTTCTGTGAGAATCAGTTTTGCATTCTCTTTAGAAAAGATAAAAAAAAAGGTTACAGGGGAAAAAAGTAAAGTAGTTATATAAGCAGAGTTACATAATTATGAGACACTCTCACATTGTCTCATAAAGGAGAAAAAGTGTCCTCTTTCTCCTTCTCTTACTTCACATTTAGTATCTGACCTCCCTTGGGCCCTAAGAAGGGCAGGGATTGTCACTTTGGCATGACAATTTATGCTTACCTAATCTCGCAAAATCCATTCCATCATCTAAATAAATAATTGCTTCTTTTTATCCCTTTTTTTGTTGAATTGTAATATCAAATGAGGTGTGAAGTACAGGCTCGTGGACCGTGCTTGCCAGCTAACAAAGTGAATATATGAATATATCCCCAACAAAACACCCTGCAAAATGCTGTAATCTCTGAATTGTGACAACCTTGAGTGGAATAGAGTTTTTGATAGCATATTATGTACAAACTGCCTGAAATTCTGTGATAAGAATTAAAAATGTGTTGTATGGGAAGACCCGACATGCTCAGTTAGAAAGGCAGTAAAAATCTTAATTTAAAATATTTTAATGAACACTCTTTGTGAGGAAATGTGAGTAATAAAGATGAAAACCACAAGATAAAGAGTGGTGTTGCCAAAAGAGGAGAAGGAGATTAGAAAAATAAGCAAATTTGAAAGTGTTCAGAACAGATAACACTGAACCAAGGGAACCGAAAGCTAGATGATGGACTATTTGCATGGAAGCCACGTGCAGCTAGGTAGGTTGAGATGAGGTTGTTCTTTGAATGATTCTTGTCTGGCTGTTGGGACCCAAACCTCAGAGAAAATAAACCGCAACTTTTTATGTGGACAGAAACCACAATACAGAGCCCATTCTTATCTAAAAATTTGAATAGAGGCAGAGAAAAGCTCAGAGGATAGGCAAGCAAAAGCCCTAAAATAGACTTCTTCAAAAAAACAGGCACACCCACGTTGCTGTAACCCAACTCAAGGTGAAGTCAAGATCCAATCCAGCTGTTCACTGTGAAGGGTACTGTATTAGTCTGTTCTCACACTGCTAATTAAGACATACCCAAGACCGGATAATTTATGGAGGAAAGAGGTTTCATTGACTCACAGTTCCACATGGCTGGGGAGGCCTCACAATCATGGCTGAAGGCGAATAAGGAGCAAAGTCACATCTTACATGGTGGCAAGTAAGAGAGCTTGTGTAGGGGAACTCCCTTTTATAAAACCATCAGTTCTCATGAGACTTCTTCACTATCACAAGAATAGCATGAGAAAGACCCACCCCCATGATTCATTTACCTCCCACCGGGTCCCTTCCACATGTGGAAAATATGGGAGCTACAATTTAAGATGAGATTTGGGCGGGGACACAGCCAAACCATATCATTCCATCCCTGGCCCTTCCCAAATCTCGTGTCCTCACATTTCAAAACCAGTCATGCCTCCCCAACAATCCCCCAAAGTCTTAACTCACTTCAGCATTAACTCAAAAGTCCACAGTTCAAAGTCCTATCTGAGACAAGGCAAGCCCCTTCTGCCTGTGAGCCTGTAAAATCAAAAGCAAGTTAGTTACTTCCTAGATACAATGAGGGTATAGGCATGTGGTAAATACAGCCATTCCAAATGGGAGAAATTGGATAAAATGAAGGGACTACAGGCCCCATGGAAGTCTGAAATCCAGTGGGGCACTCAAAGCTCTAAAATGATCTCCTTTGACTCCGTGTCTCACGTCCAGGTCACACTGATGCAAAAGGTAGGTTCCCATGGTCTTGGGCAACTCTGCCTCTGTGGCTTTGCAGGGTACACCAGCCCCCTTCCTGGCTACTTTCATGGGCTGGTGCTGAGTGTCTGCAGCTTTTCCAGGCACACAGTGCAAGCCGTCAGTGGATCTAACATTCTGGGGTCAGGAGGACAGTAGCCCTCTTCTCACAGCTTCACTAGGCAGCACCTCAGTGGGGACTCTGTGTGGGGGCTTCCATCCCACATTTCCCTTCTGTACTGCCCTAGCAGAGGTTCTCCATTAGGGCTCTGCCCCTGCAGCACACCTCTGCCTGGGCATCCAGGCATTTCCATACATCCTCTAAAATCTAGGCAGAGGTTCACAGACCTCAATTCTTAACTTCTGTGCACCTTCAGGCCCAACACCACATGTAAGCTGCTAAGGCTTGGGGCTGGCACCCTCTGAAGCCATGATCCGACCTTTACTTTGGCCCCGTTTAGTCATGGCTAGAGTGGCTGGGACACAGCGTACCAAGTCCCTAGGCTGCACAGAGCAGGGGGATCCTGGGCCAGGCCCACTAAAGAAACCATTTTTTCCCTGGGCTTCTGGGCCTCTGATGGGAGCGACTGCCAGGAAGGTCTGTGACATGCCCTGGAGACATTTTCTCCATTGTCTTGGTGATTAACATTTGACTCCTCATTACATATGCAAGTTTCTGCAGCCAGCTTGATTTTCTCCTCAGAAAATGGGTTTTTCTTTTCTATCACATCATCAGGCTGCAAATTTTCTGAACTTTTCTGTTCAGCTTCCCTTTTAAACATAAGTTCCAATTCCAAACCATGTCTTTGTGAATACATAAAACTGAATGCTTTTAACAGCATCCAAGTCACCTCTTGAATGCTTTGCTGCTTAGAAATTTCTTCTGCCAGATACCCTAAATAATCTCTCTCAGATTCAAAGTTCCACAAATCTCTAGGGCAGGGGCAAAATGCCACCAGTCTCTTTGCTAAAACATAGCAAGAGTCACCTTTATTCCAGTTCCCAACAAGTTCCTCATCTCCATCTGAGACCACCTTAACTTGGACTTCATTGTCCCTATCACTGTCAGTATTTTGGTCAAAGCCATTCAACAAATCTTTAGGAAGTTCCAAACTTTCCCACATCTTCCTGTCCTCTTCTAAGTCATCCAAACTGTTCCAACCTCTGCCTGTTACCCAGTTGCAAAGTTGCTTCCATATTTTTGGGTATCTTTATAATAGCACCCCACTCTACCTGTACCAACTTACTGTATTAGTCTCTTCTCATGCTGCTAATAAAGACATACCTAAGACTGGGTAATTTATAAAGGAAAGAGGTCTAATTGACTTACAGTTCCACATGGCTGGGGAGACCTCACAATCATGGCTGAAGGTGAATGAGGAGCAAAGTCACATCTTACATGGTGGCAGGCAAAAGAGGTTGTGTGGGGGAACTCCCCTCTATAAAACCATCAGATCTCATGAGACTTATTCACTGTCATGAGAACAGCACAGGAAAGACCCACCTCCATGAGTCAGTTACCTCCCACTGGGTCCCTCTCACAACACATGGGAATTATGGGAGCTATAATTCAATATGAGATCTGGGTGAGGACACAGCCAAACCATATCAGCTACCATATTGGAAAATCTGGAAAATCCAATCTTTCAGGAGTTTTTCATTGCCTACTGTAGTCTAGAAAAATATTATAACCATTTGAGCAGAGGGAAAGGTCATCCTTTTAATTAACTGAGCTAATTCATTGTTTTTTATGAAACTTAACATTTGGCCATCAAACAAAAAACAATGTTGACATAAGACAGTTACCATATCAAGTGCCATCGTATGGATTTGTGAAACATGAACTGGCCTAAATTTTTCATTGTGCTGAAGGATTCTTATTCAAGTTTAAGAAAAGAAGGGAGACAGTTGAATGATTATAACAGGTGCCTCTATTTCAACAAAGTAGAAGTAGTTTTTCCTACCTGACCCCATTTGTGTTAGTTTCTTTCCTTCTATAAAATATTTTGTTGAAAGGTAAAAGAACACACAGAACATGTAATATGTCTTTGAGGACAATTTTGTTTGATTCTGTTTGTCCATTTCTTATTTTATTTAAAAAATCTATTGAAAAACCATATGGCTCTTGTTAGGTACCAGGCACTATGTTATGTCTTCTAGGTGAATACAATTTTAAAAATCAGAAATATTAGAACCCTGTAAAGTGGATATGGAACGTTATTATTATTCCCATTTAACAGATGTGTAAATTGAGACAGTTAAATGATTTCCTGAGGTCTCAGAGCCAGTATGTGGTCAAAGCAGTCCGACTTTAGAGTCCATGCTTAAACTGCCATCCTGGGCTCCTCAGAAGGCATGGCAAAGCGCCTGTGCTGTGAGCTGTGGTCACTTCCTCCTGCTCTTGCCCAGCCAGCTTTCAGCTCTCTTGTTCCCACAGGACTGAAAACTCATTAAAAGCAGTGCCCACAGCACCAGCAGGCCACCTGGCATGTGGAAGTAGGGGAGGTAGGTGGTCAAAGCATGCCCCCTCAAAAGACATGTCTATGTCCTCCTCCCCAGAACTTGTGAATGTGACCTTATTTGGCAGAAGGGTCTTTGCAGAGGTCATTAAGTTAAGGATCTTGAGATGAGATCATCCTGGATTAGCTGAGTGGACCCTAAATCCAAGGACTGGTGTCGTTTTAAGAGACACACAGAGGAAACGGCCACGTGGTGACAGAGACAGGGATGCGAGTGATGCAGCCACGGCCATGGAAACCAAGGAACGTCTGGAGCCACCAGAAGCTGGGGAGGTGAGACACTGATTGTCCCCTGGAGCCCTCGGCAGGAGCACGTTTCTTTCAACACCTTGACTTTGGATCTCTGGCTGCCAGAAGTGTGAAAGAATAAGTCTCTGTTGTTTTAAGCCAACAAGTCTGAGAGGATTTATAACAGCAGCCCCAGGAAACTAGACCAGGGGCGTAAAGAATACCTGTTGAATAAGCAGGTTGAGGCGGCCCAATCCTGGATGCCCATCAGTCACCTGGGAGTCTTTACAAAGTGCAGACAGTCCTGGATGCAGATTCCCTAGCCCTTACCCCAGTAGGCTACAAGCATTGGCCTTTGAAGAAAAGTCTCCAGGTGATTTTAATGTGCAGCCCGGGCTGAGAATTCCTGGGAGACATGAATGAATGAAAATTCATTTAAGCCCCAGGAGAAGATAAAGATATTTAGTTTTAAACGATTTTAGGATTTGAAAGCAATGGATTTGAGATACACAATTCTTAGATTTACAGTCACACTTGCCACTGGACACTTGGAAGACCTCTGAGTACCAGCCACTTCAGGAGTTCAAAGCCAGGATCCCATGTAGGGAAATGCGTCGTGCACAGGGCACCCGCCTGTAGGGAGAGCCACACTTAACAGAGAGGAGGGAGGTTTGTTTTTGTTTGTTTTTATTCATGCTAGAAAGTGACAACAGAGTCCTATAAGAAATGGAGGACTCCTCCCTGACCCCTTCAAAAAGCCCAGGCCTGCAGGAGAAAAGAAAAGAAACATTTAAAAACACTCCACTTATTTTTTCTAACCAGTGGGAAGTGCTTTGAATTTATGCTGCTGGCCAGTTTCATCTTAAGTATAACAAAAGGCTTCTTACTTCAAAAGTAATAGATGATTCAATTGTAGAAAATTTAGAAAATACAATTGGGTAAAATGGAGGGGATAAAAGTCATCTCCAAATCTATGATTGAAAGGGTAATAACTGTTAATATTTTGAGTATATTGGCATTCTATGTGATCACATCTATATACAGAAATATGTTATTTCTGTGCATATTAGACTTGCTCATTTAGCTTTGAAAACTTGTTTTCTGTACTAATAAAGAATAAATATATAGTAACATATTTTCATGTCATTGAATATTTAACTATAATGATTATTATCAAGCCCTTTACAAAAATTGGTCAAAGTGGTTAACCCTCTTCCCAGAAAAATGCAAATACACACACATAAACAATTTTTTCCAACAATTTCAAGATTTGTGGAGCCCTTCAATGAATCTGTAATTTTTAAAGTATAATATTCTATTGATATTATAGCAGTATATTCTATTCATTCCCCATATTTCATTTTTTTCCTCTTTTAAACATTGCTACTGGCCATTTTTATGAGGTTGCATCTTTTTCCTGTTAAACGTTCCTTTAAAATATTTTTTCTTTTGAAGCATAAAATGTCTGTCAAATATCTTTGTAGATAAATCTTTAGGAGGGAAAGCTAGACATGAACTGGCAGGTCAAAATACGTGATGCGTTTTTAAGTTCTGGATGCTTTGGTGAGCTTGTCCTGCCTGTTTACAGGGCTCCGTGTGTGTCCAGTGCTCACTTCCTTTGCCAACAGTGGGCCTTACCTTAAAAAAATTAATTTGATAGTTGAAATATGGCTATCTTCTTATGGGCATAATTTGCATCGACGTAATTTCTGGTTACATTTAATAACTTTTCCTGTGTTTGTTTGCGAATGTTTTTCCCTACTTGGTTGCCTTAATTTTGGACTATGTTTTTACTTTAGCAAGATTTTAGGTTTGTGCGTTGTCAAATGTAGTCATTGTTTTCTTTAAGGCAAAGACTCTAATCTGGAGAAGGATGGAGCAGGCCTAGCGGAATGCCAGAAAGGCTGTGTCAAAATCCATCCATCAGCCTGAGCCCCTCAGTGGTTAGGGAGAACCAGTGGCTGACGCTAGTTAAAGCAGTAAAGGCAGATTTTATTCAGAGACTCTTCCTGCAACAGTGGAAAAGAGACCTCCGTATGGAGGGGGACTCAATTGTGAACACAGTGGAGACAGCTGGGGATTTATAGCCAAGGAGAGGAGGAGGGGAGGAGGGTGAATGAGGGGTAGGCGGATGACAAATTACTAAGAGGAGACAGCAAGGGTAGGGGGATTCTTGCTAAGCCTACTTAGGATTCTTGCTGAAGGCAGCCACATATCAGGGGTGGGAGATTCCCTCTAAACAGACTTAGCAGATCCTTCCTAAAATTGGGATATGCGAGTCCAGCACGGATGGGGAATGGGGTGGGGTTGAGACATGGGGAGGAGGTGGTGGAGGGCAGGTTTGAGACCAAGTCAGGGCTCAGAGGTGCCTGACTCAAGCTTGGTTAAGGAGAAGGTTGCAGTGCCCCGTTGCTGGCCTGTCCAGAGCAGGTAGTGCAAGTGAGAACTAAATCTTGGTTGTTTTAAGCCATTGAAGTTATTTGTTACCACAGCATAACATAATCTATCCTGACTTGTACAAAGAATTTTCAATTATACATTTACAAAAATGTAATAGCCTTCTTTGAGGGGAGCAGTTTTAGGTTTACAGAATTGAGTGGAAAGAAAGTATAGCAAATTGCCACATTATCCTTTACCCCTCCAGTTCCCCTATTATTAACATCTTGCATTAGTGTGGCACATTTGTTACAATTAATTAGTCAATATTGATACATTATTATTAAAGTCCACACTACATATTGGGGTTCACTCCTTGTGTTGTAGGTTTTGCTAATGTATAATGACATTTATGCACCATTACAGTATCACACAGGATAGCTCCACTACCCTAAAACCACCCCCTGTGCTCTACCTACCCTCTCCCTCCTTCTCCCTGAACTCCTGGCAACCACTGATCTTTTTACTGTCCCCATAGTTTTGCCTTTTCCAGAATGTCGTATAGTTGGACTCATACAGTATGTACTCTTTTCAGATTGGCTTCTTTCACTTGGCAATATGCATTTCAGTTTCCTCGCTGTCTTTTCTTGGCTTGATAGCTCATTTCTGTCTATCACTGAATGACATTCCATTGCCTGGATGGACCACAGTTTATACATTTATCTACTGAGGGACATCTTGGTTGCTTCCAAGTTTTAGCAATTATGATTAATGCTACTATAAACGTTCATATTCAGGTTTTTCTGTAGATGTACGGTTTCAACTCATTTGGATAAGTGCCAAGGAGCGCAATTGCTGGATCATATGATAAGAATATGTTTAGTTTTGTAAAAAACTGCTAGACTGTCTTCCAAAGCGGGTGTAGCATTTTTCATTCCAATCAGCAGTGAATGAGACTTCCTGTGTCTTCACATCCTTGCTAACATTTAGTGTTATCAGTATTTTGGATTTTAGCCATTCTAATAGTTGTGTAGTGGTATCCTCATTTTTTAAAATTTGCAGCTCCCCAATGATACATGATGCTGAGTATCCTTTCATGTGCTTATTGCCGTCTATATATCTTCTTTGGTCAGGTGTCTGTTCAAGTCTTTTGCTCATTTTTTAAGTTGGGTTGTTCTTTTTTTTTATTATATGTTTTGCAACTATTTTTATTCTGTGGCTTGTCTTTTCATTCTCATGATTAAATATACATTTTGAGTGGTGATGCCAGTTCCATAATATGTTCATAGATTTCAAGTGACTACCTTTGGATGACTAAAAAGTTCTAAAGTTCTAATTCTCAAGATGGCTGATTTAGAGCAGAAGAAAGCATACTTGGGTGTTCTGGTGTGTTTGTTAAAAAAAAGTCTTATTTTTGGCCCCTGAGTCTTCCTGATGACCAGGAGGTTCTCACTGGCTGAGGGCTATGTCCCTGGCAACATGCAGGTTCATACAGCTCATTCCTGGAATGTCTGTGTGGCCACGTCAAGGTGTTTCTGACCGGGTCTTTCCCCACTAATCCATCCAGCTGCTAGTCTAGTCTTCTTAAAACAGCTTTCGTCACGACCTAGTGGTCCTGTTGCCTATCTCAGTAAATCTAAGCAGTTGGCTGGACTGTTACAGTCCTTTTGAGAATCAGAGTTCGAGATGCTGGAAACCCTAGTGCAAGAGTCAGACGCTGAGACAGTGAATTGAACCAGTAGGCAGCGCTCCCCATAGTCATAGGACAAGAGACCAAGTTTGATGGAACAAAGAGAACACAATGGGTTCCGTATGGAGAGAATCTAAAAAGGCTTCTCAGAGGAGGTGACATTTAAACTGGTCCCTAAAGCATGAGCAAGAGTTTAAAAGTGTTTAGAAATACACATTTCTGGGAAGGTGACCTATTAAACCATTCTGTATGTAATATTAACACTATATTATATTCGTCTTGCAAAATGCTCTTAAATGCAAAAATTTGATGTGGCACAGGTGAGGCTTGATAGTGGGGCTGGACGATCTTAGAGTATGGGAGGGTGCATCTGGATGGGTGCCTCTTTGAGCAGTCTATGCAAAGAGGGAGGACTTTTCAGGATTCATTGGAAGCAGACCTTCCTGATGCAACATTTATTGGGCACTACTGTGTGCCAGGTCCTATGCTCTATATTATCCCCTTTAATTATCAAAATAGCCAGTGAAGAAGATACCACTCTTGGCTCCATTATAGATGGGGAAACTGAGGGTCAGAGATGTTAAGAGCCCATAGCCATGTAGCTAGGACTGGTGGACCTGGGATTTGAACCCAGGCTTCAAGGCTCCAGAGCAGTGCCTGGCACAGAGTAGGCTCTCAACAAGTATGTGTTGAATGTTTTAAGTCCAACGCTCTTTTCGCAGTATCAGAGTAATCTAAAAACAAGAAGTGGATGGGGCCAAAGAGAAACTTTGCCAAAGGTCAGCACTTTGGTAGAATTTTGATAGCCTCCCCCAGATTCCTGATTTCAGTTACATTGCTCGAGGTTACAGGATGCTGGGCCTTAATCACCACATTGCCAGGTTCATGCACTGTAGGTCCTTTGTGAAATGGAAATAGAGGATAGAGTTTCTCTTAGAACTCCAAGTGGCATTGAGATTCCAACACGACCTTTCTTACCAAGTGCAGATGTTATTTCTACTGTAGGATTTAACTTTTGTGATTTCCTTATGCAGGAAAAAATTGAACCAGAGGGAATTGGAGTCTTTCTTTCTATAGGTCTGCTGGCATGATGACTTAAAACCAGAGCCTTTACATCAGATTTCTGATGGGGTGTTGAAGAAACAAACGAAGGGTAACTTGCCAAGTACATGCTAATGGAAAGTACTTTTTTTTTTTTTTCTGAGGAAGAAGGTCTCTCTGTGTTACCCAGATTGGAATGCAGTGGCATGACCATGGCTCACTGAGTTTCTATCTTCTGGGCTCAGTGATCCACCTCAGCCTCCCAGGTAGCTGGGACTACAGGCATGTACCATCATACCTGGCTAATTTTTCAATTATTTTTGTGGATACAGGGTCTTGCTATGTTGCCTAGGCTGGTCTCGAACTGCTGGGTTCAAGTGATCCTCCTGCCTCAGCCTCCCAAAGTACTAGGATTACAGGTGTGAGCCACTGCACCCAGCTGTAAATGACTCTTTATTTGGCCTTTTGTGTTGGTATTTTTTAGAAACCCGGGCCTCTCCATGAAATCATTTTATTCTTATGTCATTATTTTTTATGCATTTATCAATTTATTCATTCATTTATTGTTTTGACCTATTTATTGCCATTATGTCACTATTATTATGACATTATATCATATTATATCATTATTATATATGTCATTATGAAGCCTTCCTCAGATCTGCTGCAAATCTTTTACAAAAGCAATCAAATGAACCTTTGAGTGGTTGCCTCTGCCCCCAACCCTCCATCTTCCTTTTTCTCCGTTTCCTAGAGAAAATTCTCCATGATTTGAAAGTATTCATTTAACACAGCCTGCCCCAACCAAGCTCACCTCCTGCACCATGCCTTTAAATCTAGATAAAAGCTAGTGTGCCCAGTTATTGTTCTCTTTTTGGGTGAGAAGAAACCTTCTGTGTCTTTTGAAATGACATTTTATTTGATTTTATCCAATTATGTGGCCAACATCCTATGTTGCTTTTCATAGGTACAGGCACACGTGGTCCCATGCTATGTTGACCATGAGCAGTTTGCAGCCTGTAGCTGAGTGTGGCTAGTTGGGTAACCTGATGGTGTTTGCAGAAGGGGTGTGCGGTCTTCACCCCTGAAGATATTCCCCTGTCTTATCACATGATCCTCTTTTAAAAATAATAATAGACTTTATTTTTCAGAGTGGTTATAGATTTACAGAAAAATTGGGCATATACTACAGGGATTTCTTGTATTAGCTTCCCACTCACTCTATACCCAGTTTTCCCTACCATTAGTATGGTATATTTGTTACAATTAATGAACCAATACTGATATGTTGTCATTAACTAGAGTCCATAGTTTATTCAAATTTCCTTAATTTTTTCCTAGTGTCCTCTTTCTTTTTTTTTTTTCAAGAGGGAGTCTCACTCTATCACCCAGGCTGGAATGCAGTGGCATGATCTTGGCTCACTGCAACCTCTGCCTCCTAGGCTCAAGCAATCCTCCTGCCTCAGCTTCCTAAGTCGCTGGGACTACAGGCATGCACCACCATGCCTAGATAATTTTTTTTTTTGTATTTTTTGTAGAGATGGGGTTTTACAATGTTGGCCAGGCTGGTTTCAAACCCCTGACCTCAGGTGATCCGCCTGCCTTGGCCTCCCAAAGTGCTGGGATTACAGGTGTGAGCCACCGTGCCCGGCCCTAATGTCCTCTTTCTGTTCTAGGATCCCACATGACATTTAGTCATCGTGTCTCCTGAGGCTCCTCTTGGCTGTGACAGTTTCTCAGCCTTTCCTGTTTTAGATGACCTTGACAGACGGTCTTGAGGAACACTGGTCAGGGGTTGTATTGAAGGCCCCTTTATTGAACCTTGTCCGATTATTTTTAACTTAACTAAACTGAGGTTATAGGTTTATTGGGAGGTAGGCCACAGAGGTAAGGTGCCATTTTCATCATGTCGTATCAGGGTACATGCTACTCACATGATTTATGACTGTCGACCTTGATGGCCTGCCTGATGTCGTGTTGCAAGGTTTCTCCACTGTAAAGTTACTTTTCCCTGCTTCCCCCCTTTCCACACTGTACTCTTTGCAAGGAGGGCACAGTGCGTGCAGCCCACGCTGAAGGGGTGGGGAGTTATGCTCCCTCCTTAAGGGTGAAGTATATACAGATGTATTTGGAATTCTTCTTGCAGCTCCACTTTACTTTCTGATGCTAATTGCAACTAGTCCTTGAGCTCTGGGAGTGAAGGGACTGTGTTTCCTTCCACAATGAATCACTGTTACCCAGCACTGTACCGTGCCTGACACCACGCCTGACCGTGCCTGACACATATCCTTAATAAAATATTACTAAATGAATGAATAATGCAGGATGATTTGTTTAGGCACACCTGCCCTCTTGTAAATTTCCCTTCCACCCCTTAACAGATTGGACCGTAGCTGTGGGGTTGTCGGGTGAGCGCACTGGCCGGGGCTGTCTGCACACTGGAGAGCTAGATGTCACATCATTGATCAGAATTTCACGGTAGCTCATGTAGATAATGATATGAAATGTGCAGGGAGCTAAAACAGGGTCATGTGATAGAGGGGCCTGGGGCTACTGGAGATAGTGTGGGCGGAAACCCGGTCTAGGGAAATGCTGTTGGCTCTGAGATGGGAGGAATGAGGAGAAGCCAGCCACTCAGTGACTTGGGGAAGGACTTTCTAGGCAGAGGGAAGAGCATCTGCAAAGGCTCCCAGGGAAGGTGGAGCTGGGTTGGTAGGTTGATGGCCTGGGCAGCACAGAAGTCACAGAATCCAGCCGAGCTTGAACCAGGTCTTCACGACGGTCATCTCTGCATCCAGCGTCCTGTGCTTCAGTTCAGCAGATGTCTATCAAGTGCCACCCACCTTCTGAGTCCTGTTTTGGGTTCTGGGAAATCAGCTGGAAACAAAACCAGTGAGTCGGTCCTGGCTCTCCTGGAACTTACATCTATAGAAAGGAATATGCAATTGTATGTCAGGTGGTGATAAAAGCTAACAAGAAAAATAAGGCAGGTAAATGGACAGAGTAACTGGGAGGTTCTGCTTCAGATAAGGCGGTCAGGGAGGGCCTCTCTGACGAGCAGAGCCCTGAAGGGAGTGTGGGGAGGAGGCAGGGAGAGATGTGGGAGGAGAGCATCTCCCCAGAGTCCCTGAGGTGGCCGGCCCCAGTATGGTCAGGGGTTGAGCTGGCATGGAGTGAAGGAGGGGGCAGCGGGGACCAGGTCAGCAAGGTGGCCAAGGGCTGAATTATATAGGACTTCATAGGCTCTGAAAAGACTTTGGATTTTATTCTGCATGGGATGAGCAGCTACTGCAGGGCTTTGAGGGAAGTGATGTGATCTACTTTACCTTTTTTGAAAGATCTGCTTGGAGGAGCAAGGGTGGAGCCTGGGAGCCCAGGTGAGGGCTATCGCCATCATCCAGGGGCTGTAATTGAAATGGAACTTGCCTTTCTGCTTGTTGCCTTGGTAATGGGGGGTCCCCTTCGTGTTAATGATGACATGATGAGAAACGCTGCATGTAAGCAAATGATGGCAAACAGACAGAGAAGCAAATGATCTGGCTAACTCTACTTCGGTGGAAAGACACCAGCCCCCTGGGAAGGATTTATGGAAGGCTTTGAGCATGGGCAGAAGGTGAGAGTGTCAGGAGAGTCTGGGATAAGGACCGAGAAATCGTACTGAGCGACGTGCTTAGGACTAGATTGCTTTGTGTGGATGTCTCAGTATAAATAAACCAGGTCTTCCTGTGGGCCACGGCTGCTTTTCTTCCCCCTGACTCTACTGCTCTGGGCAGGAAAACCCACGATTGGGAAGAGGCTGTGCTCAGCCTTCCAGGACGGTGGCTTTTGGGTGCTAGACATGGTGGCAGCCAGCTGCATTGTCCTTGGTGCTCCCAGGTATGTGGAGGGGATCACAGTGAACAGACAGGGAGTCAGTGAATGGCGAGGTGGGACAAGTGGGTGGTTGGCTTGAGATACAATCTGCAATGCAGAAGGCTCGTGGTGGGTGGACAGCCATTGGTCATGGGATTCTTAGGGCTTGCAGTCTGAAGCCTGGGGACTCTTGAGACCTGGATTCTGCTCTGGAAACCTCTGGTGACTTCACTGCAGTGTCCACTTCCTTTCTCTGGCTCTCGCTTTTGCCATGTGTGAAATAGGGGGCCGTGTTTTTAAACGCCCTTTTTCCTGTGCTAGGGAGACAGTTCTGATCCTGGGACATGGATCATGGGGTGCTCTGCTGCCACGCTGCCGGGGTGTTGGTGGGGTGTGACAGGGGCTTGATTTTGTATGCGCTGTTTGGGGAATTACTCTTGCGAATCCTGTAAGCAAAAGCAAGGTTGGGCAGACGCCATGGTCAGCCAGGTCTGCATGGTCTGCCAGGCTGGTTATAGCTCTGGCATTCAGTCAGGTGCATCTATCGTTTTATTTTAATTGGAACATAACCACTGTAATCACACAAGCTTGGGAAATTGGAACCTGGAGGAAGCATTCTTTTGTTGAAAGACAATAGTGAATGGGCCAAGGGAATTCCTTGAATATATATATATATATATATATATATATATATGTATGTATGTGTATATATATATATGTATGTGTATATATATGTATGTGTATATATATGTATGTGTATATATATGTATGTGTATATATATGTATGTGTATATATATGTGTGTGTGTATATATATATATATATAGAGAGAGAGAGAGAGAGAGAGAGAGAGAGAGAGAGAGAAAGAGAGTGTTAGAATGTGGCCTGCAATGCCCATGGCTTGCTGCCTAGCCAAGGGATGGGGCCTGTTGTTTATGAGCATTACTTTTGCTGGTTGGGAGCATTTTTAGAATTTCATTTTTGATATATCAACTTGCTTACTTAACAAGCAGTGCATTAAAAAGCATGAAAACTGACAAGCACTGGCTCATCCGTCCCTTTGATGGGCCGGCCTTGGTGGAATCGGCATCTGGTATCTGTTGGTGTGATGCTTGGTGCACACATGTCGACACTGTTTGTACTCAGATTAATCTGCTATGTGAGAATGTTTTCCCTTCCCAAGAGAGTTCTAGGCTCCACAGACACACTTCGTAGTTCACTCATTTGGTCTATGAGCAGTGGACAAAAGCACCTCAGAGTGGAATGCCAATTTGGCCAAGAAAAGTGGGAACGAGAAGGAGGCCTTTCCTTAAGCAGCACCTGCATCTTACTTTAAGCAAGTGTCGGAGCAGACACTTTATGTCTTCTAAGAATGCCGCGTGCCCCACGCTGTGCATGGTGAGTCCTGCCAGTAACTTCTGAGTCAGCCCCACAGCCAGGGTCCTTGCGGTGTGCTTATTTTTAAATGTTTTTAATAACTGCAGGTTTACAGGATTTAGACCTGGCCACAGAGATCACCATATCCTTCATTAGTTTTAAAGGACTGGAATGAGTGAAGCTTCCCTAGATGCTTGTAAAGGTATTGGCTGTGGAACGTCACGGTCATCGGGGCAATGCTGGAAGCCTTTAAGAAGGAGGTGTCCCCCGACTTGAACTCCAAATGGCTTTATTTCTGGAAGGACCCTCGGGTCATTCCTCTTTCAAACACTCTCCGGCTCAACTGGGATTTCTGTGCCACGAGTCTCAGCTGACTGCCCTCCCTAGAACGCTACCCTCAGTCTAGACAATGATATTTTGTATTTTCTTTTTTTTTTTTTGTCTTTTTTTTTATTATACTTTAAGTTTTAGGGTACATGTGCACATTGTGCAGGTTAGTTACATATGTATACATGTGCCATGCTGGTGAGCTGCACCCACTAACTCGTCATCTAGCATTAGGTATATCTCCCGATGCTATCCCTCCCCCCTCCCCCCACCCATTATTCACAATAGCAAAGACTTGGAACCAACCCAAATGTCCAACAATGATAGACTGGATTAAGAAAATGTGGCACATATACACCATGGAATACTATGCAGCCATAAAAAATGATATTTTGTATTTTCTATCTTCTGCCTACGCCGAAGCCTTTTTCTTAAAGTTCGCAATGTAATGCCATGTAATTATCTCTTTTCCTTTCGTATGTGTTATTTCGCCTTGGAAGGGGGCTCTGCAAATTGAGTATTACATATGAGATATTTGTGGGTGTATTAGTTTCCTATTGCTGACATAACAGATTATCAAAAACTTTGTGGTTTCAAAGGATATATGTTTATTCTTTCTTAGTTCTGAAAGTCAGAAGTCTAAAATAAATTTCGCGGGGTGTTAAGTCAAGGCATTGCAGAGTTGCCTCCCTCCTGACAGCTCTCTGGGAGGGTCTGTGTTTTCACCTTTTCCCGCTTGCAGGGGCTGCCCACATTCCTTGGCGGGTGGCCCTGTATCCCTCTGACCTCTGCAGCCACGGTCACGTCTCATTCTCCGACCCTGACGCTCCTGTCCCCCTCTAGTAAGGACCAGTGTGGTCACATCAGGCTTACCTGCTAATCCAGATAATCTCCCCACCCCAGGAACCTTAATCTAACCACACCTGCAAAGTCCCTTTGACCATGTAGGGCACCGTGTTCACAGGTTCTGGGGATTAGGACGTGGCTGTCTTATGGGGCCACCATTCTGCCTATTCACAGTCTGTAATGTGTGTGTCCTTGGCCTGTCCGGGGTCAGCTGGCTTCCATCTGGGTTTGGCCCTTGGGAGGCCATGGTGGGAGATTAGAGGGTGGGAGGGTGGGGGAAGCCGGGGCCTCCCTCCCCATCCCAGCCTCAGTGGCCGCCCTGGCAGTGGCTCCCCACAACACCTGATTCCAGCCCCTACAGGAGGCGCCGGCTGTGGTCAGACGTCGCGTTCCATCGAGGGGTCTCCAGGCTCTGGCCACTGCCAGTTCTCCCTTGCCCTTTCAGCCTAGAGGTGGTCGCGACTTCTTGCTGTTCTAATCTCTGTGTTTTTTCACCATCCTGTCTGCCTTCTCAGATTTTCCTTTGCTTGGGTAACCAATTCCCTGCACCGAATTCCTTTTATTGTAAACCCCTGAAGTGGTGTGTTTCTTGCGCACACTGGTCTGATGCAGCGGGGTCAGGAGCGAAGAGCCCCTCCTCATGCTGAAACTTCTTTTCCGTGTAAAACTCAGAGTGCATGAGGAGAGAAGTCTGGGCCTCCTGAACCAGCCCTGTACTCTCTCTTACTAAGCGTTTGGGGAAACCCTCGGGAAAATCCCCTTTGTGGGGGCTCAGGTGTCCTCTCATCCTCCGCACCTCTGCTTTGTACAGATTGTCTCTTCTTAAGGGGAGCAGGGGGAGGAGAAGATTGTGACCACTGTCTCTTGTTCCCTGACATATCTTGCTCAAGGTGTTCCTTCCAAAATGAAACTGAGGACTGAAATGTGTGACCGTGAAACCCCCATCTCACATCCCTGGCTGGAAAACCCCACTTGCTCTTCTGAATTATGTCTGTATGAATAAACAAGGCAGACCTTTGATCCCTTGATGTCCAAAGAAGGCAGATGAGAGCTGTGGTCAGTTGCCAGGAAGGGCCTAGAATTTCTGTCACGGGGACCATAATTAAAGAGAGACTGGGGTGCGGAAGGGGTGGAGCCCTCAGACCTACCCACCCGGGGCTGGGACGGCCCCCAAGTTTTCTGCAGGGGGAGGGGTTAGACACATCCTCCCTGGTCGCCAAGCAAGGACATACCAGCCCCAGCATCCAGGACTGCTTGGAAACATTTATTCCTTCAGCGCGTATTACAGAGCCCTCCCAAGAGCCAGGCACTAGTATAGGTGCTGAATTTACCGCACTGAACAAAATGGTCAATGTCCTCCATGAAGTTTATATTCTAGTGGGAGGAAACAGACAATGATAAAGATTTACTAACAGATGGAAGAAAGTGTCAGGGAGAAAAATAAAGCAGGAGATAAGAATGGAGAATGCCGGTGTAGGGAAATCCCTGATTTGGGGGCAGGAAGTCAGGGATGAGCTCACTGTGAAGAGGTGCTGGACTGGAGGCCTGAGAGATGGGAGGGAAGGGACAAGTGGACTCCCCGGGGCAGGAGGAGCTAAATGGAGGGGACCTCTCCTAACCAGGGCAGCAGGGAGGCCTGTGGAGCTAGAGCAGATGGAGCAGAGGTAGTGTCAGAGGGTCTCGGTGCTGATGTCTGCCTCTCCATCCTGCCCCTCGGTGCCCCACAGGGAGGTCCTCTGCTTCCCTAACAACAGTCTCCTATGAGCTTTGAAGACATCCTTTCCTCCCTTCTGTTCCGAGGCAAAGCATCTGGTGGGCGTTGCGGTCTTTGCCTCTTTCCATCTGGTCCCTGTGCGTGGTCATGTTCCAGTGGAAAGTAGAAAGGGTTTGGGCTCCGGAGTCCAACTGTCTGAACTGCATTCTCAGCTAACTGTGTGAGCATGAGCACATTGTATGAAGCTCATTGTTAAAATTAGGATCCTAATGGCTGCACCACAGGTGTCTTGGGATGGCCAAGGGAGTGAGTGTGGAAGCTACAAGCCCAGCACACCAGGTGCTCAGTCCATCTCAGCCTCACTGTTTGCCATGCTCTCTTCCTGTTATGGAATCGTACCTCTTCCCCTGTACCACACACACAGGCTTATTTGGAAACAGGCTCATGGGAGTTGTAATTATTTAAGAAGAGGTTACACTGGAGTTGGGTGGGACCTAATCCAAGATGACTGGTGTCTTAAAAAAGGGAGAAATTTGGACACAGACATGCACACAGGCAGAACGTCGCATGAAGAAGGCAGAGGGCGTGATGCATCTACAAACCAAGGAACTTCGAAGATTGCCAGCAACCACCAGAAGCAAAGGGAGACGCACAGGACAGGTTCTCCCTCACAGCTCTCAGAATGGGGAGACCTTGCTAACACCTTCATATTGGACTTCCAGGCTCCAGAACTTCAAGGGAATAAATTTCTGTGGTTAAAGCCACTCAATTGGTGGTACTTTGTTACGGCAGCCCCAAGAGGCCAATCCACTTGCCTTCATCTTTTTTGGTCCACCTCCCTGGAACATAGAACTATGGCTGAACTATTTATAGTCAAGTGGCTGGCATGGTTCCAGCCCATCTTCTCCAAGTCTCAGAAGCATCTCCCCAGAATACGCAAGTCCCTTCTGCCACCTGCAAGTGTCCTCTCTGGATGCCAGGTGACTTTTGACCCTCAAGCCAGGTCATCTCTAGAGCACAGGTGTGTTCAGGTCTATAATTCTGATGGATGCAGTTTTCAAGGGCCATACCACACCCTTGTTTAGCTGATAGGATTTGGCTATGAGCTTCTACAAAAGAGAGAGACTCAGATAACACCTAAAATTCAAGACAGATGTCTTTGCACCCACCATCCACTCAGGAGGGGCTGCCTGGGAGGGAGCATGGGATTGGGGCAGAGTGACCCCGCTCCTCCCAGGTTTGGATCCGCTTTCCCTGGCCTGCTCGTGGTGTGAACATTCCGATGCGCTGACTATGATTCTGATGCTGGCGGATCTGAAATCTTAATGTAACATGACTTCAACACAAGGCAGCTACTTTAAACAAAAGGGATGGACTTTTGGGTTGTTTTCATCTGTGATTATTGTGCATAGTGCTGCTATAAACAACCCTGTATAAGTTTTTGTTTGAACACCTGTTTTCAGTGCTTTTGGGTAGGTGCCTAGCAGTGGAATTGCTGGTTCATATGGTAATTCTATGTGTAATTTATTGAGGAACTGCCAAACTGTTTTTCACAGTGGCTGCACCATTTTGCATTCCTACCAGCGATGTAAGAGGGTTTCCATTTCTCCACATGCTCATATGGATAAAGAAAAACGTAGCGTCTCCATATATTGGGATGTTATTCAGCCAAGAAAAGGAATGAAGCAGCAACACAGGCTACAACATGGAAGAACCTTGAAAACATGACGCTGAGTGAAAGAAGCCAGACATCAAGGGCCACATGGTGTGTGATTCCATATATATGAAATGTCCAGAATAAGCAAATCTATAGAGACGGACAGCAGAGTGCCAGGAGCAGGGCTAAGGGGGAGTGGCTGCTTAATGAATATGGGTTTTCCTCTTGGGGTGACGAAAACGTTCTGGAGGTGGGTGGTGATGACTGCACAGCATTGTGAATGCACTTAATGCCGTTGACTTGCTTGCTTTACAATGGTCAATTTTGTGTTCTATTTATTTTACCACAACAAAAAATAAAACAACAAAAAGGGGGAGAAGATTTTTCTCTGCAAAAGTCTCTTGTAATGTGCTTTATGGCCACTTTAAGGGATATTCAAAGGCTGTTTCTAATGTAGTTTTTCACCTTCCATGTAGTCTTTCAAACTAAACTCCTACAAGAATCAACTGCATTCTTCTCCCTTTATTGAGACTTTCCAAGAATTAAACATATTTTTAAGAATTCAAAGGTAATATCTAATACCATCAGGGCTGATATGTCCATCTGGGCAGTAACTCTGTAAGGAAGGAGGTTTTTGGAGATTGGCAACGGCTCTGCATTTAATTCCAGAGAGGTGTAACTCTTAAGGACTAAGACTCTTAAAGACTAAGGAAGCAAAGCTAAAGCACCCACTTCTAAGAACCAAAGCAAAACTGGCAACAATAAGCTGGTGCCCACGATCTGCTATACATGCAGGTGCGTGGTATGGCCAGGTCAGCAAATAAGCTAATTGTTTTCTCTTCTTTAAAGGGACAAGTTGTTTTTCTTTTCTTTAAAAAAAGTTAAGAGCTATTTCAAGCATACTTAAAACTGTAGAGGATATTGTAGCAAACATCCACCTATCTACCACACAGCTGTGTCACAGTTTAATATTTCCCAAAATACGCTGCAGAGCTGGAAAAAAGAAAGCAAGAAACAAAACTCTCTATTGCATTCTCCTTCCTCCTTCTTCCTTCCTTCCTTAAGGTTAACCATTATCCTGATTTAGGTGTTTATCAATCTTATGAATGTTTATATAATTTTACTACAGAGGTACCTTTCCACAGGCCGTGTTTTTTGGTGTATTTTCAAACTTTATATGAATGGCATTGTGCTAAAAGAATCATTCTGCAATTTGCCTATTTTGCTGAAGGTAGCATTTCCCAAGTTAATCCCTATTGATACATGTAGTTCTAGTTCTTTTATCCCTTTGCTGTGTAATATTCCATGATACAGACATTCCATAATTTATTTTCCCATTCTTCTGTTGAGTAACATTATTTAAAATTTTTGCTATTATAGATCTTAGTGCCTATTCTTACACACAAAATCTTCAATAATTGTTTTGGTTACCGTAGCCCTGTAGTATATCGTTTGAAGTCAGGTAAGGTGATGTCTACAGCTTTGTTCTTTTTGCTTTGGATTGTCTTGGCTGTTCAGGCTCTTTTTTTTTTTGGTTTTATATTAATTTTAAAATGGTTTTTTCTAGTTCCGTGAAGAATGTGGTTTGATAGGAAGAGCATTGAATAGCATTGAATCTGCACATTGCTCTGGGCAAGGTGGCCATTTTAATGATGGTAATTATTCCTATCCATGAGTGTGGAATGTTTTTCCCTTTGTTTGTGTCAGCTCTGATTTCTTTGAGCAGTGTTTTGTAATTCTCATTGTAGACCTCTTTCACCTCCATAGTTAGCTGTATTCTTAGGTATTTCATTCTTTTTGTGGCAATTGTGAATAGGACTGTGTTCCTGATTTGGCTCTTGGCTTGGCTACTGTTGGTATGTAGGAATTCTTGTGATTTTTGCACATTGATTTTGTATCCTGAGTCTTTGCTAAAGTTGTTTATCAGCTGAAGGAGCTTTTGGGCTGAGATTATGATGTTTTCTAGGTATAGAATCATGTCATCTGCAAACAGGGATAGTTTGACTTCCTCTCTTCCTATTTGAATGCCCTTTATTTTTTGTCTTGCCTGATTGCTCTGGCCCAGACTTCCAATTCTGTGTTGAATAGGAGTGGTGAAAGAGTGCATCCTTGTCTTGTGCCAGTTTTCATGGGGAATGCTTCCAGCTTTTCCCCATTCAGTATGATGTTGGCTATGGGTTTGTCATAGATGGCTATTATTATTTTGAGGTATGTTCCTTCAGTACCTAGTTTTTTGACAGTTTTGAGCATGAATGGATGTTGAATTTTATTGAAAGCCTTTTCCGCATCTATTGAGATAATCACGTGGCTTTTGTCTTTAGTTCTATTTATGTGATGAATCACATTTATTGATTTGTGTATGTTGAACCAACCTTGCATCCTGGGGTTGCAGTCTACTTGATCATGGTGGATTAGCTTTTTGATGTGCTGCTGGATTCAGTTTGCAAGTATTTTGTTGAGGATTTTTGCAAAAATCCTTTCATCAAGGATATTGGCCTGAAGTTTTCTTTTTTTGTTGTGTCTCCTCCAGGTTTTAGTATCAGGATATGAAAATGAAAAGATTTTTCTGGAAGCTAGTTGTTGTATTTCTTGTTCTGGATTGGCATTCTTCTGGCTTGATTTCATGGATATGCTCTTGGTGTTTTGTCAGAGAAACACTCACACCATTTAATGTCTCTGCTGTCAAGAGACAGAATTAAATTATTCCTCTTTTTAAAAGAATGATTTAAGTAGGACATAATGAATGCAAAATGCTGTTGTTAAATATTGGCAGATAAGCTGATGGATTGGTTATCACTTGGATCTTGCTATAAAGGGAAAGAAAGTGATGTTTAATCATTTTCAAAGACTGAAACAGATGATGAATTTGATGCATTTTGATGCTGAGTGACTCATTAGGACCCGCGATTATTTTCCCGTTAATAAATGAACTAGTACCTTGCATCTCCCCCCTGATTAAACAGTTGCTAAGCAAAGAAGTCTTTGCTTCCAAGGAGACACCAGATTTCCTGAACTGTTTAAACATGTGAACTATTGCTACTCAGTGTTGGTTCAGTTGCAATCTCCAATATGTAGGCAACAAATCAGTGGCCCATAAACCTGTTTCATTTGTTTTGCTAAGTGTTTTTTTCTTTCAGTTTATTTATTTTTATTAAAAATATCAGGAGATCTGACTAAAAATACATATTTCAGGTGTCTCTGGAGAAAGCGGAAACTCAAGTCAACCTTGAATGGGCACAACTGCTAGAGCTGACTGTGGCTGCTCAGTGTAGAAGGGGCTATGCTCTCTCGTTTCCCACAATCCCCTCTGCTCCCTGCTGTTCCCCAAAAACTGAAGCTGGGTATTAGTTGGCGTTTATGAAATGCACAGTGGTGTTTTTCTTCTGGCAGAGAAGCATTTCTTGATATCACCACTTATTAGCCATGTGACCTTGAACAAGTTATTTAAAATCCTTTGGCCTTAGTTTCTTCAACCTTAAGATAGGGAGAATTTTGTCTCTACATGATAGGGTTGTTGTGGGATTAAATGATTTCATCAATGTAAAGTGCTTGCAACATTGTCTGGCACAGAATAAATAACCTGTAATATTGATTGAATTAATATTATTAGCATCCATGTCTAGATCAAAAGTTGGGGGGAGATAGACAAAGAGTGATGTGTTTTCAGATAAGTGAAAAAGCACATTTCTTTGTAACAAAGAAGAGTATTTCTATATGATTAATATGCAAACAAAAGGTTTCCAAGTTGAAAGAAACAATGTAAAACACCCATTATAAATAAACCTTAGTACCTCCGTGATAAATACACAGAAAGGATGTATGATGAAACACTTAATGAACCAGTGAAAGGGCTTAGATTTCACCAGGGTTTCTTTCTAAATGCAAACATGGCGAGTTTTGCTTTGGATGCACTTTTGTGTTAAACCTGTGTTGGTCTCACTTTGAAGTTATCTGCTGGCCCCTCCAGGCCCTTAGGTCCCTCCCACCCTATTGGGGTCTGACAGAGTAGCCCAATGTGTTACAGAAAGAAGTGACTCAGATCCAGGGGAAAGAGGCTTTTTAAAAGGCTGGTGTAGCCTGGGATTTGAAGGCAGAGAGCTGGAATCAGTGGTGGCTCTTCCATCTCCGATCACTCGTGTGAATTTAGTCAGATAACAAACTCTTTCTGAATCTCTTCTGTAAAATGGGGATTTTGTTGCAGGCTTATGGTGGAGATTAAATGCAATAGAAAATGAAAAGCAACCCAGCCTTTGTAAATGTTCTTTTTGATGGTTTCTTCCCTCAGCAGATATGCTCCCTAAAGACTTAAATCCAAATGCAGTATTTTTGAAAGATTTTTTTCCTCTAAAATTTATATTCTTTTAAAACCCAAAATACACCATTAGGGGAATGAAAATGGATCCGTCAAGAGAATTGCAAGGTACATTCTGTTTTTCTCCCCTCTTTTGGATTCCACTTTTACCTGTTTCAAAGGCAACAACAAACACAGCAACAGCTTTGCCAGAGGCCTAGGCCATGATTTATTGAGGAGGAGAAAAGGCAGGAGGTTTAGAAGGTGTTCAGGAGAGAACATTGCTGTGAAATCTGCTGTCCGTGTGCTGTTACTGCCTTTGAGGAAATAGAGGCAGGAAATATATGAAATAGGGAACCAACAGATAGTTTAAATTTTATGTCAGCTAGTGACCATAGGATCAGGAATTTGAATATTATCCACTCATTGGGGGATGTTTTGTGATCTCCTGGAATTTGCTAGAGGGAGGCAAATACTACAGTTATTTAAAATTACCATTTTGGGGGTCAGAGCTGAGCTCAAATCCATGCCCTGTCATTTACTAGCTGTGTGGCCTCAGGCAGGTGACTCAGACCCTGTGACTCAGTTTCTCATCTGTGACACAAGGAAGAGAATAATACCTCCTTGGAGGTTTGCTATGGGGATTAAGTAAATAATTTATATAAAGTAGTATTTAGTATAGTTTACGGGAACAGAACAAGCCCTTATTAAATTACATCCTCAAAAAGATAAGAGAAGATGCTCTATTCAGGACGATGATCAGGTATCAGATAAGGGACTCTACTGCCCTGAGCCAGGATGACGGCAGGTGTGTTTTTCTGTGGCACCTTTTGATCTTGTATAAAATAATAGTCTGTCCTGGAAGTGGAGTTGAGTTTCAGGCACATAGAAATGCATATCTTTGTGTGACATATCTGAGACTTATTTTAGTTTTGACAAATACTGAGCAGGTTAAATGAAGTTGATGTGGTGGTCAGGGTTGCCCCTGGTCGCTAGTCGACAGTTCTAAGATACTAGCCCATCCCTCTGAGTGTGAGAAAGTGGGCTAAACGATGGATGTGGTTCTCCAGTTTCTCCTTATCCCAGGACACATGCAGACTTTCATGTAGAATTATGATTCCCTTACAGCATCTCAGATCTTGAGGGACCTCCCTTGCTGAGAGAGGCATGCTGAGAGCACAGAGTCTCTGAGCAGCATTTCGGGGAGCTGTGTCTGCCTTGGGTGATGCAGCCTGGGGTGCTGCTATTTTTCTTCTCAATTGTAGAAAGTGGCCTTCTGTTGGCTACGGTTTTACTTACACATAGCAGGAGACCCAGGTGTGAGGTGGAGGACTGTTTCTTGTGGTTCAGGAGAAGATCACCATCGTAAACTATTGAGGGGAGAAGAGGGCCAGTTGTAATTTTCAGGTCCTTAAATGAAACATTTATGAAGCTTTCTTTGGTGTAAACTTTGGTGCATGGAGGGATTGTAGGATGGCCCCTTTCTCTGTGAACTCCAGCAGAGTCAGAAAACTTCATGAAGATGGGAGTGGGGAGGGCCTTGATTTGGTCTCTCCTGTGATTATGTGTTAGTCCCTCAAAGACTCTTAAGTTGCAGCTCTGGGATGCCTGCTGGGAAGAATTGACGGGATTCTGTGCTTTAAGAGGGTTTTAGGGAGCTGGGTAACAATCACTGCTGTGGGATTTGTTTTCAGTCTGTTTTCTTGGTAACAGTTTCTTAAGATAGAAAGTGAATTTATCTTAAATTGAAATGGAAACATTATAATTAAACATTTACAAGGAAAGCAGATTTATAGCTATGGTAGTTACATTTTTTTCAGTGTCAACAGATGCCATTGAAGCTAAATAACCCATTGAAACTGCAAGAAAAATGTTTTTTTTAAAAATATAAAATCTGTTAACAATGGTAGTCTTTATTCTACTTGTTTTCTCTGGTGCCTTAGTGACAATAAAATAGAAAGCAGTCGTGCACCGTGAAATTGAGCTGAATTGGGAAGGGCAGGGGTGATGAAAGTGTATTTTTTTTTTTCCTGTGGTAATTTATTAAAGTTGCCTTCACAATGGTGGGGAAACATTATATCTATTTGGGAGTGACTACTGGGTTGAAGGAAGTGTAGTTTCTTAACTATCAGTCCTTTCCTCCTTTCTCTTAAAGGTGAAGTTAGGTCATTGCTCTCATATACATACAAAGAACTGGAATCTGTAACAGGCTAAAACACTCCTAAATATTGGCACGACATCTCACTTTGTAAATTCATGTTTTATAGTTTGCATGGAACATTCTTTATGTTACTTTGTGCAATTTTTAAAGTAATTCAAGGTCATTTTTGAAAAATTGAAAAACATGAAGTTCAAAGAACCATTGTTAACATTTTCCCCCTACTTCCATAGTGTTCTTATTTTCTGAATTTTTTATGTTCTATATAAACAGTTTTCTCTCCTGTCTTTCTTTTGGCTTAATATTTTATTATAGCTGTTTATAACTGTAATTGTAAACTTTTTGTAAATCTTTCGATAGCCTCTTACTACTCTTTCATATAAATGTTACATAATTTAATTTCCCTAATGGAACCAGTAAGGTTGTTTCTAAATATTTTGCTATTATCAATAATCTTTGAATCTTTGTCTTTCAAAGTATTCCCTTAGATGCATTCCAAGAAGTGATGGTACTGGGTATTGATACTTTTAAGATTTATTACATGCTCTGGAAAACTGCTTCCCAGGAAGTATCAGTGAATTCTTGAGATGGTCGGTTTTATGTGTTAACCTGGCTGGGCTGTAGTCCTCAGTTATGCAATCAAACACTAATCTAGGTGTTGCAATGAGGAATATTGCAGATGTGATTAATGTTCATAATCAGTTGACTCTAAGTAAGCGAGATTATCCTAGATAATCTGGTGGGCCTGATTGATTAATTGAAAGGCCTTAAGAGCAGAACTGACCTTCTCCAGAAGAAATTCTACTTGTAGAATGCAGCCTTAGCTGCTGCCCGAGAATTTCCACCCTGCTGCCTGCCCCCACAACCACGGAAGGCAATTCTTTGCAACAAATCCCCTTAACATATATCCCCTACTAGTTCTACATCTCCAGTTGAACCCTTACTGAAACACTGCTCCAAGAAGTATATGAACTGCTCAACTCATCTCATCCTCAGAGTATGGGTCTAAGGACATTAACATTTTTGCTTATTTGATAAGTGTAAAGATACAGTCAATTATTTGCTACATTGATTTTCCTCTCCAATGGAAAAAAAAAACTTTTCAGATATTTATTAATCATTTGTATTTCCACTTTTGGTAATTGTCTTTTCCCACTGATGGAAGTGAAGCTTTGTGGTTGACGAGGTGGGCTCTGGATCTGTGTCCTGACCCTATCACTAGAGACCTTAGGCATAGAACCCCTTGCTGCCCCAGTCTCTTCATTTGTAAATTGGCTATACTAATGTACCTACCTTTCCCAGTTATAAATGTATTACTCCTCAATCTCAAATTCACCCTTCACCACCTGCTCTGAGACAATGGGCCAAAGTCTAAGCCTTTCTTCTCTGCAGTGAGTACGGTATTTAAGCTTTGTCAGCAGAGGACACTGGAGGAACATGGTAGGAGGAGGGATCTGCATCTGGAGTGCTGCTCTTTTTTCTTCTTTTTCCTGCTGACATCTGGCTGCAGTGGTGCATGGGCAGGACATCCAGTGTTAGTCACTCCACCCCAGCTGTGAACCCTGAGCGTGTGATCCCTTGGCAAGCTCACAAGCTGGCCAGGCCTGGGTACCATCTTGTTGGGGCCTTCTAGTGTGGACACTGTGCACCCCAGGCCTTGTGCTGCCCTGACACCCTCTGCTTACCCCACCAGCCTGCACCGCGGAGAGTTGGCTCCTTTGACTTGGAGACAGACATCTCACACCTCAGGCCATGTGCTACCCTCCTGGGGAGTGGCTCTCAACACTGTGACTCACCCCTGCCCACCCACCCACCAGCCTCAATCCTTCATCCCAGGATAGAGTTCCCTCCTTGCCTCGCAGGGAGACAGCTCTGGGGTGGGCATCCCAGTGGAATTCTCTGCTATCCTGGGGGCTGCAACCTCGCTTTCTCCAACAAAGTCTGAATCCCAGTCTTGGGGAGGTCTCTCCAGGCCCCCGCCAAGTTGTTCCTTTCTTGGATACTTTTCATCAGCTCCACAGTATTCTTCTGAGTTCTCTTTTTATCTTGATAAGTTCTTCCCCATTATAGTTAATAGTTATTTGTTTTAAATTTTTTTTTCTTGTTCAAATTACTGACTGGACTCCAGCTGATGCTTGGCCTCACAGAACTGTTGTGAGGTGACTCATACAATGCACTTGGATCACAGACTGCAAATAGTAGGTGCTCAATGAATGCTAGTTATTATTACCTTTGGCATCTTAATATTTTCTTATTGATTTGTATGAGCTATTTATATATTAAGGATGTGAACTTAAAATAGAGCTTTAGAAAGTAATATAATAAAGTGGCCTACAGAATATCTAGTTAGAAGACCTAACTTAATGTTCATTAAGAAGTAACCAGGATTAGGCATAACTTTAGAGTAGAAAAAAAAGTTGGATTTGAATCCTGGCTCTGTAATTTGCTTATTTTGGGGAAGACCTTTAGTCTCTTCTAGACTCCTTTTTTCTCATTTGTATAGATGCAAATAAAAATAAATGTATTTTAGGGTTGCTGGGAAGACTACAAGAGATGAAGAATAATAAAGCTTTTAGGGCAGTTTCTCCTACATAGTAGGCACTCCATAAATGTTTCTTTGTCCTCTCCAGTTCAAGTCATATTCACTTTCACACATAATGAAGTACCTCATTTGGCATTCTTAACAACCTCAGGAAGCCACCAAGACTGGTATTGCAGCCGAATAAAAACCAAGGCACAAAGTCATTTAACTACTTACCATCACATGCTGGCTAGCAACCATGAAAGGACCAGAGTATTGCATTTTGGATTTGCTTTTACTCTACTTAAGAACTAATGAGTTACCATGACTCAATGAATCCTTGATTAATTTGATCTTTTGTTGCTTTGAAGTGACCCTCTTTATCTATATCTGTGCTTTTTGTCTTAAAATCTACTGCATATTGCTATTTTATACCAGTTTTCTTTTGATTACTATTTATGTGGCATATATATTTTTTCAAACTTTTAATTCCAACCTATGTTTCAGATATTTTGGATATGTCTCTTGTGTTTTAATTATATTTTTGCCAGTCTGTCAGCCTTTGTCTGTTAATTGGCATATGTTGTTTATTTACACTTAATGTGAAGACTAATATATGTGTTTTAATCTGTGGTCTTACTATGTATTTTCCCTTGTTTACTCCTATTCTATTCTGTATTTATTTCTGTTTTTTTTTGAATTAAATGGAAGGATGAAATAATTAAATAATTAAAAAATTCTCATTAGCTTCAAAGTTATATACCATTTTATTGCCTTAGTAGCTACCCTAGAGAATTCGTCACTTTTATTTATGAAAATCTAATATTATTTGATAACTTTACCACATATCCAGACAATTCCTTATAATATGTTAATTCCATTTATCATGCTCTGTATACGCCATTATTGTTGTGTAGGTTAATATTCTTTTTCTATAAATGATAAGACATAAGTATTATTTTAATAGTCAACACTCACATATATTACACATGTATTTGCTTCTTTTTTGCCTCTTTCTTTCTTCCTACATCTCTAATCATCTGGGTTCACTTTTCTTCTGCCTTTATAGGTATTCTATTTAGTAGTCTCTGCTACAGGTAAATGGTGTCAGTTTTTATTTGTCTGAAAATGACTTTATTTCATTTTTATTCTGGAATAATATTTTCCCTGGCAGTAGAAATCTAAGTTGGCAGTTATTTTCTCTCAGCACTTTGAATATATCATTATATTGTCTTCTGGCTTACATTGTCTCTGTTGAGAAGTTGCTGTCAGTCTATTTTTACTTTCATGGTAATATTTCTTCTTTCTGTGGCTGCCTTTTTAAGAATCAAAATATTTTGAGGTATAATTTAGATACAATACAACATATCCATTTAAAATGTACATTTTGGCCACTTGCGGTGGCTCACACCTGTAATCCCAGCACTTTGGAAGGCCAAGGCATGTGGGTCACCTGAGGTCAGGAGTTTGAGACCAGCCTGGTAAAAGGTGAAACCCCATCTCTACTAAAAATACAAAAATTAGCTGGGCATGATGGTGGGTTCCTGTAATCCCAGCTACTTAGGAGGCTGAGACAGGAGAATTGCTTGAACCCAGGAGGTGAAGGTTGCAACCATTGCACTCCAGCCTGGGCAACAAGAGCAAAACTCTGTCTCAAAAAAAAAAAAATTCATTTTGATGAGTTTTGACAAATTTATTCACCCAACTAATCACCATCAACTAGATGCAGAATAGTGCCATACTGTCTGATCTTAAGTATTCTTTGTGCTTTATCCCAATCAGACATTCCTACTCCTCTTCCCAGGCAACCACAGACCTGCTTTTCATTTTTATAGATTGAATGGATCTTTCCTACAGTTTAATAAAGATGAAAAGATGTGTCTGGCATCTTTTGCTCAGAAGAATGCTTTAAGGTTTATCCATGATGCTGTGTATATCAGTATTCAACTTCCCCATCCCAGTAGTATTCCATTGTATAGATATAATTTATTGTCTATTCACCTGTTCATTGACATTTAGTTTGTTTCCAGTTGCAAGCTATTATGAATAAGGCTGCTATGAACATTCACATACAAATATTTGGGTAAATACTCAGGAATGGGAATTCTGAGTCATATGGTAAGTATATATTTAATTTTATAAGAAACTCCCAAATTGTTTTTCAAAGTGATTGTATGATTTTATGCTTCCTACAGTAATGTATGAGAGTTTCAGTTGCTCCTCATTCTTGTCAACATTTGATATTGTCAGTCTTCAATTTTAGCCATCCTAGTAAGTATATAGGGGTATCTTACTGTGATTTTATTTACATTTCCATAATAACTAAAATTTTGAGCATCTTTTATTGTGCTTATTTGGCATTCATATATCTTTTTTTTTTTTTTTTTTTTGAGATGGAGTCTCGCTTTGTGCCCCAGGCTGGAGTGCAGTGGCGCAGTCTCGGCTCACTGCAAGCTCTGCCTCCTGGGCTCACACCATTCTTCTGCCTCAGCCTCCTGAGTAGCTGGGACTACAGGCGCCCACCATCATGCCCGGCTAAATTTTTTGTATTTTTAGTTGAGATGGGGTTTCACTGTGTTAGCCAGGATGGTCTTGATCCCCTGACCTGGTGATCTGCCTGCCTCGGCCTCCCAAAGTGCTGGGATTACAGGCGTGAGCCACCGCGCCTGGCCCATTCATATATCTTTGAGGAAATATCTGGTCAGTTTATCTATTTTGTCTGGTGTGAGCTTTGGTATTTGTCTTTCAAGGAATTTGCTGAATTAATTTATTTGCATGAAATTGCTTATAACATTCTCTTATTGCCCTTTTAATGTTTGCAGGATCTGTAATACTATTTTATTCCTGATATTCATAACTTTTCTATTTTCTGTTTTATTCTTGACTAGTCTGGCTGGAGATTTATCAATTTTTTTAATGTTTCCCAAGAATTAGTTTTTCATTTTATTGCTTTTCTCTATTGTCTATTTTCCATTTCATTGATTTTACTTTTATCTTTATGGTTTTCTCCTTTCTGTTTAATTTGCTCATCTTTCTCTAGTATCTTGGGGAGTATGGTATGACATGGAAGTGTATCAAATTGTGGGGTTTTTTTTTTGCTTAAACAATAGAAATTTACTTCTCACAGTTCCAGGCACTAGAAGTCAAAGATTAAAGTATCAGTAGGTTAGAGTGGGCCTTAATTCAAAAATCCTGGTGTCCTTGTAAGTAAATATGTTTTATGCATTGGTAGGGGTGTAACAATTCTGAAATAATTTTAGAAGTTTTCAAGAGTAAGCAAATGAGTCAACATTTTAGTGTAGTTGGGAGCCAACCAAAGAAATGACATTTGAATATTAAATGTAGAAAGAGTCTTGTGGCATTGAATTGTAACTGGAGGTAGTGGTATGACTTATGATTTCAAAACTGTGTATTCACATTTGTACCTGTATATATGGGTATGCATGTATGTTTAACTGTATGTGTATGTGGATTTGTACATGTTATATGTACATGTATATTTTTAGCTCTGTTCAGTAGAAGGGCTAAGAATCAATTGCATTTCAGTAGCTATGAGGATAACTTGCAGTCAAATTTTACCATTTTATATTCTTTTGTATTCTTCCCTTTTAAAAGTAGAGAAGAAGTGATACCTTGGAGAAATGGCTGACTTCAGTTCTGGTCAGAGTAGATACAAGGTGAACCTGTTGTGTCTTGTTAGTTATGCCAAAAAATTAGGAAGATAAAAAAAATGATGATGGCATGTCTTAATTACATAGAACAAAGTTTGAAGAGGTTTCCACTGGTTAAATATGGAAGAATTTGAGCACCAAAATAGGCACAGTAATGAATCTAAACTATTGAAAATATAGGAATTCACAAACCCGTGTAGATAATAAAACAAAAATAAATAAGCACATAAATAAATCGTGATAGGAGAGTGACTTTTTGGCTTTCTCTTGTGTACAGTAAGATACTGAGGCCCAATTAAATATGGAGGGAATGCTGGCATTGAAAAAACCCCAGAATTTTAACATCAGCATAAATAAAGATTGTGTCAGGCACAAGTTATTGGCAGATGCTAATCTAGTGGAAAATTTTGATGATTGGCACATTATTTACATGGTCTCAAAATGTCTCCTAACAGATCGCTTATTAATTATAAGGGGAAAAAATAGTAATTTTACGTTGGTGAAACTGAGCAATACCTTGACTATGTAGCTGAAATTAATATCACCAATGAGGGGCACATGGACACCCATTGCCCCCAGGTTTGATTCTCTGACAAGGACACAACATCACTTATGTAAGTATTCCAGCTAGCAATGTGTGATTTAACTGGATTGAATCATGAGGAAACATTAGACAAACCCCAAATCAGGAGAGATCTATTTTTTAAAAGGCAGTGAGGGTGTGTATGTGTGTGTGTGTGTATGTTGTACTCTTCAAAAGTGTCAATGTCTTAAAAAACAAAGACAGACTGTAGAAGTGTTCCAAATTAAAGGAGACTAAAGGGATATGCAATAACAGACACCACATGAGATCCTGTCCTGGGGAAAAAATTGCTATAAAGGACATTATTAGGTCAATTGATAAAACTGGAATATAAGCAGTTAATTAGATATAAGTATTGTATAAATGTTAAATTTACTGAAATTGATGACTGTACTATGGTTCTGTTCTAGAATATTCCTATTCTTAGGGAATGCACACCGAAGTATTTAGGGGTAAGTGGCCATGGCATAAGTAAATTACTTCTAGATGGTTCAGAAAAAGTACAAAAAGTGTATACATACGTATGTATATATTGGGGGAGAGAGAGAGACAGAGAATGAAGAGAGTGAGTGCATGTAGATGCACAAGAATAAGAAAACAACAATGAAAATGATAAATAGCATAAAATATTGACAATAAATGAATCTGGGTATTCTTGGTAATATTCTTGCAACTTTTTTGTAAGTTTGAAGTTATTTCTAAATAAGATGTTAAAACATTAAGATTATGCCTGAGAGCTCCAGTATTACATTCCCCTGTGGGTCCAGTTCTGTGGTCTACTGTTTTTTTTTTTTTTACTATTCATGCTTTGGCAGTTACCTCGTCTCCTCATGTGTGTAGGTATTTTTCATTATGTGTCAGACATCGTGTTTTCAGAAATGTTTGTGGAAATAATTAATTTGAGTCCTTAGATGAAGGCACTTTTCTCCAGAGAGAATTTATGAATAGCATGAATAGTTAGTTTACTTTTGCATGTGCCCAGAGGCACTAGCATTCCAGGATATCAGGAAAAAACTCAGATCACTTTAATTCATGTTCAGGGACTGACTGTCCATGTCTGATTCACTCTTATTCCCATGGTGTGGTTCTTTGGGGTTCCCAAACAAATTAAAGTGTGTTGGGGGAAGGATGTTGAAAGATTTGTGAGGCTTCTTCCACTTTGTGGGCTCTGGATTCTGGTGTCTGTTTTAGGTTTGTGAGGTTGTCGAAAGTTCTTAGCCTCTTAGCTGACCCCCGTCTGGTATTAGCAAATGCCCACAGAAGAAAAGAGGCCCCCAGTTCTGGGCTCATCTTCATGCACCTATCTCATCCCCTGGATTCCAGCTGTGTAATTTTTTACCTTTAAAATTTTTTTTGATGTCTGCTGTAAGTCATATTTATATTTTGACTAGTTTCTCTTGTTGTCCCCAGCAGGAGAATTTCTTGGGGTCACTGAGACTGCCATTACTGAAAGCAAAAGTCTCCCAACTTGATTCTTTTAACTTCTATAAAGTATTTGATAATAGGGCTATATCATGGTTTACTTAGCCATTCTTGCATTGACAGACATTTAGTTTTTTCCAAATTTGTACTGTTTCTAATAATGATGGGTTAATCATACTTGCATGTGTCTCCCTGTGTACATGTAAAAGTACTTTTCTAGCTATCAGGAAATGGAAATGCTAGGTTATAGCTATTGAACATTTTAAATGGTAGTGGAGCAGCCACAGTTTTCCAAAATGACAGTAGTAGTATATACTCTACCAGTGATGCATAGGAGTTCTCATTTTTCCACAGCCTCCTCAGTGCTTGACATTATATAATCTTTGAAATGTAGCCAATGTGATGAGTGACAAAAATATCCCCTTATTGGTCTAATTTTCATTTTGGTGACTGACAACAACATTGAACATCTTTTCATATGTTTATTGGCCATTTGTATTTCCTTTTCTGTGAAATCTCTTTTCGTGTCATTTGCCCACTAGCTGATTTTTCATTATTGATTTATATGTATTCATTACATATTTTGGATATTCATTCTTTTAAATTTATGTATCAAATATTATCTTTAGTTTGTCACTTCCCTTCACATTTTCATGGAGTCTTTTGCCTTACGTTGTAAGTATTGCGGTAGTTTAATTATCAATCTTATATTCTGTGGCTTTGCACTTTATCTCTTACACTAAAATCTCAAGGCTTGTCTCCTATAATTTAAAAATAATCCTGTTTGTTTTTTGCATTTCAGTAAAACACACACACACACACACACACACACACACACACACACATAATCCAACACTTAAATTTTTTTAATTCACTCACATTCTGTGGGCTTTCATTCCTTGTATTTGACTTTCAAATTTTATAATATGAATTTTAAATGAGAGCATTTGGTGACCTTTTTGTAGACTGCAAAAGGAGTTGCCTTTTTCCATCATATCTCTTCTTTTTCCTTCTAGTTTTTTTCTCTAATGAGAAAAATGATGATAAGAAGTGTCAGCATGGAATGGTGACGGATGCTGGGCCAAGTATCAGAGGAAAATGGATCGCAGTGTGTCTGTCCATGCACAAACATTTTGTCTCTTTGGGCCTTACTTTTGTCGACCTCAAAGCAAGAGCATTAATGTACAATTATTAAATTCTCTTCTAGGTCTCATACATTTATAATATTATCATGATGAAATGTAATCATTGAAAAGATTTGTATCAGTATTGCCTAAGGCCTTTGACTTGAAAGTAAATTATACATTGAAAACCAAGTGCAAAAAAATCACTGAAAACCTTCTTTAGCATAGTTATTTCCTAAATGCCAATTACAGTAGGTTAGTCTGTTTAGAGATGCTCCATGAAACACCAGTGTAAAGGATAGGTGATCCAGTCAGTGTGAGAGCTGCTTCATAGTGCATTTTCTATTCCTATTCCTCTCTTGGAGATTTCCAAACACACATTAGCTTATTAAACCCTGCCATTTTGTAGGGGCAGATGCCTGTCACCAAACCCCAGAGCATGCAGGATGCTCAGCCTGGTGTGTACCGACTCTGCTTGTCACCATGCCACAGCCAATCACGGTGCCTTTTTGGATTGTCCTGCCTTGTTAATTACTGTTTGGGCAGCTTGTCCTAATCCCCTATCCTAGGAACAGGGCCAGACTCAACAGAAGACATCTCTTGTCCTTGCTGAATTTACTATTGTTTTGCTTCTGCACATGGCTCTGGAGAGCTGAATGGAGCTTTCAAGTAGGGCCCGTTTTAACAGAGATTTCTGGGCTCTGGCTTAGACCCACCTATGTAGATGATGCCCTGTGATGAATGCCACGTTTCTGTTTTCAGAAAGAGGCAGCAAAGTTATCATTATGACAACTTTACAGTGAAAAAGCACTGTAGCCTGGCTTCAGTCTGGCATCTAAAATAAAATAATAACCAAAATAAGGACACTGGCTTTGAATTTATTCCACCTTTTCTCCCTGGCTCAGTTTTCCATTGTGAACCTATACATGGCAACAGTTACGCAGAAAGATGGCAAAAGGAAGTGCCTGCCTACAGCCAGCCGTGTGTGTGTGTGTGTTTGTGTGTGTGTGTGTGTGTGTGTGTGTGACATTTCTGGCAATTCCTAGCATTTCTCTGCATATGAAGGTGATGAGAATGAACACCCCCTCTGTAATGAAACCAAGTGCTAGCAGATAGCTTGGCCTCTTCAGTAATTTAAGGTCTTCATATAGGCATTTGCAAAGACAGAGCTGTGATAGCAAACATCTTGCTTAGCGCTCAAAAGAGAAAACATTTCTGTCATCCAGAAATCTGCTTATTTATCTCTTAGGAAAGGATTTATAAATATAGTTTTAGGAAGATAGAAACCATTCCATTCTGGATGATCCTGTTAGGTTTCTCCATTTGTTTGCTTTGCATCTGAGGACTTTCCTAGTTCATTGGCTGTTTTTCTCTTTAACAAGTGGATATGATGCCTCGCTTGATGTTTATTTTCAATCATGATAGAAACTGTGAACTATCTCTAGGTTAAGAAGTGAAATTTTAAGTGCTATGCACTGATACTTTTTTGGTCCCTGAGAAGCTAATAAGAGAACTTTAAATGTAGAACTTAAAATTCCTGCACTGAATTGGACTCATTAAAAACTTAAAATACACCTCACCATCCAAGGCCCTCAAGCAATCTGAACAGAAGGTGCTCTATGTCTTAAAAGAAGAAATACGCAGTTTGAGTTTACTAGAGTGCAACAAACAACCATTGACGATTCAAGGGAATTCTGGAGTGATTCCTAATTGGGGGGTAAGGGAGGGGAGTCTGGAGTGGAGGAGAGGCAACTGCACATTTCAGGAGGGGGAACAATGGGGTGGAGGAAATGAAAGGTGGAAGGAGTAAGAATAAAGACCCGACTAGGGGGAGAGAGAGGAGAGGGAAGGAGAAGAATGCAGGAAACCGTAAAGTACTAGTGGTGAATGCTATCTTGGGAACCGAGGGGCTTAGTTCGAGGCAAGAACAAAGTGCTGATGAGGATAAAGCCTGGCATTTGGGGACATTTGTGGGAATCACAGCCTGTGCTTAGTGATTAAAGTAAATCAGATTTGAAATTCTGCCCAGCCCAGGAAGGCACAGAGGACTTTCCTAAAGAGCTCGAGAGAAATTTGCAAGGAGATGTTGGTGACGGGAGGTTTAAATAAGAAGAAATACTAGTAAGAGAAAGGAACTGTGTGTGATTTGTGTGATTTTGGTGGGGGCAGTGTCTTTATTCTTTCTTTACTATTTTCTGAGTTCCCTGAAAAGGTTGTTGGACCAGATCATTTCTACACGTCGTTGTCCAGGGATGGATTATCTTCAAGGGTTGGATTTTTTTTTTTTTTTAAGTAATCTGAAGGTATGTGTAATCACTTGTATGTTTCACTAATGATTTGATCACGGCTCCAGCCCCCTTGTGGTTGGGTGGAGCCATGTGATGATTTCTGGCCAGGGAGTTGTAAGTGGAAGTTGTTGCATTTGCTGCTTTTATGCCACAGCGTTTACTTACTGTTGTGGAACTTTCCAGATCTCTACCTCAGGGTGATTCTGGAGTAAAGAGATGTGGAGTAGACCAGGGACTGGTGCACTTTTTCTGTAAAGGGCCAGATAGTAAATATTTCTGGCTTTGGAAGCCATGCTCTGTTGCAACTACTACGTTCCACTGTTATGGCACAGAAGCAGTAAATGAATGAGCGTGGCTGTGTTTAATAACATTTTAGTTACAAAAACAAGTGGCAGGCCGAATTTGGCCCATGGGCTGCAGTTTGTGACCCTTAGAGTGGAGCACCCATCCAATTCCCGCTGGACATGTATCAGCATATCCATGAGAAATAAGGTTTTATTTTTAAAGCCACCCAAATATTGCGTTTGCTACCACAGCACCCCCGAGCCTATTTGACTGACACAAGGTGAAAAGGAGCCAACTGTGCTTCTGGTTTTATAAAGGAAGCAGCTTTCCTGGGAAGATGGCCAGGACGAATCCCCAGACCATTACAGTTAAACCTGCATTTATTGATCACCAGCTGTGTGCTGATAACTGTGCATTTTCCCAAAGCTTCCAAAACAGGTCCCAGGAAACAGTCTAAAAACGCCTCCTTGCATGAAGGATTCAAGAGGCTGCCAGGGCACTCACTGTCGGGGCCCTGCTTCTGGGAGCCGGGATCTAGGGGGCTCATCCTGCCTCCACCCTCTGTGGGGCTTTGCCTGCTGAGGAGCCTTCAGCCCTAAAGGGAAGAGGGAGGTGCAGGGTTTTTGTTGCTTTAAATCTGCCTCGTTACTCTCTTACAGGTTCCTTCTGAGACCTGGGCTGTTCCTACCTGGCCACTCACCAGGCTGCATCAGGTTCTGCTTATTCCCAGGCCTCCCCACTGCAGTCTCTCTGTGCTCCCTGGAGGCAAAGACTGTGTCTTGTTTGTCTCTGTGTCCTCAGAGGCTGGCACATGGCAGGGGCTTCAGAAAGACCTGTGGACCCCCAAACCTTACATCTGAACTTTGTGAATTTTATTTGTTTTTCTGTAGCAAAATGTATGTTTTCTATTTTTTATGAAAAATCCCCATTCTCTTTTGGCTGGGAACCCCTCTCTGGAGCTCTCCTGTCCCATTTCCTTTGTGATCTTCTCTTTCCCAGCCCTGGAGACACACATGCTGCCCAAATCCCGAGGTCCTCCCCTCCCTGCTGCAGGCAGGTCTGGCTGGAGATGCTCCTGAGTGGGCTCTGCTGCCTGCAACCTGCCCACCTGCCCTTCGAAAGCTCAGGCTCATTCTGTGGCTCAGGGGGGCTGTTTATTCACTCGCTCTGATGATAAAGCTGCATGTACAGCAAGTGACAGGAAGCTGATGGACAGGGAGTGACCCAGGAAACGTGTCTCAGCTCTTTCCTTCTCTCCACCTCCTTCGCAGGGATTCCTAGTTTCTCCCCTAAGACTGTCTTTTTTTCTCCTGATTTTGCTTAGTTTGAGGATTTTCTTTCCAACTCATGTTTGCCAATTTAATTCCACCATTTTAGCTCCTAATTGGGGTGGAGGGTGAATCGGTCTCCTGTGCTCAGAGTTGGAATTGGGATCTGCATTCTGGGGTTCCTTGATCTCTTTATTAATCACGGCCAGCTCTTACAGCTCATCTGGGCATAATTAACGTCAGCCAGAATGTGAGCGTTGAGTTTGGATGGGACCCTTGCAGGGGCCTCTAGGGAAACAGACAAAATAAAATGCAATTCCTGTTCTCCATGTGTTTACAACTCTGAGGGGAGAGGCCACTATACACATCCCACTGGGAGGCTGGGGCAGGGGAATAGTTGATTTGGCTGGTGACAGGATCCTACAGGTGACGGTGAAGCTGCCTGGGGCTCTGCAAGGGAAGGGCTGGAAGGAGAGCATCCTGGGGCAGAGGAGACAATGGTGTGCTTGTCTAGCTGAGCATGAAGCATAGGCCTGTGGGTGTGCACATTCAGGTGAGCATGATGCAAAGGCCACAGGTGTACCCGTCTAGGTGAACATGATGCAGAAGGCCACAGGTGTACATGTCCAGGTGAGTGTGATGGGAGCAGCAGGAGCTGGGTCTGGACAGGCAGGTGGAGATGAGGTGACCCAAGTGTCTTCCTAATGGAAAGCAAGGCCTGCTGTGGTCACAATGTGGGGTAAGGATTAAACAGAGCTGTATCAGGATGGGGTGTACGTCTCAGGTGATCCCTGGAGAGGTTTGAAGAAGGAGGCAGAGGGTGGTCATGAGGCAAGGTGAGTAAGGTGTGACGAGTGGGAGGAGAAGGCAGATTCCAGAGACAGGTCTGGCTAGAACCAGCAGGACTCAGGGACAGAATCTGTGTGGGGGATGGAGCTGAGTGGGAGGCAGTGGCGTCCCTGAGGCCAAAAACAAGGGCCTTGGACAAGGCCCTTGTCCAAGGACAAGGGATGGAGCCTGGGACACAAGTCCTAGTCATGTGCGTTTATTATAAAGTGCAGCTCAGGAGCTTGTGTCCATGACAGAGTAATTGGCCAGACTGGTCCCCTACCTCTGCCATAAACAACTTGGAGCTTGAATAGAAACCAGGAAACAGCAGTTTTCAGACACTAAGCAGGCAGCACAGGTCTGTGATTCTAGAGAGAAGGAAACAAACCAGGCTGGGACCCCAGGCGACCAGCAGGGGTCATTTGGTTTCAGTGGGGCCTTGCAGGTCCTGGGGAGCTGAGGGCTGCACAATTCTCAGAGCTCCCTCAGGGCTGGGGGATGGTTATGTTGAGAGCAGCCAGGTGGAGATCAGATCACACATGGAGCTGGCTCAGGACCCCTGGAAATGAGACTCACATCCATGCGGCCAGCGTCCGTGTCCCCTGCCTCTGAGAATGGCCAGGGCTGGGAAGCCAATGGAGATGTTCCCGCCTGCACTGCTGTCACACTGGGTGGTGTTGTCAGGGTGACTCACGTGGACACTCAGCATCTGAGGACAAATGAGAGTAGATGTTGGGGTCCTGTACACAAAAGGCACCACAACAGGAGAATGAGTCCTGTCATCACTTGACCTGGCTGTCTTTATTTTAGTTCCATGCTATGACACTCCTGACAGCACAGATGTGGCAGTGTGGAATCATGAATGTTATCTGCCCTGTCCAAGTCCATCAGGGAGAGACAAAATAGGTGTGTGGTCATGGAGCTCAGATTCCCTGTGGTCCCCCCATGTGCAATTAGCATCTTCGGGTGACATCACCATTTGTCCACAGCAAAGCCCCTTTCAGAGCACCCCCGTCCATCTTATGCCTGAGTGGAGCCAACGAGGCCCCTGAGGCTCCCTGCTAATTGCTGTTTCTCATGTGTCCATGCCTGTGTGGTTTGAACACGAGGAGGGGCTGAAACTGGGGCAGCTGGGCAGGCTGCCTCACCTTTCAAATAGTGGGACCCTCTTCTACGTGTGGGGAACCGCCAGCATGTCCTTGGCTCAAGTCACTCTGGAGGTCCCAGGAGTATGAACACTGCTGCCTCCCACTGTTATCCTGCATGCTTGTCTAGGGTCTTGCTGACGAGGGCACGTTTTCTAAAACTACCGAGAGAACTGGAGATCATCATGCTAAATGAAATAAGCCAGACACAGAAAGACAAACATTGCTTGTTCTCACTTATTTGTGGGATGTAAAAATCAAAACAATTGAAATCATGGACATAGAGAGTAAAAGGATGGTTACCAGAAGCTGGAAGGGTAGTAGTAGGGTGTGGTGGGGATGTCTAATGGGTACAAAAAATATAGTTACAAAGAATGAATAAGACCTACTATTTGATAGCACAACAGGGTGACTGTAGTCAATAATAATTTAATTGTATGTTTTAAAATAACTAGAAGAGTATAATTGGATTGTTTGTAACACAAAGGATAAATGCTTGAGAGGATGGATACCCCATGGTATGGTCTGGATGTGTCCCCACCCAAATCTCATCCTGAATTGTAGCTCCCATAATTCCCATGTGTTATGGGAGGGACCTGGTGGGAGATAATTGAATCATGGGAGCAGTTTCCCCCATACTGTTTTCACGGTAGTGGATAAGTCTCATGAGATCTGATGATTTTATAAGGGGTTTCCCCTTTCTCTTGGCTCTCATTTCCCTCTCTTGCCTGCTGCCATGTAAGACGTGCCTTTCACCTTCCACCATGATTGTGAGGCCTCCCCAGCCATGTGGGAGTGTGAGCCCATGAAACCTCTTTTTCTTTATAAATTACACAGTCTCAGGTATGCCTTTATCAGCAGTGTGTGAACAGACTAATATAACCCATTTTACCTGATGTGATTATTATGCATTGCATGCCTGTGTCAAAACATCTCATGTACTCCATAAACACATATACCCACTATGTACCCACAAAAGTTAACATAAAAAAATAAAGCTGGCAGGGCACGGTGGCTCACGCCTGTAATCCCAGCACTTTGGGAGGCCGAGGTGGGTGGATCACCTGAGGTCAGGAGTTTGAGACCAGCCTGCCCAACATGGTGAAACCCCATCTCTACTGAAAAATACAAGAATTAGCTGGGCATGGTGGTGGGCGCCTGTAATCTCAGCTACTCAGGAGGCTGAGGCAGGACAATTGCTTGAACCCAGGAGGTGGAGGTTGCAGTGAGCCGAGATCATGCCATTGCACTCCAGCCTGGGTGACAGAGCAAGACTCCATCTCAAAAAAATAAAAAGTAAAAAATAAAAAAAAATCTACCAAGAATACATCTTAATTTTCGTTCTTAAGCTAAAGAAATCATCTCTCCTTCAGTCCAACGCATTTCACTCTTCAACAGTACTGCTCAACCGTTTGAGTATCTGCGGCCTTTTCATTGTTCTCAGCCCATAGACCAGAGTCAAAGGATGAAATAAAACAGTTGATTCCAGACCACTGGGGCCAGTGTCATCAGCGTGTGTATGTCATTGGCAGCCACTTCTTTTGAGGACCCACTATTAGCTGCTCATCTACAGGGAAGATCCTGGAAAATTCTCACAAAATCAAATCTTGGCCTTTCCTTACAATCTTTTACTTCTGGTCTTTTGAAGACAATGAAACATATTGTTTGTTGTCATCATGAAAGTTTTAAAAAAGATCTTTACAATTTTGCTCCTCTCAGAAAGTTATTTTTGTCTTCATATTTTCCCACATGTCCTGTATTCATTAATGAAACAAAGGAAAGGTGCGTGGCTCTCCCCAGTGGGATAATCTGAGTTATGAGAATGTTTGCTGCAAAGGGCTTTCTGATGTATTTGAATAATAAAGATGTTCAGGAAGGTGATCTCAGTGAGAAATAATAGCAAAGTTAGATTGGAATACTCAGCAGGGGAGGCACTGGCAGTACCCAGGAGAGCCAGAGCTGGGAGCTTATGGACCTTCTTTAGGCGGGGCTATGAGTCCTCCCTGAATTCAGGGAGATGCATTTGGAGCCTGTGAGTCTGATGGAAGGAGGAGATTCTCAGAGTCAGGGTCAGACCCACACATGCTTACTGTGGCCAGGCTGATCACAGGTACTGAGACTGAAGGGCTGGTGCTGGCCTGGGAGGAGGAGTTCCTCTCAATCAGGGTCAAACCCACACATGCTCACTGTCACCAGGCTGATCACAGGTAATGAGACTGGAGGGCTGGTACTGGCCCCGGGAGCCCCTGCCCCTCTAACCAGGAGATGCCCTCAGCTTCAGCTGATAGTTGCTGCAGAGGGATGTGGGGCCGGGACCACACCAACTTCTGTTGATTGTTTCAAGAGAAGTCAGACATCTGGATTTGAGGTAGAATCTCTCAATTTTTGAATGTTGACACTTTAGAAACACCATGCAGGGCAACAGAAAACACATCTTCATTCCAGTTTGCAAACTTCATCCTCGAACTGGTTGTAAGCGGCTCTTTCTCATCATCTGCCACAGGCACTTTGGACTCTGTTGTTTTCTTCTCTCATGAACCTCAAATCTCATCCCAGTCCTTACGTCCAGGGCGTTTCCTCCCGGCGCTGCCAGGCCACCCTTGCCTTCTTCCTTTGCATCCCGCTGGTCTCCTCACCTTGAGTTAGGAAAGCTGCTCCCTGCCTCGTCCACAAGCCTGGTTCTCGACCTCGCTGTGCTGTTCAATCTTCATAGAAAGCAAACTTTATTTCCCAATGATTTCAGGAAAGTCTCAGCTTGGATCTCATTGGCCCAGGCTGAGTCATGTGCTCATATTTGAACCAGTCACTGTGATTCATGGAATATGCTGATTGGCTGGGCTGGCTCACATGACAGCCCCTGGGATTGCAATGGCAGTCAACTCCATCTGAAGCACGTGGACTAAAAGTGTGGAATGGTATTTTTGCCAAAGGAAATGTGGTGTACTGTTAATCAGAATAAAGGGAATAGATCGCAGGTTGACTAAAATCATATATGTCCCCTACACTTGGATTTCAAACTGATTGACCATTTAGCCTTTAGAATGTATGAACCAGGACTCTTAGCCAATTTGATTCCTAAGTAGATATTATATTATCTCTTTATTCAAATGAATAATTTTGTTTGTATTCATAGAGGACCAGCTATGTGTGCTATGCCTGGTTGTGCTGAACAGAAAGAACAAGACTGTTTCTGTCTTCATGGAGGGGCGAGTCTGGCAGTGAAGCTAGACCATAAATAAGTACCCAAATAATTAATTATAATTATGAGAAATGCCATGAAAAAGAGAAATATTAGGAGGTTAGAGTGTGTAAAACACAGATATCTGGTATAGCCTGGCAAGTCAAAGGTTGCTTTTCTGAATAGGTGACGTCAAATTGAGCCCTGCACGATAAATAGATGTCCCCGAAGTGAGGCATGGGTGAGCTGAGGTGTGGCTGGACTATGGGCTGGTTGAACTCGGAGTAGATGTTGACATATCTATCAGCCTGCATTCAGTTTCCATAAAGGCTTCTAAATAAAAATATTTCTATGACCTTCTTGAGGATGATTACTACCAATAAAATTTGGTTCTTCTCTCTGGAAGAAAACTTGACTAATCCACAAGCAGCAACCTGTGAACTTTTGGTCGTGCTCTATACAATTATGTTGGCATATTTGTTTGTTTGTTTGAGCCATGCACAAAGCCTCATGACCCAGACCCAAGGGCCCCTGTTAATTTGCTGAGTAGCTAAGCTTAGGATAGAGTTTGGGACCCAAGAATGGAGGTTTCCTCTAGAAAGCTAACTGGTCTCTATGATGTTAAAGCTTTTAACCTTGGCATCATGTTCCAAATGTTCCAATTGTGTGAAAGTTTGCAGGGTAATAATTTATCTCTCAAATATTAAGTAAACTAAAAGCAATGGCAGTACTTCTCTTGAGCTGAATGAAGCGTCCACTCGATACTTCTGATCCTCTCCTGACAGACTGCTTTACTCAAATTCTACTTGTGAAGCAAATGGGTTTTCATCAGTGGCAGGATATTTTAAAAGTGCAATATTCATAGTCCTCTGTTAGCTGACCATCCCTTGAGACTGAGTAGGAACTCGCATTGTGGTCTGAATTGCTACATCCTTTTATTGTCACAATAGGGATGGATGGCAATGGGGTGTGCTGTCAGTGTGATGTGCATTTCAGAGTAGAATTTCTTCTCCCTAAGCTCTCTGTTAGTTGCTTATAGCTTTCCCCCTCTTTGTGCTGGTAACTATTCACATTTTTCATTTATAAAATCAATTTTATTTCTATTGCATTTTCTCTGTTTACGATTGTGATTGCCTGGACTGATTGTCTTTGGGACTCCATGACCGTGCACTTGGAGAGAGATTAACAGAAGCAATATGTAGTCACCCACTGCAGAGTCCTTGGAATCTCAGCTCTCCCTGGTTTGACAGCAAGCTCTGGGTCATGACCTACCTCCAGCTTCTCATTGCTGGGAGGAATAGAATTAGAGGGATGGTGAATGAAGGGCAAGGTATTCTTTTTCTCCTTGTTCCAGGAAAGGCTCTGTTAATATTCATCCCTATTAGTCCATTTTCACACTGCTATAAATATACTACTTGAGACTGGGTAATTTATAAACAAAAGAGGTTTAATTGACTCACAGTTCTGCATGGCTGGAGAGGCCTCAGGAAACTTAGAATCATGGCGGAAGGTGAAGGAGAAGCAGGCACTGTCTTCACAAGGTGGCAGGAGAAAGAGAGCAAGAGCAAGGAAGTGCTATACTTTAAAACCATCAGCTCTCATGAGAATTCCCTCACTATCATGAGAACAGCATGGGAGAAACCACCCCATGATTCAGTCCCCCCTCTCCAGATCCCTCCCTTGACCCATGGGAATTATGATTTGAGATGAGATTTTGGTGGGGACACAGAGCCAAATCATGTCACCATCCATTTAAAAGGTGACCCTAAAACTAATGGTAAATAATATTAACCTGATAGCAACTGAACTCTCTCTCAGCCAGGGGTCATGTCTTCTTGGAGCAGAATATCAGTGAGCCTTGGGCAGCTGTGGGACAAGAGATGACTGGACTCTGTGGGATTTGCTCTGACTCGGTCTAGAATGCCACATGTCTTCTTGGGGCAGGCCATCTCCCTCTTTAGCTTTTGGGTTGGCAATTGGCAGGAAGTAGCCATGGCTTCCTCTGGGTGTGCCTATATCTGGTTTAAATGTTGGATGGGTCGAAACTGCTTTAGGCCCTCTCTGATACAGACTGTTGCTTGTCATTTCCCCAAGTAGATTCTGTGCTTCTTAGCAAATGTCCTTGATGGGCTTGTGGGCTTCTCAGGGTTGGGGAGCTGTCACCCTGGTACACACAGCATCTACTGCAGGGCCTGGCCCTGAGCAGGTGCTCAGTGACTGAAGTATTAATAGTAACTTTCTTGTCTTCGTGATTAAAGTCAATCTCTGCATACACTGGCATCATTTGCATTGTGTGGTGTGGGGTGCACCAGGCAACTTTGGTGTTCCATTGTAATTTCTTGAAGTTACTCAATTGCCCTGAGCATGAGTTCTGAAATTGATTTCCAGACCAGACTGTAAGAATGTGAATTCAGTGCTCAAATTAGCAATCAGCATCAAGGGCATGGGGTAATCATTTATTTTGCTAAATAACACAGACATGCTCTGGCTTAATTACAGTAGTTTTGCTGTGGAAAAGAATTGTGTTGTTTTCCATGTCATTGTATCTCATTAATGAGACTTTGTACACTTTTATTGGCAATACTCTGCAGTGCCCTTTGGTCTGAAATGATTTTCCAATTTGCTAATGTCACTTGTGAAAGAGGAACATTTCCAAACTATTTTTTGGAGGTATGATAATTGTGTTTTGGAAAAGCCTCTAATGTTAATCCCTCAAAATCCTCAAATGTTAATCCCTCAAAATCCTAGCTCTGCTACTAGGTAGCTGGATGGTATTGGACATGTTATTTAACATTTCTGGACCTGAATTTACTCTGTAAAATAAGTGGGTTCATTCTTTTGTCCTCTCAATGATCAGAAATTACCTAGAAAATATATGGAAATTAAGGCTGTAATTTGCCTATTATTTTCAGTAAGGTCCAATGATGAAAAGTGCTGACACTTCTAACTAGTGTTGATATTATTCTAATTGATGAGATTGATAAGGAGAACAAGACAGTTACTAAATAATTAATGCCTTCATCAGGTAAGGCAATAACTCCTCTTATTAATGCATTATGACTTTGTGTGTCTACCTGGTATCTAGAAATGAACTGCTCAGTGACAATGTCCTATCCAACTCAATCCACTGCTAAAGAGTTAACAGGAAAGTATCTTAGAGTCTGGTTTACATTATTGCAGGCAAGCCTGGACCTGGCTTCCTACTCCCTTGAGAGACACTGGCCTAGGGTGTGCCCCCTGGACGGACAGCCTCTGGCTCTTAGCTGCATCTCCAGTGGACACAATCTTACATACTTTATTGCAATTTTATTGGGCTAATTGCTTAATAGGCCATCTGGTCAATACAGTCTTGTGGAAGGATATCTGGGCAACCCATCAATCGAGACACTTGGTCAGTCATTTTATAAACAATTCTTTATCTTAATTACTGAGTTACATGAGATTTGGTTGTTTAAAATTCTGGGGCCCCCTGCCTCGCTCTCTCTTGCTCCTGCTCTTGCCATATAACATTCTGGCTCCTCTTCCCCTTCTGCTGTGACTGGAAGCTTCCTGAGTCCCTCACTAGAAGCAGCTGCTGGCACCATGCTTCCTGTAGGGCATGCAGAACCATGAGCCACAATAAATCTATTTTCTTTATAAATTACCCAGTCTCAGGTATTCCTTTATAGCAACACAAAAATGGCCTAAGACGCCAGGGTTCAGAAGAGAGGTCTGGCCTGGAGCTACAGCTTCAGGAACCACCAGTATATAGAGGATATTTAAAGCATGTCATTTCAAGATCATTAGATTTTTAGCAGCATCTCCCCAGATTCTCCTTTCCCCACAGTAGCAGGACCACTTCTGGCCATTCCCTGTTTTTTCCCATTCCTTGTCAGATAGGAGATGGAACAAGGGTGCAGCTGCCTAAGGATGGGTGGCCACTGGCATTTAATAAAATGCCTGCTGTGAGAAGGCAGCTCAGAGCATGGTGGAAATCGCTCTGTTCCCTGATATCGGAGGGGAAGGGAAAATGAAATACAGACCTTTTCAGGTAGTTCTCACCAGGACAACCAAAGCACTAATTGAAGGCTTGAGTGATGGATTTCTATGTGCCCCTCTGTGAGGCTTTCATTCCTGTTGTGAGCATCACTGTTCTGCTATGCAGAGCAACTGACATGATTCACAGACTGTAGATACCTCCATGGCCAGGCTGGCGTTTCTGAATTATGAATGTTTCACAGGAGAATGACTGGAAGTAGAAAAAGAGGTTCTTTGTAGTTGAGGAGAAAGGAAGAAAATGCTGGAATATCAAAACCTGAGCAATGGAGGGCTCTTATCACTTGGAATGGCAGATGGTCCAGATCCTGGGCCTGTGCTGGGGCTCTGCCTTCTGCAGACACCTGTAGGTTTCCACCAAGTGTCCAGTTGTTTATGCATTTCTGTGACAATGAGTCATTGAGGGCTTAGTCTGGACCTGGTGTTGGCTATCGAGGGGTTTCCACCTTTAGGAGCTCAGAGTCAGGTGGAGGACACACATGTGAACAAACAAATGAAGTTTAAGGCTAATGTAAAGGCACAGTGATGCTCTAAGGAGGATTGGCACACTGTTCGCGATGGATCAAAGAAGACATCTCGGGACTGTCCCTGCACCCATCACAGCAGTTGATGCTGGGATGGGCATATGGTCCAACTGCCAGTGAACATCCCAAGGCTTTTGTTGTACTGCTGGGGAGAAGAACTTCTCCTTCTTTCCCTCTGTCAACCACTACCCTCCCTCTCCTTTATGGATTCAAATAGTCCTGGCAGCCATCCTGCCTCCATGTAGAACCTCAGAATGGAGACAAGGAAGAGAATAGAGCTGAGAAATTGAGACACAGATAGACAGATGGAGAGAGATGGTGGGGTTGGGGATGGGGAAGTGGTGAAGCAAAGGTTCTGGGAATATTATTGAAGTTCCTGGATCCAGCCCTGTTTGAAGCCCTATTAGATACATCATCTCCTTGTCTCCCCTCTCCTCCTCCTCTTTCTCCTCCTTTTTCTCCTCTTCCTCACTTTTCCCCTTCTCCTCCCCCACCCTCTTCTTCTTCTCCTTTGGAAAAAGAGCAGCACTGAGTCTTTGAACCATTCCTGTGGGCAGAGAAATGAGATATGCTTATTGGCTTAGATCCAGGTACTGTGGTTCATGAGTCCTCCTACACATCAGTGAAGAAATGCTTTTGTTTTGTGTAATTTTTAAATTCAGGTAAATGTCACATAACATAGTTCAACATTTTAAAGTGTACAGTTCAGTGGTATTTAGTATATTCACATTGCTGTAGAACCATTTATTCACTCTAATTACAAAACTATTTCGTCACCCTGTAAAAACACCTATATCCAGTAAGTAATCATTCCCCATTCTCCTTTCTCATATTCTCATAACCTCTAATCTGCTTTCTGTCTCTACATATTTGCCTATTTTGGACATTTCATGTAAATGGAATTATAAGCTGTGTGAACTTTTGCATCTGGCTTCTTTTGCTTAGCATAATATTTTCAAGGTTCATAATATTTTCTCATAGCATGTATCAGAACTTCATTCCTTTTTATGACCTAATATTATTCATTTTATGGACAGACCACATTTTGTTTATCCATTCTTTTGTTGATGGACATTTGGGTTATTTCCATCTTTTGGCTATTGTGAATAATGCTGCTGTAAACATTCATGTACAGATTTCTGTGTAGATGTATTCTTTCAGTTCTCTTGCATATGTATCTAGGAGTACAATTGCTGGGTCATATGGTAACTCTATGTTTAACTTTTTGAGGAACCACCAAATTGTTTTCTGCAGGGCTGCACCATTTTACATTTCCACCAGCTATGTAGGAAGGTTCCAATTTCTCCACATCCTTGTCAATATTTTTTCTTTTCTGTTTTTCTGATCAAAGCCATTTAGTGGGTATGAATGTCTGTTTGTGCTTAAGCCAGTTTGGCTGTATTTTCTGTCACTTGCATTGAATAATTTTATTTGTTGTGTTTTTGAAGGATGAACAGATTTTGACGTGTGGTAATGGTAAGGGAAATAATGTCAGACTGAGGGAACAGCATGAATGAAATCATGGAGGTGGGGAAGCCCAATGTATGTTCCAGGAATTTCACCTTTGGTGAAGAGACTCTTCTTTCCCCATAGTGTATGTGGCTTTGTTTAAGATCATTTGACCAATACGTGAGGGCTTATTTCTGGGCTCTCTAATCTGTTCCATTTGTGCATATGTTTGTGTTTATGGCAGTATCATACTGTTTTGATTACATATTTTGAACTTGTAGATTGTTTGAGCAGTATGGACATTTTAATAATATTAAGTCTTTCAATTCATGAACATGGGATGTCTTTCCATTTAGCCTTCTTTAATTTATTTATTCAATGGTTTTAAAAAAAATTTTCTGCATACAATCCTCTAACCGTCTTGGTTAAGTTTATACCTAAGTATTTTATTATTTTGGATTCTATTGTAAATGGGATTGTTTTAATTTCATTTTCAGATTGTTCATTGTTAGTATATAGAAACACAACTGATTTTTATACATTGATTTTGCTGAATTAGTTTATTGGTCCCAACAATTTTGTGTGGAATCCTTGGGGTTTTCTACCTATCAAATCATATTACCTGTGAACAGAGATAATTTTATTTTTTCCTTTCCAATTTGGATGCCTTTTATTTCTTTTTCTTGCCTAACTGCTCTGTCTTGGACTCCCAGTACTTTGTTGAATAGAAGTGGTGAGAATGGGCATCTTTACCTTGTTCCAGATCTTGGAGGAAAAGCTTTTAGTTTTTCACCATTGAGTATGATGTTAGCTGTGGGCTTTTCACATATGGGCTATTTTAGATTGAGGTAATTTCCCTCTACTCCTAGTTCTCAAGGCATGTTAAGTTTCGTTTCTGCCATTGTAACCAAAACACTCTTTACAAATATAAGATTATAATTGTTCAAAGTTATAAGTGATGTTATTTTTTCTACCTTAAAAGACCTCATTCTCATTCATACAGTTGGTCAATACATATTGGCTTAGCATGTGCCAGCCAACAAACAAATATTATTTATGGTGATTTTGACAAGTATCTCCATTTACAAATACATGAACATTTGTGTTGTGCTGCCTTGGGAGGGGAGTAGGTGTGCCTGGGTCTTTGATGATGAGGCCAGTGAGAAGTAGAGGACAAGATCACATGAGATCACATGAGGTCACACGAGGCAGGGAAGAGTCTCCACTGGAGCTCAGGTCACCCGGTTTCCAGCCCGGTGTCTTCTCCCCTCAAAATGAAGAGCTTTTAGGTTTCATTTTGTGCCATTTCAGGAGAATTCCTTTAACTGAAACTGCTTGTTGAAACAGTTGCCTGGTAGTTGTTGTGTGTGTTCAGCTGTAACATAAAAGTATTCTTTCTCTGATTTTCATGAGAGGGTTGTGTGCAGAGTGCTGCAATCATGATGAAAGCATTGTTCCCCATGCCTCACAGCACAAGCCTCATCCATACACCAGATGGTTCTCTGGTGTGTTGTGAAGACAGATTTGCTCTAGGAAATGCTGTTTAGCAGTGGGTCATCACCAAGGCAGGGAGGCTGCATCACTCCCAATATTAAAATACAATTTATTTTGCTTTCCAGTGACCATTTTTGAAAGGCACATGCGGGTTGAAAGTCCCATTTGCTGGTTATAGCTGGGGACATCCATGGCTGAGCTGGACTTCTATGCTGAGGATTGTACAGATAATTCTGAGCCAGCCATGACGGGCCTGCTTACATCTCCTTTCAAGAGAGAGCTTGTCCTTTGCTGGGAGGAGTGAGCTGCACCAACAGTCTCCAGTGTTCCCACCTCAGCTGCTGAGCTAAGCTAAGGCCCACTCTTTCTCAAGCCCCAACCATCAACTGCAGACAGTGGGGATTCTGGGCCTGGCCGTCTCTGGCCCAGGAAAGACTTGTCTACTACAGAGTGGTCTTTGCTGCAGAGTCCTGAGCCTGGCTAGGGGAGAATTTTTCAGCTCTGCATTGCGGTTGGAGTCTCTCCCTGCCCTCTCCTGCTACCTCTCCTTTTATTTCTTGCTCTTGATACAACTTTTTACTCCACATTTGTGTCTGTCTTGTGGAGGATCTAAGTGACACATGATCCAAAGTGCAGTCTGTCTTTGTTTAACCGAGGCTTTCCCCTCTGGAAACCCACTTTCTTTCCACTAAACCCAGTTTCTTTATTAGCTGTATCCCAGTGGTATATCTAGTGGGTATTCAAGATTGGGCAAAAAGAAATAGCAAAGAAAATTGTAAAGAAAAGTCCCAAGTTAATGTGACTTTGAAAATGAGGCTGGGGACCCAATCCAGACACCAGGGGTCACTCCTGGGGGGTTTGCCTCACTCCTGGGCTCACTGATATGCTCATGGGTCAGAATAAGGACATGGTTTGGCTCCTTTGACACTTTCTAAGTGAACATTCTTCTCTGGGAGTCATTTTTCCCTCCTTCAGCAATCCTGTCTCCCCTGCACTGCCACAAGCGCTCATCCTCACAGAGATCAGGCTCAGGGGAGAAAGACCCCCTTGGCCGGCTGCACCGAAATTACCTCGACCTGACCAGCTCTGGTTAAGCCTGAGGTCGTACCTCAACAACTTCCCTTGCAGCCCTGGGACAGCCGGGAGCTGGCCGGCGCCCATGTGGGGCTGTGCCTCAGCAACTGTGTTGATGTCCCCTGCTTGCAGCAAGGATGGAGCCTCTCCTGGTGTCCCATGAGCTCAATCATTCCAGCCTGTCTGCTGCATTCACTTCAGGGGATTTGCCGAGTGGAATATCTCTCTGTGTGATCTCTCTATGTTTTCAGTCCCATGCGGGACAGAGTCCTTTCTGGTGTGAGGGCCATGGGCTGCTGTGGTCCGGGGGTGTGGTCATATGTATGGGGGACAGGATGTGTCCTGTTAGAGATGAAATAAAAATGAAACTATGAACACAGACTTTGGCCTTTCACAGAGGTAATTACCAGAGTTGTCATTAAATCTTCCAGCCACACCAGTTCAGGGCCATAGCATGTGACCATACCCTTGCTTCCTTCTGGCAGTGAGCATTTGGCTGACTTCTTGTTGTGATAATCACAGATGATTTTAAAGTTAGAATGGCCTCTGCATTTTCAGCTCCCACTGTAGTGATGATTCAGACATCCTGTCCCCAGTGGACGTCGGGTTGGTCTTTGCAGGGAGCCGCTGACTGAATGTGCTTTGTCTGGGAAGAGCTCTCAGGAGTACAGCGCCCTGCTCAGTCAGGGTTAAACAGTGAGTCTGACATATTGGAGATCTTAGCCTTGCCTTTTAATGAACTGCCTGGAGATGGACCTGAGAGTTGACATTTCCAGAGGACTATCAGAGCTAAGGGCTTTGCATATGTGGTCTCATTCATCCTCAAAATGTCCTGCTGAAGCTGGCATTATTATGATCCCCTTGTCACTGATGGGAAGGTTAGGTGACTTGTCCAAGTCACACAAGGGGTACAGGGTAAAGGCACGATTCATTTCTTGGTCTGATTCCAGATCTTATGGTCTTAACAGCAGCTCTACAGTGCCTTTTGAGAGGGAGGTTCCCTGGGATAGAGTTCAACCTTGTGGTCTTAATACCTGGCAGAGTCTCAGATACATAGTGGGTGCTCAATAAGCACTCATTGACTTAAGGAATGAATGGCTATTCCAACATCCTAGCCTCAGGTCCCCAAGGGAGAGAGGAGACTCAGGGAAGCAATTCTAGTAAACTCTTGGGAAGCAAATTGAGGCTGAATCAGTGTCTTGAGATGGGGTGAATAATCCAGATGATTGGAGAAACTCCATGGTTTATATTCTGTGTAGACACAGCCACAGCAGTGCAGGGGGGTACAGCGATCACCCAGCATCTGAGGATGTGTGGTTGGCAAGCTCCTGACTTTGGCTGACTTCTTGTTGTGATAATCACAGATGATTTTAAAGTTAGAACGGCCTCTGCATTTTCAGCTCCCACTGTAGTGATAATTCAGGCATCCTGTCCCCAGTGGACGTGGGGTTGGTCTTTGCAGGGAGCCACGGGTCTGACCTTAATACTTAGGTGTCCTCACAGCCCATTGTCTGTGGGGGCTGGAACAGTTTCTTTAGAATCTTGTTCTAGGACCTGCAGTAGAAGGACCTGCTGCTCTATGAGGAGAATGTGTGCTGTGGTCTGAATATCTGTGTTCCCTTCTCCAACTTTCATATGTTGAAAGTTAATTCTTAATGTGATGGTCTTCAGAGGAGGTGATTAGATAATGAGGGCCCCACCCTCATGCATAGTACCAGCGCCTTATAAAAGAGGCCTAAGGGAGCTTGTTCACCCCTTCTGCCATGTAAGGAGGCACTGAGAAGGCACCACCTGTGAGGAACGGGCCCTCTGGAGACACCAAGTCTACTGGTGCCTTGATCTTGGACTTCCCAGCCTCCAGAACTATGAGTGATAAGTTTCGGTTGTTTAGAAATCACCCAGTCTAAAGTGTTTTGTTGTAGTCACGCAAACAAAGTATAGAAATGCAGTGTTTGTGAGTCCAGTTATGTTTTCAGTTCCACGTGTGAGCCTTGACATTCAGCTAAAAGAATACTACCTTGGCTGCTGAGATAAAGTGAATAATACCCGTCATCTGTCTTCAGAGTGAATGCCAGCTGCTCCACCATGGCTGATGGTGGCTTGTGTCTGTCCCAGACTGGAGCCACAGGTTTATCTGGCACCCTCCTCCTTACTCTCTGTGCCCCAGACACACTGGCTTTCCTTACATTTGCCTCCATGGTCAGCTCATTCCCACCTCAGGGCCTTTGCACTTGCTGTTCCCCCTTCCAAGGATGCATTCCCTGCCCTCTTCACCTGGTGGGTCCCCCTCCTTCTATAGGCCTCTGCTCCAACACCACTTTTCCAAAAGGCCCACCCCCCACCATTAATTTTTCCCAAGTATCTTCTTATAGTCCCACAGCATTTGTTCCTATTTGTAACTGTATATTATTTACTTTCTTTTTTTCTTTCTGCAAAGTTTGTCTCCCCAGTTATTCTGTTAGCTCCATGAAGGTAGATGATATGCTTGTTTTGTTTGCCACTGACTTCCCAGCAGCTATCAAAGTGTGTGGCTTATAATAGTGTCTAATACATGTTCAGTGACTTAATTAATGAATCAAACTTTGTGTGTTGTAATTGTATAAGTTGAAGTATATTTTCATTCTGTATTGGGCCAGTCAACAGCTCTTTCATGGGACTCTCCTGTGGAGTTTCCATTTCCACAGTCCACACCAGCTGCTGCTTCACACATTCCACAAGTAATCTGGGAGGATAGCACTGCCCCACATTCTTTGAGAGATGCCAAGATGGCTTAGAGGTCTTTCCAGCTCTCAAGGGTCCCACAGTTGACTAAAAAGACACAGACACACAATATGGGGTTTATCCAAAAACTTCCTGTTGAAGGAGTTTTTTTTCTTTAAGTTCCCTAAAAGATTTCTTTGCCTTAGCAAAGCCAGGGGATTCAGTCAAGTTTTTTTTTTCTTCTTTTTGTTAGCTTCAAGAAATAGAGATCCAAGTTTCCTTATCCTGATAGTAGAGAAAAAATAGCAATGTGTTTTTTTTTAAACTAATTCCAAGATTGAGCTCACCTTTCCTTCCTTCCTTCTTTCCTTCCTTCCTTCCTTCCTTCTTTCTTTTTCCTTTCCTTTCCTTTCCTTTCCTTTCCTTTCCTTTCCTTCCTTTCTTCCGTCTTTCTGTCATTTTCTTTCCTCTCTCTCTCGCCTTCCTGCCTTCTTTTTCTCTTTCTCTCTTCCTCTCTGACTGCTTTCCTGCCTTCCTGCCTTCCTTCTTTACTTTTTTCTTTTCATTTCTCTTCTCTTTTCTCTCTCCCTTCTTTCTCCCCTCCCCTCCCTCCCCTCCCCTCCCCTTCCCTTCCCTCTTCCCTTTCCTTTTTCCACAGGGTCTTGTTCTGTTGCCCAGGCTGAACTGCAGTGGCACAATCATAACTCACTGCAGCCTCAAAACCCTGGGCTCCAGTGATTCTCACACCTCAGCCTTTGGAGTAGCTGGGACTACAGGTGTGCCAGCACACCTGGCAAATATTTTATTTGTAGAGAGGGGGTCTCCCAAGTTTCCCAGACTGGTCTTGAACTTCTGGGCTCAGGTAATCCTCCTGCTTCAGTCTCCCAAAGTGCTGGGATTGCAGTCATGAGCCATCATGCCTGGCAGAGCATTTTCTTTATGTCATTATTTTATTTGCTAATCTCTAGTGTTCCAGGCCAGATTCTCTTGATGGCAACAGAAAAATCAGTTGAAACTGACCTTAGCACAAAGGGAAATGATTGGCTGATTTAACTGACAAGCGCAGGATGGGCTTTAGGCACAGCTGGATCCAGGGGGACCTGACCTGCTGTCAGGATACATCCTCTGTCCGTCTCTGGGCTCTGCCTACTGTGGATTGGTGTTATGCTGAAGTGGGCTGTCCCCTGCGCCTGGCAGAGGGCTGCCATCAGCTCCAGGCTCACTTCTGGTCTTGCAACAATCCCTCTGGGAATGTGCCTATTTTCATGGACTCTAAAGAAAGCCCCAGAAATGGGTGTCATGGGTGCTGATTGTTCATACCTGGGCAGAGATGGGGCCGAGTTAGCCCCACCTGAACCATGTAGACAGAGTGTGGGAAGAAGTGGAGCCCTTAAGGAGAATCAGGTGCTGTAACTAGAAGGGGGAGGTGGATTACAGGTAGATATCACCTTACCCGGGTGACATGTTTAGAGGAAAATTTGAATAAATTAGAAGTGTGTGTGTGTGTGTTGGGGGGAAGAGGACCCAGCACAGTGCCTGACTCGCAAACAATCAATGGACATTGTAATTTAGGTTAGTATCATTAGCATTGTTATTGTCAACATTATTATAATATTTTATTTATAGCAAAACTTAGCAATATGCATATTTTTTCCAAATAGCTGCTGGCCTAAGGAGAGAGATGGAGAAAATAGGCTTGTGATGGTTAATACTGAGTGTCAACTTGATTGGATTGAAGGATGCAAAGTATTGATCCTGGGTGTGTCTGTGAGGGTGTTGCCAAAGGAGATTAACATTTGAGTCAGTGGGTTGGCCAAGGCAGACCCAGCCTTAATCTGGATGGGCACCATCTAATCAGCTGCCAGCACAGCCAGAATATAAAGCAGGCAGAAGAACATGAAAAGGCTAGACTGGCTTAACCTCCCAGCCTACATCTTTCTCCCGTGCTGGATGTTTCCTGCCCTTGAACATCGGACTCCAAGTTCTTCAGCTTTGGGACTCATACTGGCTTCCTTGCTCCTCAGCTTGCACATGGCCTGTTGTGGGACCTTGTGATCATGTGAGTTAATACTCCTTAATAAACTCCCCTTTATAGATATCTATCCTATTAGTTCCCCTCTAAAGAAATCTGACTAATACAAGGCCAATTCTTCCTATACCTTTCTTTGGGATGGTGAGAAGTAAATGATCTTGTTTCCTGTCTCTAGACCATTATGGAATCATTTGAGACATCAGTTAAACTTTTCTCAGTATTGCTGATATAATTCTTGAGCATAAGAGTGTGAAATTTAGCTTTGTTTTTTTTACATTGGTATTAGTTGGATGTGTAACCCTGCTTTCTGCTTTTGCTCCTTGTAATTAAAACATGATGTGTTTGAGTTAATGTTTGGGGAAGCCGGGTAGCCAAAAAGTGTTAAAAGAAGAAAAATTGGATGTATGAGTCTGTTTGTTCTAAAAATGGAAAGAACTGGCCATTTTGGTAAGGAAAATTATATTTTTCTATTGAGATGAATTAATATAACATGAAATTAACCATTTTAAAGTGAACAATTCAGTGGCATTTAGTACATTTGCAGTGTCGTCCCTCCACCACCTCTATTGAGTTCCAGGACATTTTAAGCAGGTAGGGATTGGCTTTCCATTCCCTGCCCTGCTCTTGATAACCACCAACCTGCATTCTGTGTCTATGGATTTGCTGATTTTAGATATTTCATGTAAATGAGACCATGCAATATGCTTTTGTGTCTGGCTTTTTTTCACTGAGTGTAATGCTTTTGATTTCATCCCTGTAGCAGGGATCAGAACTTCATTCCTTTTAATGTCTCAATAACAGTCCATTGTATGGATAAATCACAATTTGTTTATCCATTACTGTATCAATGGACACTTGGGTTGTCTCTACCTCTTAGCTACTGTGAATAGTGCTGAACATTCGTGTTCAAGTATCTGAGTGCTAATATGTTTTGGTGGGGTTGAGTTGCTAATATGAGTTGCTAATATGAGTTGGGGGAGAGTACAAACCTAGGCGAAGAATTGCCAGGTCATATGGTAATTCTATGTTTAACTTTTTGAGGAGCTGCCAAACTGTTTCCAGGAGTGACTTTTGAAAATCATAGCCACAGATACCTTAGTGCTCAGGCCTGAATGCCAGTTGGATGGCTCTCCTGGGAAGTAGGACTGTGTAAAGCTGGCATTTCTTGGGATGCAGCTCTGTGGGAGACGGGAATGGAATCTGAGCTTTATTCTCATTGATAAGGCTTCAGTGGTGGGCAGTGATTTTTGTGAAACAACACAAAAAATCTTCCTCTCCACCCAGATTGGTAGTTGTTGGTGGACAGCCAACTGTAATATATGGAGTGCTGAGTATACCTTAGTAGAGGATGCTTAGATGCTTATAATCAGGCTCAGGAAAACATTACTGCAATTCTGATTTAATACCAGTTCTATTAGAACCAGGCTCTCATCAGCCCCATGCAAATGATAATTTATGTCTTTATCAACTGCGCATTTTACTTCTCACTGGGTTTTGGATCAAATGTGAATATATATATATATTCCCTTTTTTAAGAGTACAATATATTTTACTTTCACTTAAAGGTGTCTGAATGGATTATGAAAAGATTCAAACTCAAAACTGATCTTATCATAATTTTAAAAATTTATCAGGAGAAAAAGGAGTGATACAGACAGCCAAGTAATGTAATTATTCTGATTTACTGTGCATATTCTCTCTCTCTGGCTCAATCCACCCCTTTCCTTATGAGATAATTCTGAAGAGTCCTTTAGCAAAGATAGTTAACTATTTCTTCAACAGATTTTGCTTTCTCAAAGAAAAAATTCCGTAATTTTTTTCCCCAAGAACCTAAATTTTTTTTTTCCTACTCTGTGGCACAGTTGTTACATTTTTGGTCTTGAGACTCTTACATTTTTTTCAACTTTAGTTAATATTGATCAACTTTTGAGGTCTTGGGGTAAAGTTCAAACATACTTATCTGGGTATTTTGGATTTTTAATTTGCTTCCTTTTAAAGTGTAGATAGAAAAAGTCCCTGTCTGACAGCTCTGAAGAGAGCAGTGGTTCTCCCAGCACTGTGTTTGAGCTCTGAGAATGGGTGGACTGCCCCCTCAAGTGGGTCCCTGACCCCCGTGTAACCTAACTGGGAGACACCTCCCAGTAGGGGCCAACTGACACCTCATACAGCCGGGTGCCCCTCTGAGATGAAGCTTCCAGAGGAAGGATCAGGCAGCAATATTTGCTGTTCTGCAATATTTGCTGTTCTGCAGCCTCCACTGTTGGTACCCAGGCAAACAGGGTCTGAAGTGGACCTCCAGCAAACTCCAACAGACCTGCAGCTGAGGGACCTGATTGTTAGAAGGAAAACTAACAAATGGAAAGGAATAGCATCAACATCAACAAAAAGGACATCCACACCAAAACCCCATCTGTAGGTCACCATCATCAAAGACCAAAGGTAGATAAAACCACAAAGATGGGGAGAAACCAGAGCAGAAAAGCTGAAAATTCTAAAAACCAGAGCGCCCCTTCTCCTCCAAAGGATCATAGCTTCTTGCCAGCAATGGAACAAAGCAGGATGGAGAATGACTGACGATTTGACAGAAGTAGGCTTCAGAAAGTCGGTAATAACAAACTTCTCTGAGCTATAGGAGGATGTTCAAAGCCATCATAAGGAAGCTAAAAACCTTGAAAAGAGATTAGACGGATGGCTAACTAGAATAAACAGTGTAGAGAAGACCTTAAATGACCTGATGGAGCTGAAAACCGTGGCATGAGAACTACGTGATGCATGCACAAGCTTCAGTAGCTGATTTGATCAAGTGGAAGAAAGGGTATCAGTGATTGAAGATCAAATTAATGAAGCAAGAAGAGAAGTTTAGAGAAAAAAGAGTAAAAACAAATGAACAAAGCCTCCAAGAAATATGGGACTATGTGAAAAGACCAAATCTACGTCTGATTCGTGTATCTGAAAGTGACAGGGAGAATGGAACCAAGCTGGAAAACACTCTTCAGGATATTATCGAGGAGAACTTCCCCAACCTAGCAAGGCAGGCCAACATTCAAATTCAGGAAATACAGAGAACACCACAAAGATACTCCTTGAGAAGAGCAACCCCAAGACACATAATTGTCAGATTCACCAAAGTTGAAATGAAGGAAAAAATGCTAAGGGCAGCCAGAGAGAAAGGTCGGGTTACCCATAAAGGGAAGCCCATCAGACTAATAGCAGATCTCTCGGCAGAAACCCTACAAGCCAGAAGAGAGTGGGGGCCAATATTCAACATTCTTAAAGAAAAGAATTTTCAACCCAGAATTTCATATCCAGCCAAACTAAGCTTCATAAGCGAAGGAGAAATAAAATCCTTTACAGACAAACAAATGCTGAGAGATTTTGTCACCACCAGGCCTGCTTTACAAGAGCTCCTGAGGGAAGCACTAAACATGGAAAGGAACAACCGGTACCAGCCACTGCAAGAACATGCCAAATTGTAAAGACCATCAATGCTAGGAAGAAACTGCATCAACTAATGGGAAAAATAACCAGTTAATGTCACAATGACAGGATCAAATTCACACATAACAGTATTCACCTTATATGTAAATGGACTAAATGCCCCAATTAAAAGACACAGACTGGCAAATTGGATAAAGAGTCAAGACCCATTAGTGTGCTGTATTTAGGAGACCCATCCCACGTGCAGAGACACACATAGGCTCAAAATAAAGGGATGGAGGAAGATCTACTAAGCAAATGGAAAGCAAAGAAAAGCAGAGGCTGCAATCCTAGTCTCTGATAAAACAGACTTTAAGCCAACAAAAATCAAAAGAGACAAAGAAGGCTATTACATAATGGTAAAGGGAACAATTCAACAAGAAGAGCTAACTGTCCTAAATATATATGCACCCAATACAGGAGCACCCAGATTCATAAAGCAAGTCCTGAGAGACCTAAAAAGAGACTTAGACTCCCACACAATAATAATGGGAGACTTTAACACCCCACTGTCAATATTAGATTAACGAGATAGAAGGTTAACAAGGATATCCAGGACTTGAACTCAGCTCTGCACCAAGCAGACCTAATAGACATCTACAGAACTCTCCACCCCAAATCAACAGAATATACATTCTTCTCAGCACCACATCTCACTTATTCCAAAACTGACCACATAGTTGGAAGTAAAACACTCCTCAGCAAATGTAAAAGAACAGAAATCATAACAAACTGTCTCTCAGACCACAGTGCAATCAAATTAGAACTCAGGGTTAAGAAATTCACTCAAAACCGCACAACTACATGGAAACTGAACAACCTGCTCCTGATTGACTACTGGGTAAATAATGAAATGAAGACAGAAATAAAGATGTTCTTCGAAACTAATGAGAATGAAGACACAACGTACCAGAATCTCTGGGACACATTTAAAGCAGCGTGTAGAGGGAAATTTATAGCACTAAATGCCCACAAGAGAAAGCAGGAAAGATCTAAAATCGACACCCTAACATCACAATTAAAAGAGTTAGAGAAGCAAGAGCAAACAAATTCAAAAGGTAGCAGAAGGCAAGAAATAATTAAGATCAGAGCAGAACTGAAGGAGATAGAGACACAAAAAACCCTTCAAAAAATCAATGAATCCAGGAGCTGGTTTTTTGAAAAGATCAACAAAATTGATAGACCACTAGCAAGACTAATAAAGAAGAAAAGAGAGAAGAATCAAATAGACACAATAAAAAATGATAAAGAGGATATCACCACCGATCCCACAGAAATACAAACTACTGTCAGAGAATACTATAAACACCTCTACGCAAATAAACTAGAAAATCTAGAAGAAATGGATAAATTCCGGGCCACATACACCCTCCCAAGACTAAACCAGGAAGAAGTTGAATTGCTGAATAGACCAATAACAGGCTCTGAAATTGAGGCAATAATTAATAGCCTACCAACCACAAAAAGTTCAGGACCAGACGGATTCACAGCTGAATTCTACCAGAGGTACAAAGAAGAGCTAGTACCATTCCTTCTGAAACTATTCCAATCAATAGAAAAAGAGGGAATCCTCCCTAACTCATTTTATGAGGCCAGCATCATCCTGATACCAAAGCCTGGCAGATACACAACAAAAAAAGAGAATTTTAGACCAATATCCCTGATGAACATCAATGCGAATATCCTCAATAAAATACTGGCAAACCGAATCCAGCAGCACATCAAGAAGCTTATCCACCAAGATCAAGTGGGCTTCATCCCTGGGATGCAAGGCTGGTTCAACATATGCAAATCAATAAACATAATCCATCACATAAACAGAACCAAAGACAAAAACCACATGATTATCTCAATAGACACAGAAAAGGCCTTCGATAAAATCTGATAGCCCTTCATGCTAAAAGCACAATAAACTAGGTATTGATGGAACGTATCTCAAAATGATAAGAGCTATTTATGACAAACCCACTGCCAGTATCATACTGAATAGGCAAAACTGGAAGCATTCCCTTTGAAAACTGGCACAAGACAGGATGCCCTCTTTCACCACTCCTATTCAACACAGTGTTGGAAGTTCTGGCCAGGGCAATCAGGCAAGAGAAAGAAAGAAAGGGTATTCAATTAGGAAAAGAGGAAGTCAAATTGTCCCTATTTGCAGATGGCATGACTGTATATTTAGAAAACCCCATCATCTCAGCCCAAAATCTCCTTAAGCTGATAAGCTACTTCAGCAAAGTCTCAGGATACAAAATCGATGTGCAAAAATCACAAGCATTCTTATACACCAGTAACAGACAGAGAGCCAAATCATGAGTGAACTCCCATTCACAATTGCTACAGAGAGAATAAAATACCTAGGAATCCAACTTACAAGGGATGTGAAGGATCTCTTCAAGGAGAACTACAAACCACTGCTCAACGAAATAAAAGAGGACACAAACAAATGGAAGAACATTCCATGCTTATGGATAGGAAGAATCAATATCGTGAAAATGGCCATACTGCCCAAGGTAATTTATAGATTCAGTGCCATCCCCATCAAGCTACCAATGACTTTCTTCACAGAATTGGAAAAAACTACTTTAAAGTTCATATGGAACCAAAAAAGAGTCCCCAGAGCCAAGACAATCCTAAGCCAAAAGAACAAAGCTGGAGGCATCGCACTACCTGACTTCAAACTATACTACAAGGCTACAGTAACCAAAACAGCATGATACTAGTACCAAAACAGAGATACAGACCAATGGAACAGAACAGAGGCCTCAGAAATAACACCGCACATCTACAACCATCCGATCTTTGACAAACCTGACAAAAACAAGCAACAGGGAAAGGATTCCCTATTTAATAAATGGTGCTGGGAAAACTGGCTAGCCATATGTAGAAAGCTGAAACTGGATCCCTTCCTTACACACTTATACAAAAATTAATTCAAGATGGATTAAAGACTTAAATGTTAGACCTAAAACCATAAAAGCCCTAGAAGAAAACCTAGGCAATACCATTCAGGACATAGGCATGGACAAGGACTTCATGACTAAAACACCAAAAGCAATGGCAACAAAAGCCAAAATAGACAAATGTGATCTAATTAAACTAAAGAGCTTCTGCACAGCAAAAGAAACTACCATCAGAGTGAACAGGCAACCTACAGAATGGGAGAAAATTTTTGCAATCTACCCATCTGACAAAGGGCTAATATCCAGAATCTACAAAGAACTTAAACTAATTTACAAGAAAAAATCAAAGAACCCCATCAAAAAGTGGGCAAAGGATATGAACAGACGCTTTTGAAAAGAAGACATTTATGTAGCCAACAGACACATGGAAAAATGCTCGTCATCAGAGAAATGCAAATCAAAACCACAATGAGATACCATCTCACACCAGTTAGAATGGCGATCATTAAAAAGTCGGGAAACAATAGGTGCTGGAGAGGATGTGGAGAAACAGGAACACTTTCACGCTGTTGGTGGGAGTGTAAACTAGTTCAACCATTGTGGAAGACAGTGTGGCGATTCCTCAAGGATCTAGAACTAGAAATACCATTTGTCCCAGTGATCTCATTACTAGGTATATACCCAAAGGATTGTAAATCATGCTAGTATGAAGACACATGCACAAGTATGTTTATTGCGGCACTATTCACAATAGCAAAGACTTGGAACCCACCCAAATGTCCATCAATGATAGACTGGATTAAGAAAATGTGGCACATATACACCATGGAATACTATGCAGCCATAAAAAAGGATGAGTTCATGTCCTTTGTAGCAACATGGATGAAGCTGGAAACCATCATTCTGAGCAAACTATCGCAAGGACAGAAAACCAAACACCGCATGTTCTCACTCATAGGTGGGAATTGAACAATGAGAACACTTGGACACAGGGCGGGGAACATCACACACTGGGGCCTGTCGTGGGGTGGGGGGTTGGGGGAGGGATAGCATTAGGAGAAATACCTAATGTAAATGACGAGTTAATGGGTGCAGCAAACCAACACGGCACATGTATACACATGTAACAAACCTGCATGTTGTGCACATGTACCCTAGAACTTAAAGTGTAATAAAAAAAACATTAACAATGAATAGTGAAATATGTGAGAAAAAATAGTGATTGGAAAATATTCTAATAAGATTTATTAGTATTATGCTGTGTTTTAGTGGTTTACAGTCTGTATGTGTATACAGTCAGCCCATCATATCTGTCTGTTCTGAATATGTGGATTAACCAACTATGGGTCAAAAACATTAAAGAAAAAAACAATGTAACTAAAAAAAAATAAGGTGTAGATAAAAGCAATTTGGTCTTGTTAATTGGTTGAGTTATTTTTTTGCAAAGAGAAACACCAGGTAATTTGGTATCTGTCTTCCTGTTAGCTGAGGATGGGGTGAACTTTTTGTCTTCAACTAGACAGGGACTATTGCTTTGAGAAGAATAGAAACAGAGGCATGAGCAAGAAGAGAATTTATTAGGAGGATGCTGGATTTGCTCATGAAATCCAGAGATTCAATGAATGAATGGGTATCAGGAAGGAAAAACACCAAGGGTAATTTTAAAGACCTCAGAGGAAGGAATTCCTGGAAACTCACTTTAGGGTTGTGCCTTTAATATTGACTCGTTTCTCAATCTTATTCTTTGTGTCTTGAAACTCAGTCTATCAAAAGAAAAATATGATTGCCTTGTTTCCAGCCAATGGATTGGCTTCCTATGGGTCAGAGGTTGATCGGGTCCAATCAGGTATGGCCTGGTTTGGGAGGGAGGAAGGATTAACCTAACATGAACATAATTGCTGGAGTCTAAACCTGCGGGGAGCCTTTCTCAGAGAAGTGGGCTATAAGCTGAGCAGGCACCCCTAAGAAAGTGTTCTTTCACAACTTACCCCTCTTTTTTTGTATTTTTTGTAGAGACAGGGTTTCATCATGTTGGCAAGGTTGGTCTCGAACTCCTGGCCTCAAGTGATCTGCCTGCCTTGGCCCCCCGAAGTGCTGGGATTACAGGCATGAGCCACTGTGCCTTGCTTACACCTTACCCCTCTTGTTGGGTATTATCTGCATAATCTAATGTTCTCCAACTTCAGTGTACACACGATATGTATGAACACATGGATGGTGAGGACATTGTTGGGGCTGGGCCTCTTGGCAACCATATCTGCTTCCTTTAGTAGTGGCTCCTTGATTTCCTTCTAGGGGCTTCTCTTGTCATGAGGGTTGTGGCTGGGGCTGTAAATCAAGGCGTCCTACTCTGCACTGATCAAGGGGTGAGGAGCTGACCGATGGTCAGCCGATCAGATGCTCCCTCCTGGGACTTTGAGTCTTGAGTAGATTGCTGCAGGCTTGGACAAGACAGTATGAGCATATCATTGTATCTCTGGAACTGGTGAGGCTGTTAATTTGTTATGTAACCCAGACTCTGGAGCTGTCCTGGTCTCTATGTTGTTTCTGAAACTCATTGTTATTATTATTATTATTGTGACAGGGTCTTGCTTTGTCACCCAGGCTGGAGTGCAGCGGTGTGATCATAGCTCACTGCAGCCTTGATCTCCCAGGCTCAAGCAATCTTCCCCCCTCAGCCTCCATGCCCAGCTAATTTTTAAAACAATTTTTTAGTAGAGATAGGGTCTCACCACGTTGCCCAGGCTGATCTCAAACTCTTTTGCTCAGGCAATCCTTCTACCTTGGGTTCCCAAAGTGCTGGGATTACAGGTGTGAGCCACTGCACCCTATTTAGACCTATTTTTTTTCCACCTTTTCTCTTAAACTGGTAGGCTGGTGTCCTCCAAAAACTCAACTTCTGCTCAAGTTAGAATCAGTGCCTGTTGCTTACAACCAAAGATCACTAATGGATTTACTATGGAAAGTCAGGATAATGGCTCTGAAACATGGGATGATGGGGTCCCTTATCACAAGACTGTTTTTACTAAGGCCAAAAGATAGTCTCAGGGCAATGTCTGAAGTTCATGAAAGAAGACACCAAAGACTTCTTTTTTGATTTCCACCTAATGAGAAAATCAGTCTGGTGTCTCTTGCTTGAGCAACTGACTAATTGTGGTTCTATAAATGGCCTTCTATTTTAACTGTATGTTCATATTTTTGACTTCCGCAAAGTGTGATGGTGAAATGAGTCCCATTTGCATGTTGTTTCTTCCCCCTTTCCCCTTGGCAAAGTTCTATTTGTCCTTCACTTTCATTCCGCCACCACAACTCCCTGCCAGCAGCATTAATTACTGAGTTTTTGGTGCTACCTACACAGTATCACCACTATTAGAAATATTAGCACACTGTCATGTAATTAGATGGGACAAATTCTCCTCACGTCCTTATGACCTTCCTTAGTGCCGGAACTAGGTCTAATTCCTCCTCTAACCTGTTATGCCAAGTCCAGGACTTGGCAATTAGTGATACCCAACACCTCTTTATCAAATTGAATTGTTTCTCTCTTCTTTGTACCAAAACCCATACCGGGTATCTCATTTTAGAGCTCTTTGAAGTTACTGTAGTTCCATCCATTAAGTTAACAGTTCTGGGTATATTCTCCGGAAGCTTTGGAATCTGAATATTAAGTGTTCACTGTGATGGGTTAGGCAGGATGGACTGAAAGTAAATACTCTACACAGCTACCATTGGCACCTTGACTTATTCTGCTCACTAGAAATGACATTAAGCTTTTGTTTCTCCCCATCTTTGATTCGAAGAACCAATTAGAGTCCACCTCGATGTCTTTTTCTTTTTATTCCTATTAGCTGTCAACTACAGAATCCACTTACCGTGCAGTCTAACTACTGGCAAGAATGTTGGAATTGCCTGAGACCAAGAAAATAATGCATCTCTCTCTCTCTGTATGTGTGTGTGTATTAGGACAGTTGTGGGCAGAGTAGAGGTGGTATAGACACTCATAAGATTACCTCTGGAAGAAATATCACTTATGGCTTCATTATGCTGCATTCGTCTAAGTCCTAGACCTGTCCAGTTAAAATAAATGTATTTGAGCAACAAGATCTTGGTGAAGAGACAGCCAGGATGATTTCTGAGTGAAGAGGGCATGGGTATAAAGGCTGGCATGATCTCTGATTTATTATGGCATATTATCATTTTGTATCATATTATTAGTGTGTTATAGTATTAGTGCCCCATCTTGTTAGTGCCTTATTACATGGTGTTATAGTGTATTGGTTATGAGTAAGGTCTATGGTGTTAAACTGCCTGGGATTAAATCTTGGACCTGCCATTTGTTGGCTGTGTCACCTTGGGTAAGTCAGGATAGTTTGACCAAGAGACATATTTTTGAGATTTTATTAGAACAAGGTGGTTGGTCTTACACATTTCTGCTGCAGATGGGAAGTTGTCTGTGTCTAAGGAACAGGGGCTCTCAGTGCATTTTAGTATTATGTTTAAAAGCTTTGAGAATTTATATTGAAGGCCTGCAAGGCTGTGACAATTACTTCTGGCCCACCCCCCGGAAAATTATTTTGCCATTGAATGATATTGACTTCTAAATATCAAGTTTCCAGGCACTGCTAGGACCCTCTGAGGGTTCGGTCACTGTAAAATCCTATTTCCCAGTGTCAGGAGACAAACGTGTATGATTGCTGGCTGTCCTAATTATTTTTGACTGACTTAATATCTTCATTGGATTTAATTACCGTCTTCCTTTTGGTAGAGCCATTGTTGATAGATGTTAAGCTTATGTTATTCTCTTAGCTGAAGTTAAGGAGATTGAGTGGGAACTGAACAGTCTGAAGACCTCAAGGAATGTATGCAGACCTGAGTAGCATTGTTCTCTTTCACATTACTGGATTGTTGTTCTTGTAAAATTTGTTCCGAAACCATAAGGAACCTGAAATCTGCTACCTTTGACTGTGGAAGCTCTCATCTGCTTGAGAACAGAAGGTCTCAGTCTGTTCTGCACTTTTTACTTTGAAATACTATTTAGCACATCCTTCATGAACCCATTATTCGATAGCCTTGATAGATGTTTGTTTATTATAACAGGTACATCTCCTTTCACAGGAAATGCAAAAAGGTTATTTCTTCCTTAGCTCCCAAAATGAAGGCTGTCTTGGAAAATGGGAAGCAGAATGCCAGAATTCCAGTCCAATGGGTATAACACAGTGTGGCTTGTCACTAAGAAATTTACTAGGATACTATTGAACTCTTTGACCTCTACTATTATAGCTCGTTGTACTAGTTAGGGTAATTAATGTTAGCTGCTGTAACAAATAACCCTCTATCTCAGTGGTTTAACACAGTGTAATGAGGCTTGGATGGAGTTTCTGAGCCACATCCAAGTAGCTACAAACAAGTCCAAGTAGTAATCAGCGATGCTAGCCACTTCTGTCCTATGTCTATGTCATCTGGAAACTATGCTTGTTGCTATGCCATCCTTGAAGTTTCCATGGAAACCCTGGAAGATCTCACAAGATGTTTTCAAAGGCCAGGACTGGATGTGGCTTATATCACCTCCACCCACATTTCATCCGTCAGGCTGCAGATACATGGCTTTAAGAGAGGCTTGGAAATGTATCCTTCCTATGTACCCAGGAAGCAGAAATGGCGAGGTGAACATCGAGGAGTGTCAAACATGTTTTTGCCATTTTCTACACGTCTGCTATTTGTCTCTTGCTGTGCTGTCATCAAAATGCTTTTCACCTACTACATTTTTTTCAAGGCCAGTCTCACATTCTCCTCTGAACTTCTATTGGACTTGAGTTCATATCTTTAATATATATCATGTGATCATATTATATCCTGTATTATGATTAAATGTTTCCTGTGTCTTGGTTTTGTCTCTTCCATTGTAAACCAGTCCTGATATTCCCAAGGTGGTCTGGTTGAAGAAGTTTTCTGTTTGTCTGGAAAAGGCTGTTCCATGCTTAAAGAATGAAAACAGCTTCTATTTTAGCTCTTAATTTATGCAAAAGCTCTTAGCACAGTAGAAATAGAAGGAAACTTCTTAATTTGATAGACAGTATCTTCTAGAACTTTAAAATAAACATTATATTTAATAGGAAATCAAACTTAGGGAAAAGACAAGGAAGGCTATTATTATCATTGTTCTGACATTGTACTGAATGTCTAGCCAAGGCAATAAGACATGGAAAAGAAATGGGTCATAAAGTCTATAAATCAGTTTTTGATACAAATCACCCTAAAATGAAGTTTTCTAAGATAACAACCATTTACTTAGCATATGGTATGGTTTTGCTGTGTCCTTACCCAAACCTCATCTTGAATTATAACCCTCACAATTCTCATGTGTCGTTTGAGGAACCTGGTGGGAGGTGATTGGATTATGGGGGCGGGTCTTTCCTATGCTGTTCTCGTGATAGTGAATGAGTCTCATGAGATCTGATGGTTTTAAAAATGGGAACTGCCCTGCACAAGCTCTCTCTTTGCCTGCTGCCATCCATGTAAGACATGACTTGCTCCTCTTTGCCTCCTGCCATGATTGTGAGGCCTCCCCAGCCACGTGGAACTGTAAGTCCATTAAACCTCTTTTTCTTCCCAGTCTTAGATATGTCTTTATCAGCAGCATGAAAACAGACTAATACAGCATCTAATTATCTGGGTCTGCCATTTGGGCTGAGCTGGGCTGGGAAGGTTTTTCTGGACTTGGCTTAGCCCACTCGTGTACCTATGGCAAACTGCCGGATGGTTGACTGTGGTTTTCAGCCACTGAATTTTGAGGTGCTTCATGACAAAGAGAAACCTAACTGATGCAGATTAGAAAATAAGGGACAAAACTCAACATTCGTAGATGAAATTCTAGCCTATTTTAAAGATCTTCGGAATAAGGCTGAATTGGAAAAATTGGTTTTTATCACATGTAAGTGTATATTTATTTATACCAATCAGCATTTTGTTTTTACCAGATACTGGTCCTGAGAGGCTTTTTCCCTAAAGCAATACATTTGCAATTAGCAGTACATTTGCATATGCAATGATCTCTTTAATTTTCTCTGGGTTTGCCTACATAAGCTTTTTAGTTATCCAATCTCAGATATCACCAGCAGATAAATTCAGAGAATTAAGATAGTTAGAGACTGACAAAATATAAGAAATCAGGTATTTAGCACCTTCATTTATGGTTGAGAAAACTGAGGCTGAGAGAAGTTAAGTGATTTGTCCAAGGTCACACAACTCACATATAGCAAAAACCTGTGTTGTTAGTATAAATATTTTTTAATTATTATTTAAAAATTTTTACTTATTTATTTTAGTTTTTTTTAAAAATTTACTTATTTATTTAGAGATGGGTGTCTCACTCTTTTGCCCAGGTTGGAATGCAGTGGCACAATCATAGCTCACTGCAGCCTTGAATAGTCCCAAGTGATCCTCCTGCCTTAGCCTCCACCAAGCAGGTGGGACTACAGACGTATGCCACCAAACCCAGCTAATTTTAATTTTTTTCTTTTTGTAGAGATGGGGTCTCGCTATGTTGTCTAGGCTGATCTTGAACTCCTAGGCTCAAGTGATTCACCCACCTTAGCCTCCCAAAGTACTGGAATTACAGTCATGATCCGCCATGCCAGGCCATTAGTTTAAGTATTATTATCACATTAGAAGCTGGGAGTTTTGATATCTGGATCAATTCTCCTGTAATATCACATTAAATATTTTCTGACTTATTTCCATTCAAAGGGAGAGGTAGCCAGTTTGAATGGTCCAAGATGGAAGAGGCCTGCAGTATAATTCTCAGTTGGTTCTGGAACCTTCAGAGGCAGAATATACATAAAAACTTCTAAGAATTTTGGAGGTTGAATGTGTTGGGACTATCAATGACCTTATATGATACTGTCATTTGTAGGACACTCTTCAAACTTATCAGTTATCAATTAAAAATAATTATCTATTGTTTAGCTACATAAATTCCACGTATGATGTTTTAGTTATGTTGGGGGGAGTTACTCCAGAGATTAACTCTGTAAAGAATGCTAAATGGTTTTCCTTGCCTCTTAGTAGTAACTAAAATACTAACGACATTAAGTTGAATTCTTACTGTGTGCCAGGTACTGTGTTGAATACTTTACATATATTACTAATTAAATTCTCATATAACTTGGCAATGTAGATGTTATCCTCATTTACAGATGAGGAAACTGAAGCGTGAAGAGACTAAACCCAAGGTAACTAAAGACAGAAGGGGAATTCATACCCGTATCTGCCCAGCCTCAAAGTTCAACTCTTGTTGATGTTTTTTCAGTAGGCCTGTGGTAGTATTCAAACATATGTACAAGTTCTTTGGATACTCCCCTTTAAGAGGTGAAACTTAATTTATTTTATTTTATTTATTTATTTATTTTTTGAGACAGAGCCTTGCTCTGTCACCCAGGCTGGAGTGCAGTGGCTTGATCTCAGCTCACTGCAAGCTCTGCCTCCCGGGTTCACACCATTCTCCTGCCTTAGCCTCCCGAGTAGCTCGACTACAGACACCTGCCACCACGCCTGGCTAATTTTTTGTGTGTGTTTTTAGTAGAGATGGGGTTTCACTGTGTTAGCTAGGATGGTCTCGATCTCCTGACCTCGTGATCCGCCCGTCTTGGCCTCCCAAAGTGCTGGGATTACAGGTGTGAGCCACCGCGCCCGGCCAATTTCTTTCCTTTTGAGTGTAGGCAGGACTTAGTGACTTACTTCTGTAAAGTACTCTATGGTGAAAGCAATGTGCCACTTAAAAGACTAGGTCTCAAAAAGCATTGCACTTTCTTCCTTGCTGTTTCTTGGATCATTCATTCTGGAGGAAGTTAGCTACCATGGTGTAAGGACACTCAAGCAGCTTTATGGAGAGGCCCATGTGGTGAAAGACTGAGGCCTCCTGACAATAGCCATATGGGTGTGCCATCTTGGAAGTGGATCCTCCAGCACCAGTCAAGCCTTTGGATGACTGCAGCCCTGGATGACAGCTTGACTGCAACTTCATGAAAGACCTGAACGAGAACCTCTCGGTTAAGCTGCTCCTGACTTTCCAATCCACCAGAACTGTGAAATAATACATGTTTATTGTTTTAATCTCCTAAATTTTGGGATAATTTGCTATTAGCAAAAGCCTGTGTTATTAATATAAATATTTTTAAATTATTATTTTTAAAATTTTACTTATTTATTTTAATTATTTTTAATTTAAAAAATTTATTTATTTAGAGATGGGGTCTCACTCTGTTGCCCAGGCTTACTAATCCAAAGCTTTGGATTACTAATTACTAATACAAAGCTTTTTCAAGGTAAAGATAAACCCAAGTGAACCTATCTGAGTGATCACAGACCCTGAGCTGTTAGGGCCATCATTAACCAAACTTCCTTCAAAGCCGCAGCTCACCAAGGGTTTCCTCCATGGCCATGATGTTCACTGCATCTGCAGACAATGCTGCCTGTGTGCCATTGGCATATTCAATTCAAATTACTTCTGCAAGAGCTGAGAACCCTCTACCTACCTTCACTGTCTCAGATATGGCTTCCTGTACACCAGAGAACCCACTGTGGAGTGGAATATTCTGCTATGATTTGCCGCTGGCCCATGTGAGCCTAATTGAGCTTGGTCCATTAGTCAAGTATGGGCCAACCCACTGGCTCGATGGATCGATAGGCGTTTGTTTGTTTGATTCCACCCAGCCGTGCACCCTGGCAAGGGCAGAAAACAGCATCAAAGTGCATCACGTGCTCCAGAGACTGAGGAATTTCTTTTGTGCTTTTACCTGAGGCCACTTTGGATGAAATAAACACAATATTTAAACTGACCAGCTTTAATGAGCAGAAATGGAAATGCCGATATCCTTCTCTGGGAAACACAGTTAGGATAAAGGGAGTTTGCAAAGCCAGCTACTGAGATGGCAATTAAGCCAAGTTCATAAATTGGATTTTCAGGGTATTACTGGAAAAGGGGAAAATTTAATCAAGGAGGATCAATACTGCTTATGTGGAGTGAAAGTGGCCCATGTCATGGGGATCTGGGTTTCTGGGGAAGGGTGAGAGTGCCCTGCTGCCCGCCCCCACCGCTCCTCACCTTGCAGAAATGGGGTACTGGGGCGCATAAGGGGCTCGCTGGCCACTTGTGCAAATGTTTCCTGTGCAAGTTACACCTGCCGTGGCAGCTCAGCCTTCCTCGTCTGTCTCTTGAAGTGACTGCTGCTCACCATTCCTTAGCGGGCTCTCGCGTGTCCTCCAAACACTGCTGCATGCCATGACACAGCTAATCACATGCATCTGTTGTCTGCAGCTTGGGTGTGAATTTCCCTCTTGAAACCTGAGGGTAAGGGAAGGGGACTGCACGGCTGCTTTGCAGGGGCCCCGACTGCTCCTTCCTGGGATGTGCCGCCACCTCCCCAGGGCCTTTCCCTACCGGCCTCCCCTGGTGTTCCCAGCCAGCTTCCTGCACAGGGCGGACAGGAGCCAGGACTCCTGGAGGCAGGTGCGTCCAGGGGCCCTGGGTGAGGAGGCTACGGCAGCCTCGGGTCCCAGCAGGGCAGGCATGGGGTCTGAGAGGGGCAGGAAGGCAGTGGTGGCCCGGCCTGTGCTCTGTCCCTGGGCTCAGGAGGGCGCACCCTTGGGAGGGTCTGTCCTGTGAAGAAACCTGCATGTTGTCCACTCAGCCACTCAGCCACGCCCGCAGATCTCACTTGGCTCCAAAATGGGCTGGGCCCTGTGTCAGGCTCCAGGGATAGACACAGCGCCAACCAAAGGCTCAGTTCCACCCTCAAGAGCTTGCAGTCCAGGAAGGGAGATGAAAATAAACCCGTGAAGATAGATAACTATCTAAGGACGAATGGCAAAGAGCCTTGTGAATGAGAAATACCAGGCACTCTGAGAAAGGGAGGTGGCACTCCATATCAGGACTAGTGGAGTTACGGAGTTCCACCCCTGCAGGTGGCACGTCACCTGCGACCTGGAAACCTTTGATAATAAATAACGAGCACCTGCAGGGCAGTGGCCTGGCGCTCCACACCTTAGCTCATGCAGTCCTCAAAACCACACTGGGAGGTCTCACTCCACAATGCTGCTTGCTGGAGCCATGGCCAGACTGCTGGGAGCACTTTGAGGAGGGCATTCCCAGCTAGTGATTGCTCAAACTAAGGCCAAAAAACATCTAGGGGAAGACATCTTCAATGTGCAAAACCTGCATTGGATTAATATTTCAACATGCCCCCTTCTGCCCTCCAGAATTTCCCAGGAATCTTCTTGTGGCCAACCCTAACGAGAAACACACATGAAAGGGGATATGGGGAAATGTAGTTCAGAGGAGCCAAGTGGTTCCCTGCAGAGTGGAGACAGAGGATGCAGGGGGTGAATCTGGAAGGTAGCTTGGGGTCACACCAGAGGGAACGTCGACTACCCAGCATGTTAGTTTTTCTCCACTGGCCCTCACTTCCACTCACCTTCCTCTCTTTTCTTCCCTGCTGTGTGCTTGGGGTGGGGGTGGTTCATACCAATCCATGGCTTCACCTGGGTTCTCTTGCTGCTGGCTTCTGGCTGGGCGCTGCCAGTGCACTGGCATTGATGGGAGACCAGAGGGCAGGCAGGAGGAGGGGGAGGTAGAGTGAGCCCCTCCTTCTGCTTCTCTGCATGCACATGAGCACAGAAGAGAGGCAGCAGGAAGGATGTACCCTACCTCCCCCTCCTCCCTGGGAATGGCCGTGTCCCTCCTCTCCGTCCTCCCTGGAAATGGCCGCATCCCTCCTCCCCGTCCTCCCTGGAAATGGATGCGTCCCTCCTCCCCCTCCTCCCTGGAAATGGCCATGTCCCTCCTCCTCCTCCCTGGAAATGGCCATGTTCCTCCTCCCCCTCCTCCCTGGAAATGGCCGCATCCCTCCTCCCTCTTCTCCCTGGAAATGGATGCGTCCCTCCTCTCCCTCCTCCCTGAAAATGGATGCGTCCCTCCTCCCCCTCCTCCCTGGAAATGGATGCGTCCCTCCTCTCCTTCCTCCCTGAAAATGGCCGCATCCCTCCTCCCCCTCCTCCCTGGAAATGGATGCATCCCCTCCTCTCCTTCCTCCCTGGAAATGACCGCGTCCCTCCTCCCCCTCCTCCCTGGAAATGGATGCGTCCCCTCCTCTCCCTCCTCCCTGGAAATGGCCGTGTCCCTCTTCCCCCTCCTCCCTGGAAATGGCTGCATCCCTCCTCCCCCTCCTCCCTGGAAATGGCCACGCCCCTCCTCCCCCTCCTCACTGGAAAAGGATGCGTCCCTCCGCCCCCTCCTCCCTGGAAATGGGCACCTCCCTCCTCCCCTAAAATGGATGCATGCCTCCTCCCCCTCCTCCCTGGAAATGGCCGTGTCCCTCCTCCCCCTCCTCCCCAAAAATGGATGCGTCCCTCCTCCCCCTCTTCCCTGGAAATGGCCATGTCCCTGCTCCCCCTCCTCCCTGGAAATGGCTGTGTCCCTCCTCCCTCTCCTCCCTGGAAGAAATGGATGCGTCCCTCCTCCCCCTCCTCCCTGAAAATGGCCGCGTCCCTCCTCCCCCTCCTCCCTGAAAATGGCCATGTCCCTCATCCTTGGAAATGGATGTGTCCCTCCTCCCCTTCCTCCCTGAAAATGGCTGGGTCCCTCCTCCCCCTCCTCCCTGGAAATGGATGCGTCCCCTCCTCTCCCTCCTCCCTGGAAATGGCCGTGTTCCTCCTCCCCCTCTTCCCCCTCCTCCCTGGAAATGGCTGCATCCCTCCTCCCCCTCCTCCCCCTCCTCCCTGGAAATGGCCACGCCCCTCCTCCCCCTCCTCCCTGGAAAAGGATGCGTCCCTCTCCCCCCTCCTCCCTGGAAATGGGTGCGTCCCTCTTCCCCCTCTTCCCTGAAAATGGATGCGTCCCTCCTCCCCCTCCTCCCTGGAAATGGCTGTGTCCCTCCTCCCTCTCCTCCCTGGAAGAAATGGATGCGTCCCTCCTCCCCCTCCTCCCTGAAAATGGCCGCGTCCCTCCTCCCCCTCCTCCCTGAAAATGGCCGCATCTCTCCTCCCCCTCCTCCCTGAAAATGGCCGTGTCCCTCTTCCCCCTACTCCCTGAAAATGGCCGCGTCCCTCTTCCCCCTCCTCCCTGGCAATGGCCGCTTCCCTCCTCCCCCTCCTCCCTGAAAATGGCCGTGTCCGTCCTCCCCCTCCTCCCTGTAAATGGCTGCGTCCCTCCTCCCCCTCCTCCCTGTAAATGGCTGCGTCCCTCCTCCCCCTCCTCCCTGGAAATGGCTGTGTCCCTCCTCCCCCTCTTCCCTGGAAATGGCCGTGTCCCTCCAAGGCTGTAGCTCCTGTTGGATGGCCCCTCCTCCATGGCTCCAGGCCTCAAGGGACTTTTGTGACCCTATTTCTTCCCCTTGACCCTTCCAACTCAGGGTGATAGCAGCTTTTTGTTGTTGCTCATCTCTGAGTTCTTTGACATCCCTTATTATTTCTCTTATTCATTGACATCCCTTATTATTTCTCTTATTCACACATGCACCTATGCAACAATTAACTTCATCCATTTCTATTCCATTAAACCAGTATAAGTGGAATCCTGGTTCCTGCTGGGATCACTGCAGATTTGCCAGGTTACAGTGCTCAGATTTCTTTGTGTAAACAGTGGACAGAAATGCCTGGGCCTGCTCATCCCTTCATGGCACTAAACCCCTGCTGAGGACACAGGGCAGAATGGATAGACCATCCCTGTGATATCACAAATGCACTGGGATTAGTACATTTGGAATGATGTTGAGGCTGGTAGGACATTGAGCATTCCTTTGGTGGTAGTTCATGAATATGTTTTGGTCTTTTAATATTAAGATCCTTTTAAAAAATTCAGTACTTTACTGCAGTTGTTTAAAGGATATCTGTGAACATTTAATATGCAAGGTGTTTGAGAGGCTGCTAAAGGAGCTTAATTCATTGAGATTCGCTGAAGTTGTAACACAACACAATGTCATGTCCTCCTGGAATCGCATTGTCATCAATCCTGTGGGCTCTTCACTTGGTTGAATCACAGTGGGATGCCAGCCACTTAACTCCAGTTTTTGAAACAGAAAAAACTGGAAATTAGCCTCCCTGGATTTCAAAATAAGCTTATAAAATGGGGCTGAGAGATGTGTAATTGTAAGACTTCGTAATTTAGCCATTTCAGGGAGGTTTTATACTGGCATTCCAGTACATTTTCTGGAAAGATTAGGCTACCAATGGAAGAAAGTACTAGGCTTTAAGAAAGGAGGTTTGCCTGGCACTTGACACAATTTATTGCTCTGGCTTTCCCTATACATCAGTTGAAATATGGTTAAATGCCAGTTAAGTCACCACAGTTGAAATTATGAGGCAAGTAAAATAATGCCACTTATGTATCATAAAATACCACATCTCTATCTCATGATAGGCTTTAATGCTCAGACATTAGTATGCCAGTTTTTGTTGTTGTTGCAAGCAGTAGAGGCTTAAATCAGCTTAACCAAATATTAGAGAGAATACATTGGCTCAAGGATGGGGGCAACCCAGGAGGCAAATGCGGTGCATTGGCTAGACCTAGGGCTTGATGTGATGGAATCCTCCCTGTCACTCCCTGCCTTTGCCAGCACTGCTGCATTCTCTCTGGCCTTCATTCTCAGGTGCTCTTCACGTGCTGGGAGCTTACCTCCTGCTAGTTCAGAATCCCCTCCAGAAGGAGGTCAAGTGTTCAGTTTCCTCTACCCCCACTTCTTTCTGTAGGCCTTGCGAGGACCACTCTCTGTTAGTGCAGACTTTCTTTAGGCTGTGAACGGTATCATTGATTAGGTTTCAGTGCTTTTCATAACAAGCATATTCTAGTCATGCCTCCCTCATTAGCTTGATGGGACTTGCTGTTGCCCACATTTTTAAACCATGCATTTAGGCAGTCTTGTAGGTCTCTAACATGGTTGATGAAATGCACTGATTAATTTAGAGTCTTACCGGCTTCCTCTTTAAAGGATGGTTACCTTTATTTCAAAGCTCCAGGAGAGGTGGGGTCCCCCTATTACCCAGCCTGGGCTGCCCTAAATCTGCTGTCCTCCAAGGAGACTGAAGCACTTTCCTTCCTCATTGCCCTGCTGTTGACCTACGTGGAAGCACTTGCCAAGCAGTACTTTAAGTGTCTAGGTAAGAAGCACTTCAAATCTCAGCTTGGATGTTCTGCCCAAGTTGGAGAGTGATGCTCTCAATTATTTTCAACTGAAGGATGCCATTCAATGTTATAGCAATCTGGGATTTTCCTTTCATGGCCTGTGCTGGGTGTGGGGTTGGCAGTTTGAGGAATATTTCAGGCCGATTTCATTTAGTGTGGTCTTGACAAGGTATGGGGGCTTTCCTGTCTACATCATTTTATCCTTACAGGCTTCCAAGGTTCCATACTTTATTCCAGGAGATTTATAAAAGTTGTGGACTGTTGAAAAGTGAGTTGGGTGGTGACTGAGTAGAGTCTTGAGCCACAGATACTTATTGTTCCTTTTGAACCCTCGGTAAGTGTTGACTGTGGACTGTCCAGACTGTTTTTATCTGTATCTCTTTCTTTGTGAAGTCATTCGGGCCCTCTTCTTCTGAACCAGGGGTTTCTTCCTCTCTTTACCTAAGCATAAATTGAGCTGCATTATTACTTTAATTGATTTCTGAGATGTTATTGATCAAGCTAGGAGTTTGACTTTGTCTGAAAAACTCATTTATTGATGAAGCTTTAGGTAATCATTTCAAGTAAGAGTTCCCGCTCAGCAGGTGGCCAGGAGTTGGGGTTGAGCAGCCGGTGGCTAGCAGGAACATGCCTGAGGCAGGCATGACTGACAGGTGCAGTGGTGAACAGGAGACCCGTTTACATCTTAGCCATGCTTGATCATGAGTTGGCAAAGGACTCTGCTCGTTGTTGTGAGTTTAGACAAAGCAACCACCATCCTGACTGTCATCCTTCACCACGCCAAAGGGGAAGAGAGCCCTGAAATTCTCCCACTAGCAATTAAATGATCAGTCCAGACCTGACACACGCTGCTTTATTTACCACTCACTGGCCAAAATTGATCCACATGACCCTACAAGCCAGTGTGTTTTAAACTAGAGGCATCCTCTGGTTCTCTGAGGGTGTATATTTCTATGTCCTGGTCAGAAGGCTGGGAGGATAATGAGAAGAACAGTAAAGGATGATTTAATTTACATGGGAATGCTGAGTTGATGGCTAGGTGTTTTTTCTGTTTAGCATTAGTAGGAATTGCACTGAATATGTGCAATAAATCACTGTGTGTATGTGGATGGTGGGTGAGGGTGTGGAGAAAATCACACACAGCATCCTTTGCTGCCCCCTTCACTTGCAGATCAGTCAGTTAAGCAAATAGCTTTTGTTGGCTGGAGACATCTAACCATGTTGTTAGCATGTTTCAGAGACAATATCTGACTTCCTAGCAGAGAAATGTCTGTGATTACATAATAGGACATTGCAGTCCATGTGCCACGTCTTGTTAGCCTGTGTTTTATAAACCAGCCAGGCTGGTCCCCTGGTGGAGGGACTCAGAAAACATAACTCAGGAGACAGGTAAAGAGGATACCCCCTGATTCTAGTTGGAAAGACCAGCTTACACTCCAGGCTGCGGGGTCCTTGGAACACATTTATTTACTTTGGGTTACTAGAGTCCCATGGGGCTTGTTCTAATGTCCTTACAGAGGATACTGGTTAACGGTGTCTCTGGAGGTGACTTCCTAAGAGCTTCTGGCACAGTCTTCCATTGCTTTCATTTCTAGTAAATCAGGTCTCCTGCCCAAAGGGCATGCAGGTTTCCTGTGGGTTATCTTTGGGGAAAGTGACCTGGACCTGTTGGTGATAAGCTTGGGAATGCTCAGTTAGCAAAATAATAATAATCTCTATAGGATTGTCCTTTGCTTTTGAGATTGCTTTTGAGTAAGTCCCACAACATTAATTGAGCCAATTCATCTGGGAGAAGCAAGGCCTCTACTAGGCCTTTGGTGTGGTTATCATGTTTAATTAAAATGCCAGCTGCAAATAAGAAGCTCCTAAAGCTTACCAAAATCACAGACCATCCCCAAAGCATATCTGCTGTCTGTGTAGACATTTGATCTTGTATCTCTAGACATTTGATCTTATATCTCTAGCTAATTGACAGGCCCTAGGAAATTCTAAAATTTTGATAATTTGTTGACCAAATTTAGTATTTCGGCCTTTCAGAGGAGATTGGATTTGAGCAAGACTGATTGAGTTGAGAGCTATAGGGAGAACCCCTGAGACTATTGCTATGGAATAAAAGATGAAATGCTCCTGATTATTGTAAATACAAAATTGCATGCAGGATTGTGTAAAGACAATGCCAGGTTGGACTGCCAGAATGAGCCAACAGCGCGTGATGTGCTTCCCCCTGCAGAGAGCCTATGAATGGACATGCAGTCAGGGAGGTTTCACATCACCAAGATTCCTATCCCAGAAAAGCAGATGTTCATAGCTCTGGGAATGGAATGCGACCCTTATGGAGAGCCTATAAGTGGACGCATGGGGGGTGCCTGTCCATATGGATAAGATAGGGCTATAAACGCCCTCATCTTGCCACGGCTCTTCTAGGCCTCTTTAGGGTTAAGGCATACTCCCTTCTGAGAATTTCTGGTCTAACCGGTTGTCTAGCTTCACGTCCTGTTTCTGTGGATTGTTTGTAACAAGCTTTTGCTGCAACTGTTACTGCTGATAATATTTTACTAATCATAGGTTATGGAAAGATTGTGTTTCTGTTTTAAGGCTCTGTTAGAAATTACTGACGCACACACTATATTGTAAATTCTTATCTTTGTATACTGTACTTCTGCATACAAATGTTATGTTAAAGAATTACTTCATCCCTATGTGACCATCTCACCTCATAATCAAATGACCCTAAATCCCTCACTAACCTACCCCCACCCTCACTAAACTTAATAATAAATGCTGGTATATCCAGTGCATTGTTGGCACCATGGGACCAGAAGGCGGTGATCCCCCGGGACCCAGCTTTCACTATCTTGTGTGTGTCTATTATTTCTCAACCTGCCAGTCCACCTGGGAACAAAGAGAGAGCCCCGTTGCATTGCAGGCTGCTGGCCAGATCCTGCAATAGAGAGCCTCTTTGGTTCTCAAACAGGACTCACTTACAAACACTTGTAAGTTTGAATTATCTAAGCAGAATGTCTCAGCTTTTGACACAATTGGCATTTCAGGCTGGGGGAATCTCTGGTGGGGAATCTCTACAAATCTCTGGGCATTGTAGGAAGTGCAGCAGCCTCCTGGCTTCTACCCACTGGATGCTGCTAGTAGGACCTCCCCTAACCCTGGGGTGACAACTGAAAATGTTTGCAGACATTGCTAACTGTTCCCTGGGGGACAAAGTTGGTGCCATTTGAGGACCACTAGTTTCAAGGTGTTTCAAGGAAGCTAGAGGGAGGCAAGAAACATTCCCATTTGAGGACATGATAATCTGAGGTTCCTCTTGCAGAGGGTAAGGCATGGAGAGGTTTATTTGGAATGTCATAAGAATGGATAAAAACATGTGAAATGGAAGGGGAAGAATTTTGTAGGACGTCAATCTAGAAATAGAAAAATACTGGGTACTATCAGGGAAGAGTAAAGTCTGAATGGCTTGAGGGGCTGTGAGGTTACGTGGATGTCCTAACTCCAGGTAGCAGGCTTAGGTCAACTTGGTTGCAGCAAATGAGGAGAGTAGATTTTTGTTCTATGGGGTCAAGCGAGAGACTAATAAATGGTGGGTCTCTGATCTCCCTTGTGCTATTGAGTTAGGATCTCCAATGCTTGTCCCTATCTTTGATGTACAAGTAGAGAGAGAGTCGTATAGTAATTGGGAGGGCCTAAGGATAGGAAGGTTTTGAAGGAAGTCCTCAAAGAAACAGAAGACAGGTGAAGACAGTTCAGAACAAGGGTTTTATGTCAGCTTTTGTCAGATCGAATAAAGGGAGAGCCAGTTCAGAAAAGTTAGGAATCCAGTCTCTTGTAAGGTTGAGAAATCCTTCAACTTGTCTTTTGGTAATTGGATGGGAAGGTTCACAAACAGCTTCCTATCTTTGAGAGAAAAGAGACTTTCCATTTTGTGGAGAATTGCCAGATAAAATACAAGATACCCACGTAAATATGAATTTCAGATAAATGAGGAATAATATTTTAGTATATGTATGTTCTATGCAATACTGTTCTCTGTTCCATACAATATTTGGGAAATACTTATATTAAAAATTATGTCGTTTACTTGAAATTCAAAATTAACTGGGTATCCCATATATATTTTAATTTTAATTTTAAGTTCCAAGGTACATGTGCAGAATGTGTGGGTTTGTTACATAGGTAAACATGTGCCATGGTGGTTTGCTGCATGTATCAACCCATCACCTAGATATTAAGCCCAGCATGCATTAGCTGTTTTTCCTGATGGTCTCCCTTTCCCCACCCCACCCCCGACAGGCCCCAGTGTGTGTTGTTCCCCTCCCTGTGCCCATGTGTTCTCATTGTTCAGCTCCCACTTGTAAGTGAGAACAGGACATCTCATATTTTTATTTGTTAAATTAGGTCCCAATTTTGTGGGATGCCATGGCTGAATAATGTACTGGGGTCTGACATTTTTGGAGCTCATCTTTGGAGATTTTGTGTCCTTTGTATGCTAATATTGACAGGTGGAGGAGACCATTTTGCAAGACTCTCAGTCTGGAAAGCATGACAGATTATTCATGTACTGTATAGGGCAGAGTGCAGGTGGATGTCTCTAAGGCTAAGTATTTGTAAGATGTAAGAGGACACTTCTGCAAACCCATGAGGAATAACCGTTCAGGTGTAGCATTGATTTTCCAGTTGTGTGAAAATAGGGTACTGTCGTAGTTCATTTTGTGCATGTATGTGCACGTGTGTGTGTATCTGCATGAGTGTGTGTGTGCACATATGCACGCACGAATGCATGTGTGTGCCCATGTGCACATGTGTAGGACCTGTGTGGTTGAGTGGAGCAAACTTACTACACTTTGGGATCTTTGCCCTTGCTGTTCCCCTTGCCTGGAACCCTGATCCTTGTCCTCTGCCACTGAAATCTCAGCTCTCAAATCTCTCCTCTTCAGAAAGTCCTCCTTTCACTACTTTATCTAAATGATCTCTCTCCCCATCACTTTATCCTGTTTTATCTTTATCTCTGCATCCAGTAGAATGGGCTATTTTATGATGTGATAACAAACCACCCCCAAATCTCAGTGGTTTAAAACTACAAAGGTTTATTTCTCACTCAAAATATGAGCTCTTCAAGGTTCAGCAGGAGGAATCTGACAACTACAGTGCCTCAGATGGCTGAAGGAGCACCTCATCTTGAAAGTTGCTGGTGGCTGTGGCAGAGGGAAACAGAGATTCATGCTAGTAACTAAGTACGTATTCTGGACTGAAGGGAGATACAAAATGGGTTGGTTGAAACTAGTCACCTGGGCCCACCCAATCCCAAGTGGAGCAGATGTGCAGTACTCTCGCGTGTTCAGAAAATGCGGAGCTGGAAGTATTTGGGAAAGGTCACTGATTATACCAAATTCATGATTGAATAGTTGCCTTATCTATTTTTTATTTGCGTGTTAACTGTTTCTTTCTACTAGAATATAAACTCCAGAAGAGCTCACGGTTGATCCCAGTGCTGAGAACAGAGCTTGGCACAGAGTAGATGCTCAAAAATATTTCATTGAATGTTTGAATGAATATATCATAATCCATAACTTGGAGACCCAGACAAAGAGTATAAGTTTGTGAAACTCTGGTAGAATTAGGGATTGAGAATGGACAACTCTGTGGCTCCAACTTCTTTTTATGTTTCCTGGCTTCTTTTTGATGTTCTGGGACTGTCCTCACTTTAAACATTCGGTTCCCATTAGAAGCTCACAGATCTCAGACCATGTGTTCTCACTCTGAGTTCAGCAGGTGCGGTCCCAGACTCCTGGGATCTCTCATTAGGGTGCATCGGCTGTCCAACATCAGTGAGAGCAGACGAATTATTGCCTTAAGACGGAGAAGAGTTTTCAGAGAAACTGGCTCTGCAGGTGCTGACCTTGCAGGTTCAGATCTGAGAGAGGATTTACTCTTCGCTTAGTTGTGAGGCCCAAGCGCAGCCCCCTCCCCTCCCCGGGCTGTGCTTTGTCTCCTGGCACCCTGGGGGCCCTCTCTGGTGGTGGTGAGTGTACGGGGGACATAGACATGATGTCAAAGGTCAGTTAGCCTGATGGCCATCACACAGCCACACAGCCTCTCATTAGTGCAGCCTGGCTCAGCCACCAGAACAGGTTTTTGCTTTTTCATCCTATTGTTTCAGGCCAATTAGTGGTCTTTTTTCTCAGAGGGCCTGACATGGTGCTGACTCACCGCTGGATCTCATCGTTATTTGAAATAGTTTTCATTCCTTGAGAACATACACCAGTGGACCCGTTTCTGAAAATAAGATTGATGTGCAGTGAGCATTGGGCAAATTCAAGGAGGTGGTACCTGAATCCTGTGTGAACTCGATGTCCCTTTCCTTGGAATCCAGATAGTCAGCTACTTGAGTCACGTACACTAGGCCTTCTCCTGTCCTGGACCATCTTATTATATTTTTGCATCCTGCAACTGGGTAGATGAGCAGTCTTGTGAGATGAAAGGAAAGAATCCAGCTTCTTACCACTATAATTGATGTATCAGTCTGGTTCACACTTGCTCCTCAGGCCCAAATTAGTTTCTCTTAATCAAAATATGGCAGGGTAAGAATGGGCTCAGTTCTGTGTAAAGAATTTCAGGAGTGCTTTAAGAGACACAATCAGCAAAGGAGAAGCTAGAGAAGTTACATGCACATAATTTTTTCTATTTGTAGTTGGCTTAAGAGCTAATTTCTTTAGAGTAATTGGCCTATAAGAAAGATTTCGAGGCTGTTGTAATTAATACAATGGGCCAAGTCACAGACGTGATACAATCATTGGGTATTAATTAATTGGTGACAGGAGAATTTCTGTTTCCTGGAGGAGAGCTCTTCACTTAGGGAGATTTACACATTTTGGGATTACAGGAACCTGCAAATCCCTTCCATTGACTTTCTGCTTAGCTGACATTTATTGAAAATCTGCCAGGTGAGTGGAAGGTTACAAGAATTCTAATCTGATTGTTGACCCAGATGGCCTTCAGAGTGTCAAACTACTTGTGGGCTTCTCCCAACTCTGCTAATTTCAAGGTTAATGAGGTTGAAGATTCTGTTTGGATTTGTTTTTTTAATATCTCAAGGTGTTTGTCTGTCTCTCTTCCTCTCTTTCATTTTTTTCCTTTGCTCTGGTGGTGTTGAAATAATCCTTTGTGACTCAGAGGTGCCATGTGTTTTGGGAGTGACTGAATCAAAGGTAGTTACTTTAATTTTAGAGAACGCTGGTTGTCATTTGTGATACTCCTTGGAAAAGTTGTCTTCATCTTTTACCTGTTACTGAATCTGTTGTAATGGCACCTGCCTGCAAAACATTAGCACTGGTGATTCCTTGTCTAATAATGGTGGAGGAACTGCTACAATGCTAATATTCACACCGATGACAACTATAAACTCAGGAGAAAATGCAAAAAACAGCTATTTAAAGGTTACAGAGAGTAACCAAAAGCAGCAGACACTTGCAAGCAGGGAATGGCATTGGATGAGTTTCTCATTTTATGACTTAGACACTGATGGAAGTACCCATGCAGGGAAGCTGAATTGCAGAAAGCTCAGTCTTACCGGCTTGAAGAACCAGAGGCAGTGTTTGGGGCAACCACAACCACTGGAAAATGAGGGGAGAATGCTGGAAAAAAAAAGATCTAGAGAAAGAGAGGCCTCACATTCTGTATACAATCTCTGCCCAAATCTATGGCTGACCCTGGAATCGCACATGCATTATGAAGACTCCAGGAAGCTCAGCTTAACTCCCTATTTAATAAAAAAGTAACAACATGATTCTTCAGACATGTGTAATAGAATCCAGAGTCTCTACAATGCATTGTTCCACAGTGTCCAGGACGTGATCCAAAATTACTTGACATAAGAAGGAACAAGAAAATGAGACTCACACACCAGAGGACAAAAAAAAAAAAAAAAAAAAAAAAAAAAACAGTAAGTGGGGACTTGTGCAAAGGTGACCCAGATAATGGAATTATCAGGCTAGGATTATAAGGTAGTTATTATTATTATTATTACATTATAGACATTAAGGAAAATATGCTCCTACTGAAAGGAAAGACATGAAATGGAGAAAAATAGAAACTACAAAAAGAATAAAGTTGAAGTTGTAGAACTGAAACATATAATATCTGAAATAAAAAAGTTTACTGGGGCCGGGTGCGGGGGCTCTTGCCTGTAATCCCAGCACTTTGGGAGGCCAAGCAGGGTGGATCACTTGAGGTCAGGAGTTTGAGACCAGCCTGGTCAGTGTGGTGAAATCCCGTCTCTACTAAAAATACAAAAATTAGCTGGGCCTGGTGGTGCATGCCTGTAATCCCAGCTACTCGGGAGGCTGAGGCAGGAGAATCGCATGAACCGGGAGGCAGAGGTTGCAGTGAACTGAGATCACACCACTGTGCTCAAGCTTGGGCGACAAGAGCGAAACCCCGTCTCAGAAAAAAAAAAAAAAAATTACTGGGTGGCTTACCAGAGGATTGGAGATGATGGAAGAAAGAGTCAGTGAACTTTAAGACAGACCAATGGAACTTATTCAGTCTGAAGAACACAGAAGAAAAACATTGACAATGTTAATTAAAAGGGCCTCAGGGCCCTGTGTGACGATAGGAAGTTGTCTATGTGGAATTGAGTCCAAAAAGAAGAAAAAGGAAAAGGGACAGAAAATATATTTGAAGAGGTAATGCTTATAAATTTCCCAATTTTGCGAAAGACCTATACTTGTCATATGACCAAGCAAACTTACTTCTAGGTATTGCATTAAGATAAATGAAAACGTATGTTCATACAAAGAGATATATATGAATGTTTACAACAGCATATTCATTTTCAGTCTAGCCAAGAACTGGAAAGAACTCAAGTGTGCATTAACTGATGAATAGATAAACGAATTGTAAACTTCTGAACAACAGAATCCTACCCAGTTATAGAAAGGAGCTTGCTACTGATGGGCACACAAACATGGATTAACCATCAAAGCCTCATGTTAAATGAAAGAAGCCGGATACAAATTATATTCTGTGTGATTCCAATTTATATGAAATTCTAGAAATGGAAAAACTGGAGTGAGAAAAAGTAGATCAGTGGTTGTCAGAGTTGGGGAGTGTGGCAAGCGAGTTGTCTGAAAAGGGTCATAAGAGCACTTTTTCAGGGTGGTGGGAAGATTCTATATCTTGAGTGTGGTGATAGTTACATGACTATGCATTTGTCAGAACTCATGGTATATTCTTAAAATAGTGGATTTTATCCCATGTAAATTATAGTTGTTTTTAATATTAAATTTTATAATGGAGTTAAAAGTAAAAAAAAATTATATTTCTATGTAACTTATGGCTCTTTCCATGCAACTCTCTTAAGTGGGACATAATTTTTGAAAAAAATACTTTATCAAAATACTTTATCAAATACTAACCAGCTTAATGCACAAAAAAGGTTTGAGAGATAGAAGTCATCTCTGACATCAACATGATGAACATATAGCTTCAATACCCTTCTGGGTCTCATGCCAGCCTAAACTTGATAAGCTAAGGTATAACTGTTTGCATGGACAGGGATTGGGTCTTATATCTTTCTTGTATGCTAGTACTTCATATTTTAAGGTGTTCAATAAAGAGAAGATTGTTGCTTCAGAAGCACTGAGTGCCCAATAAGTTAGGATTCAAATATTACGTTTGTGTTTTTGAGATTCCAGCATATCATGGCTTTGCCATTCCAAACTTCTGCAGGGCAGAGGGAAACTCCTTTGCAGGAAAATTGCCAAACAGAAATTTCCTCATGCTCCTATGGAAGGTAATGCAGAAGCCCATAGATGAATATTGAAATTGGAAGACTGGGAGATGAGTGGTGCCTGTCTAGACCTAGGCAGGGTTGGACACGAATAAGACCTCAGACACAAGGATGAAAACATGACAATCTAGGAAAGCCAAAGGGGTGTCATGTTGAAGTGTCTTTACTTTGAGGTTCACAGATTATGCATGCATTCATTCATTCATCCATCCATGATATGTTTATGAAGTGCCTACTATGGTACTTTCCTAGGCACTGGGGGGTAATATAGGAACATGCAGACAAAACCCTTGCCCTCACTGGGCTTACAATCTAGTGGACAGAAATAGCCCAAAGAAAGGTAATAAATAAAATAGAGTATGTTTGATGGTGCTGTTGAGAAACAGCAAGGAAGGTGATAGGGATCGCTCTAGTGTAGGAGATGGGTCTTTCAGCAGGCTTATCAAAGAAGACACCACTGAGAAGACAGCTGTTGAGTTTAGTCCTGAAGGCGAGGCCAAGGATGGTATAGCTGTCATAGGGAGGAGTGGCCCAGGTAGAGGCATGAGCTAGTGCAAAGGCCCTGAGGCAGCAGCATGGCTGGAGCTGGGGGAACAGTAAAGGTGCCGTTGTGGCTCAGGCAGAATGAGCAGGGAGAGAGTGGGGGACAAGTGTTTAGGGAGGTATCTGGCCATAGAGCTAAGGGGCCGGGTATAGATTCTTGTAAGGACTTTGCCTTTTATGTGACTGAGATGAGAATTCCTCAAGGTTTTGAAAAGAAGAGAGAAGAGTATGTGACTTAAGTTCTAACACAAGCACTCTGGCTGCTGTGTGGAGAGAAGAGAGTGTGGGAGTGGTGGTGAGAGTGGACACAGAGAGATCAGGTAGGAGGTTATTGCAGTCGCCCCGGCAAGAGACGATGGTGACTTGGCCTAGGGCAGAAACAGTAGATGCAGTTAGAGTGAGGTATTTAAAAATTACATATTTTTAAGGTAGAACCAGCAGGCTTCCTGGACACATTACACGTGCACTATTAAGGAAAGAGAAGAGTTAAGGACGACCAAGATTTTGACCAGAGTAACTGGAAGGATGGTTGGAGTTGCCTTTAATGGGGAAGACTGCAATAAACTTCATGATCTTTGCACCTTCTAACTCCATCCTTTGAGAGTAGTAAATTCTCCTAGTAAGTACAATCAAATATCTGCGGCCTTTACATTTTGCTCTAGGTGAATGTGAGCACTCTTCTGATCTAGTGTTCTGCAGGAAGTTCATCTTGGGCCTGATCTTTGTAGGTCAGCCACGAACAAAGCCCTGGTCATCTCATTGTTACAGTTCCCTTAATGGAGAGCCCAGTGTAATCCTTTGTGCGTGATGCTGCTCCTGTACCTCAGCAGGGAAGACACCAGGTCTGGGAAAAAATTGGCACTGATTGCAGTTGCAGCTGCCAACTAGCCCCTGGTAACCAGAGTGGCTTTCAGGGTGTTGGACTTATAGGAGCCCTCCATGGCCACCTGGGAAAATCTAGCTAACCAGCGTGCATATGGCATGACTCCAGGACCATGGTCTCATTAGCAGATGCTTCTACTTGATGGAGTCAACTTGCCTATTAGGCATGTAGAGGATCCCCACTTAATGAGGCCCTTCCCAGTAGAGATGCAGAGTAATCCTGTGCAACATGACAGAAGAAAAGTTTCCACTCAGAAGCAGACTGTTTGAAAAGTAATTAGAGTTTTCTTTTTTTTTCTTTCTTTCTTTCTTTTTTTTTTTTTTTAGAGACAGAGTCTCACTCTGTCGCCCAGCCTGGAGTGCAGTGGTATGATCTTGGCTCACTGCAACCTCTACCTCCCAGGTTCAGTTCAAGTGATTCTCCTGCCTCAGTCTCCGGAGTAGCTGGGATTACAGGTGTGCACCACCACGCCTGGCTAATTTTTGTAGTTTTGGTAGAGACGGGGTTTCACCATGTTGCCCAGGCTGGTCTGGAACTCCTGGCCTTAAGTGACCCTCCCGCCTCGGCCTCTCAACATGCTGGGATTACAGGTGTGAGCCATCACACCCAGCCAGTAATTAGAGTTTTCTGTGTGTGACTCTGCTCTTCACTTTCCCCCTGTGGATATATAACAGGCACAGGGCTGGGGACCTAGTGGTCACTCAGTAAATGTGCATGTATGAATGCACAAGTGTTACATTCAGTCTTTCTCCAGCATGAACTGTGGTATCAGAGGTGTGGTGGGTCCTGGACGCTCCACTTCATAGCTGTGTAACCTGCCTGGGCCGGGGCTTCCTGGCGCTCTAGTTATGGGTACCGTTCACCACTTCTCTGCGCATGCAGGAGGATTATCCTTGCTGGTCCTGTGGTCAGATGGGGCCATGTGACTGGTGATTGCTTCCAGGCCAGGGCATTCCATAGTTAATGAGGAGAACAACTAGGCCTCTCTTTTCCCTTTGGACTGGAGATCAAATGTTCTAGATGCAGAATGGAGTGTATAATGTGCACATTTGTGTAAAAGTGGGGCAGAGCATCACACTTTTTCATGCCTGTAGGTGCATCGAATATCTCTGCAGGGCTAATAAGGAAAAGAATAACTTGGGTTGGCTGCGGGGAGTGGATTTGGGAGTCTCGGGAGGTAGCAGTAGAAGGAAGACTATTCTTTTATACTTTTTGAATTTTACATCTTAGGAATGGATTATCTATTCAAAAGTTAACATTATGTTATGAATCAAAATCAGACCCCCAGTTCCAATCTGAGGTGAAGCTGCGAATGTTTGCCTCGGGAATCAGAGGACAGTAACAAGGTTCAGTCCTGCATCCTCCGTGTCTGGAGTCTGGAGTCTGGAGTCTGTCATTCGATTTCTCATGTCTGTCAGCATGGGTTTGCCTCTTCTCTTTAAGGAGACCTGAATAGAAATGGTTTTCACTGAGAAATCCATTGTCCATTTTTTATGTAACAAGCGTTTTCCTCCAGGTTGGTAATAGAAAGAAACAGAGACGATTCTGAAAAGTTGTATTTAAGAACGTGGTGTAAGATGATTTCTGAGTCATCATTTGCTAGAAGGGTTTTGGATGTTGTCAGAAAGATAGAGGCAGTGGGGAAAAAATTGTGGCAATTGTCTTAGCTGTCTCTGGGCTTGTCACGGTGATGCTGATAAAATCAGATAAGCTGGAAGTAAGGGTGAGCTGTAGTGTGAGAAATTGTCATGGGTTTGGCAGCCGAGAAAGTGGAGGTGCCTCAAGTGTTTGCTCATTATCAAGATTTATTGTTTTCAGCTCTGAGAAAATGTTGGTAAGCAAAAATAGGACCACTCATGCCAGTCTGCAAAGTACTTTACACATTTTAAAAACAGAAAAATAAGAAGACTCTAACATCCTTTTCCTGTGTTTGGGAAGTGGGGCAATGGGTTGGCCGACTGATTATGTGCTGACTTAGGAGTCAGATGGAGAGGTTTTGGAGTATTTACAAGGGAAAAATATATTTGAGATTTAAACAAAAGCAGAAGAAACCAAACAAGAGAGAGTTGAAGATGGTGATCTTCTATGTTTACGTAAAATATTTCTTGATTAGAGAAATGTATAGAAAATAATATAACAAATACTCATTCACCTACCCCCAGCTTTATTAACTCTTGCTATTTGGCTTTATTTTCTTCAAATTTTAAAAGAAATATATTTTACAGATATAATTGGAGCCCTCAGTACCTCATTATTTCTCTCCCTTCTCTGAGGTAGGCATTATCATTACCATGCATGTTTTTTTGCAGTTTTTAATATAAACTATAGAAATAATTATTGCATATGTTTCTAATTTTTATAAAAAGTATTATACCATTCATATACATGTGCAACTTGATTTTTACTCTCATTTCCTTCTATTTAAAAACAATTGAGTTATAATGAGCATGCCATGTAATTCATCTTTTTAAAGTGAACAATTCAGTCGTTTTTAGTATATTCAGAAAGTCATGGAATCATTGCATTATGTAATTTCAGAATATTTTTGTCACACTCAAAGAAACTGCATCCAGTAGCAGTCACTTCCCATTCCCCCACTTACCCCAGTCCTTGGCAACCACGATTCTACTTTTTGTCTTTATGGATTGACCTACTTTGGACATTTCCTGTCAATGGAGTCATATATCCTCTCTTGTGACTGGCTTCTTTCACTTAGCATTATGCTTTTAAGGTTCATTTGTATTGCAGCATTTCTCAGTAATTCTTTTTATGGCAAAATAATATTCTATTGTATAGAAATACCACATTTTGTTGATCCATTCATTGCTTGATAGAAAATTGGGTTGCTTTCACCTTTTGGGGGGGATGAACCATAAGGATACGAAGGTGTTTCATGGAACCCAAGGAAAGCATTGTAGTCGGTTCCAGGAACTGCAACCAGGAAGTAGAAATTTACCAGAAACTCTGGAAATATTTATTCTAACTTCTACCCTGTCCTTTTCACTCTCATCTCTTTTTTCAGTTCTTAGTCTGCTTGGTAGAAGAGATAACTGCACAGCTGGTTAGAGTTCACATCTCTGCTTGAAAAAGCATCCCAGGCCGGGCACGGTGGCTCACGCCTGTAATCCCAGCGCTTTTTGGGAGGCCGAGGTGGGCGGATCACGAGGTTAGGAGATCGAGAGCATCCTGGCTAACATGGTGAAACCCCGTCTCTACTAAAAATACAAAAAATTAGCCGGGTGTGGTGGCGGGCGCCTGTAGTCCCAGCTACTTGGGAGGCTGAGGCAGGAGAATGGCGTGAACCCGGGAGGCGGAGCTTGCAGTGAGCCGAGATCGCACCATTGCACTCCAGCCTGGGCGACAGAGCAAGACTCTATCTCAAAAAAAAAAAAAAAAAGAAAAGAAAAAGCATCCCAAATTCCAAATTTCCTAGCTGGAAATCACATTCCTAGGAAGTGTCCCTCATCCAGTTGAGGTGAGGGTTCACCACCAAGTCCAGCCCATGGCTAGAGATTGGGTCTCATAAGGTCATGCCATGTCCCGCCCTATGGACAAGGGTAAGAGTGGAAATAGGTACGTGAATTCTCAGCAGAATGAGGAATCACTGGTGAGCTGGAAACACAGTGCAAAAGGTGCCTACTAGGGAGCTCAAAACCAAGTGTGTTTTCTCAGAAATCACAAATGTCCGCAGGGACTTGGGGGACATGATAAGTGAGTAAAGTGGCTCAGGCCTATTGGAAAGTTTCAACCCTAATAAAGGGGACAGTGTTCTGCCCCAGCTGGTTATTACCACATGGGAATGTGGAATAGTGTTGCCTAACCTTCTCCAGAGAAGGCAGAATTACTATTTTGGGGGGTATAGATTCTCCATATTTAAAAATATCGCCAGCTGATTCGAATTTTGTAAAACATGATAGTGGGAATGATTAAGCAAAGTATGGCTCTGGCTGTGAGCAGCTCAGTTATATGAAGCTGCAACCTCTGGGATTTCGATTTAATTTTCCCCATCAGCCAGAAATGCTGTAAAGGAACCCAATTTCTTAGAGTATGCCCAGTTGGCACAGTCCTAGATTTTTTTTAAAGTTCTGTGTAGCAATTTGATGATGGGAAGTCAGAAAATCTAACGAGTAATGAGAGAATGTTTTGAGTCCTAAAAGATAAGTCCCTGATTTAGACTAGTGGACCTTAAGTATTTGTAGCCTGTAGACCTTTGACTGCCAACCGCTGCCTGCCTGGTCTTTTCAGAGCATACTCAGAGAAAGCAGAACTGCCCTTGACAAAACGGAAATGAGGAGGTGGTGCCTGGATCCTATGAAACTGCAGAAGTAGATGGTTTGTTTATGCTCCATTCTGAGAGCCAGCCATTAGATCCTGATGAAAAAAAAGGTTGTATGAGAGGCAGAGAGACGAACTAAAGACCTCTAGTCTGTTGAAGGGATCCGTGAGCAGGAATGTGCCCTCTCCTCTCCAGGACATCAGTGTTGGTGGGGACTCAGGGAGTGGGAAGGATGTCAGGAGGGGAAACGGGGGTGATGAGGGGACCCCACGCAGTGGGGCTGTGGCAGCTGCCTGTCATCTAGCCCAGTCCTCAAAGCTCAGCCACAGCCCAGCCTCCCCGGGAGCCTTCCCTGGCCTGCCTGCCTACGCAGGTCTGTCTCCTTCACTCACCTGCAGCTCAGGGGCTCTGCTGCACTCGGCACATGCTCCTCTGAGACCCGCTCAAACTGTGTTTAACACTCTTCATTCATTCATTCATTCAACAGATGTCTAATGAGCATCTCCTATGTCCCAGACAGCCTTCTAAGTGTGGGGGATACATTCGTGAGCAAAACAGGCACTTACATACTTGTATGTGCGTGTGCGTGTGCCTGTGTGCGTGTGTGCGTGTGAGAGACAGCGAGAGCGTGCGTGTGCGAGAGAGTATCAACATTATCAATAAATAACAGTATGTTAGAAGATAAAAGCCATGGAAAAGCTAGAGCCGGATAAGGGGGTTGGAATTGTGGAGATGAGAACAGAATTTTAACTGGGGTGGTCAGAGGAGGCTTTACTGAGCTGGCAGCCTTCAAACAAAGACTTGAAGGATGCTCTTTTTTGTTTAGCACCTTGTGTTCATGCTGATGGTTTGGGATACAGTTTTCCTATGAATTTTTTAGCTTAAAATAGACTTATTCATTCAGCAAACACTTGTTGAGGATCTGCTTGGTTTCTACTCGCCCTTCAGGTCTCAGCTCAGATGCCAGCTTCTTACTCCAGAACGCCCTTCCACTGTCTTCTGTTGTAATTTATATTCTATTTTGAAATTTAAGGTGACCATTTTTAAATTGTATTTTTTTAATTTTTAAAAATTGAAGAATTTTGTTTAATTCTTAAAACAACTTTCATTCTTCCACTTCGTGTTCATGATAGCATTTGTCATTATGTGGTCTTTTATTTTCCTGACTAGTAAGACAGGAGTCTCATCTGTTTTGTCTACTAATGAATCTCAGTGCCCAGCACACCACAGGGGGTGCCAAATAAATATTAGTGAATAATGTGCCAGGAACTGCAGTGACTATGGTGTTATAATAGGTTTTGGCTTTTGAGGAACTTACTGTGGTCCAGTAGTGAAGACAGACGTGTCTTCTCTAAGCAGAGTATATAAACAGACTTACGGCCTGGAAGGAGAATACGGCTCAAGGCTCTGCTGGCTGGTCGCTTCTTGTCTCCCAGAATGCAAACGCCACACGCCCCCCACCCCCAACGAGTTTTACAGGGTATCCTATTGGGTCTTTTAAGTATGTTCAAAGAATTAAACAAATACTCATTGAACTCCTACAGTTTTTCAGGCACTGTGTCAGCACTACAGTCAGGGCAGCAGTAGTACAGGCACGTCTGTGTCCTCATGGAGGTCATGGTCGAGAGGAGGAGTCAGAGGTCCCCGTCTCCCATTGTATCTCCTGAGAGGCACCAGCAAATCCTATCTTGGGACATTTGTTCAGTGTAATCATCACTCAGTAGTTTACCTTGCTTTTTGGTCATCTTAAAAATTAATGCCTAGAAAAAGTCTCATAAGAAAAAACAGATACCTGAGACCAGAGACAGCTTCTCTTGTCCCATTTTTAGAATTCCCATGTGGGGAAAGTGTTACCATCTCTGCCTGGTAGCTCAGAACCATCCAGACGTTTGCAAAAAATAATCTATGTAAATGACACAACTTGCTGGAGAACAGTTCAAGCTTTCGAACTTGCCCACTCTTCTTCATTTCTTCCTCCCTCCCACCTTTCTGATCCCTCCCTCCCTTCCCTGGTCCTGTGAAGCAGTCACTCTTGTGATCATGAGCGATGCACTGAGGAACAGCCGCATGTGGTCCTGGGGACACACTGCTGGGTTAGGTGCCCTGTCCCTCTCTGCTGCCCTGTGTCTTCTCCTCCTCCTCCTCCTCCTGGCTGGCACGACTGAGCTGCAGCCACACTGTGCACTAAAAGGTGCCTCAGCCCCTCCTCAGGGGTCCCAGGGCTCCAGAGAGGAGGCTTAGCTTTTACGGAAGGGGAGGTTTCCATGACAAACAGGGCTTCTGGGAGGCAAGTCCTTTTGGAAGGAAGGTGTGTGCTCTAGCTTGAGGGAGAAACAGCCAAGCAGTGTCGCCACTCCATGGCGGATTCCTCCTAACACACGCAGACACACTCACACAAACACATATGTTCGCACATTCTCTCCCACACTCACACACGCATTCTCTCTCATGCACACTCAAACACACACGTTCACACATTCTCTCACACACATGCATTCTCACACACACACATTCATACATTCACTCACACACAAATTCTCTCACACACTCATACACACTATTCACATGTTCTCTTACAGAAACAACACATTCTGTCACACTCACACACACATTGACACATTCACTCACACCTCTTTCACACATTCTCTCACAAATACATTCAAACATTTGCTCACACACTCTCACACATACACACATTCACACATTCCCTCACAGAAACACATTCACACATTGTCACACTCACACACATACATTGACACATTCGCTCACACCCCTTCACACATTCTCACGCTCACACACATTCATTCAGTCTGTCTCCCACACTCACACACACACATTCCCTCTCACACACACTCATACAACACATATTCACACATTTAGTCACACACATTGACACATTCACACCCCCTTCACACATTCTTTCTCACACTCACACACATTCCCTCCCACACTCACACAACACATTCACACGTTCTCACACACATTCACACACATTCTCACACATATTCACACATTCTCACACACATTTGCACATCTCTTTCACATTCACACAAATACACATTCTATCAACACATTCACACATTCTGTCACACACACACCTCCACACATTCTCCCTGTCACACACACTCATAGACATTCTCACGCACACATTTACACACACAAACACATGTACATATCCTATTTCTCTGTCACACACAGAGCTGCACATTCTCTCTTGTGCCGACACACACACATGCACACATTCTCCTTTCTCCCAGACTCCTATGCACTCCCACACACTCTCACACCCCCACATTCACGCATTCTCTCACATATACTCACACACACTCTCACGCTATCTCACACACACTAACACACACTATCACACACACACTATCGCAATCTCACACACACACTCACACACTATCACATTCTCACACACACACTCACATACACTATCGCACTCTCACATGCCTCCTTCCCCACTGCAGGAAAAATTGCCTAATGAATGTCTCATGGCTGAAACACCGATCCTGATTCCTGAAAGGCGGTTGTAATTATTAAACTGAGAGAATCATGAAACACTTCTTGATATTTGAAAGGCTTATCAAGACTAGATCAGGAGCAGGTCAAATTACCAGTTATGAACTCATTTTTGTAGAAATGGACTCATTAGCAAGCATGCCCATTGCCTAAAAGTATAAGACCTCTTTCCTCTGGATTGAGAGAAATGACTTTAAAAAAAACCTGTACATAAAAGAAGCTCTGCCTTAATTGTTATTCCATTCATTGCTGGACTTGGGCAGGTTCCTGCAGCTGGTCCAGCTCACAAGCTGGGAAATTGGAGAGGAGCAGGACGTGCCCACAGTCAGAAGGGCTGATCATCTTATGCAGACCTACCCTCTTTGCCTAAAGACTGGCCACTTCTCTTTCTTTACCCCAGGACCAGAGTATGAATCTAGCAGGATGAAATGGCTGGTGGAAGAGCTCATTTCTCCTCTCACTGGATCTTCGCTTCCCTGGCATTAGCTTCTCTGAGGTCTACGGAATGCTGAGAACCCGGGAGGTTTTGGAAGCAGCTTCCTAGTTCTGGTTACAAAGCACAGTGCGGCCCAAAGAGAAATTGAAAATTTGGTCTGACAGGACCAAGCATCTCTCGTAGGAGGTGACTTAACAGATGGATTCGTGGAGAATTTCTGTGACTAGTGAAGAGAAATTAGGCTGGAATATGGTTGATGGGAAATGGCAGGGGTGCAGGTGGGGTGACTCTAGCTGAAAACTGAGCTGAAAGCTCAGCCCTTCATCTATTTCTTTGCCTTTCACTAAAGATACCCAGGTAAATAGGGGTCCCCTGATGGGAAGGGGGGTCCCATGTGTGCACACTTTCAGTCCTCTCATGAGTTCAGAAACTGCTATTCAACACACATTTTCTCTCTCTCTCTTTTTTTTTTTTTGAGACAGTTTCGCACTTTCACCCAGGCTGGAGTGCAGCGGTGTGATCTCAGCTCACTGCAAGCTCCACCTCCTGGGTTCACCCCATTCTCCTGCCTCAGCCTCCTGAGTAGCTGGGACTACAGGCGCCCGCCACCATGCCCTGCTGATTTTTTTTTTTTTTTTTTTTTTTTTTTTTTTTTTTTTTGCATTTTTAGTAGAGACGGGGTTTCACTATGTTAGCCAGGATGGTCTTGATCTCCTGACCTCGTGATCCACCCGCCTCGGCCTCCCAAAGTGCTGGGATTACAGGCGTGAGCCACCACGCCCGGCCCAACACATATTTTCTTGCAAAACAACTTGTACCAATGGATATTTGAAGATTTATAGATCCCAAGTACCTATGTGCAGCTTAGGGTCAGCTGGGACCACCTGGCTATGTTTGCCCACGGGAGCCCCTAAACTTTTCCACAGCTGTGTGTCTCCTATGATTTTGAGATCATCACAGTATGAATTCATATTACTGGATGGTACATGAAGTGAGTACACACCCATTCCCTCATTCCATCCCCATAATTCTACTGAAAGTAGAAAGACCAATATTATTGTTATTCACTCATTTTTCAGACAAGGAAGCTGATGGCGGAATGGGCATGAATGTCTTTCCCAGGGTACAAAGCAGGTCAGCAGTTGTCTACCTGCCCTGTGCAACATGTCACCAAGGGCCACATGTGGCTGGTGAGCATTTGAAATTAGGATAGTGTGACTGAAGAACTGAATTTAAATTTGATTTATTTTTAAATTATTTTAATTTGCACGTAAATGGCCATTTGTGGCTGGTGGCCACAATATTGGGCACTGTGGTATCAGAGAGTTCCTTAAAATCTTGGCTAAATAGGAAAAAGGTTGCCCATGACCTATTCTATGTGGAGTACAATGTGGTTTCCCTTTGGGTAGAATTTCTTACCAATCAGGTCAGTGTGATTTCGTGTTGTCAGTGCTGTGGCTGTATTCCAGTGTTCCTCTGATACCTCTTGGCATATACAAGGAAGCAGATGTGGTTTCCCCACCACTGTTCTTGTAGGAGCTCCAGTGCAGGGGAGCTGTCCGTGGTAGGAGAGTCCATTACACAAGCAGCAGGCAGCAGTTTCTTTTTCAAAACTCCACACAGGTTGTGAGTTTGGGAGCCCAGACTGCAGACCTTGCCTAGGCCCCCAGAGGCAGGAAGGAGACTTCTCAGCCTACATTGGTCCTAGGAGGCTCATTGGCAGAGAAGGAGCTGCTGGTGTGTGTGGCTCAGGCCTTGGGGGAGCTTGCGGATCAGCTGCTCTGCTGTTGCCTTCCTTGTATCTGGGTGGAGCTGGATTCACTGGGATGGAAACAGGCTGATGGATCAGGGTCATTCACAATCCTGTGCTGCATGGCTTTCTGTTTTAACTCTGTTCAGTGACTTCCCTGTCAATGCGATAGCCTGCAATTTACAAGTCCATGTCAATGACAAGGGGCTCCCTGCACATACAAATACCATAATCACACTAGTCTTTTTCAGTTATGAAGAATTCACCAACTTCATAGCCCCCCCACCTGCAAACACACATATGATCTTGTCATTCCATGAATTAAGGCAGGTGGGATTTTTTTACATTACTTCTAATCCCATTTGGTGAAATGAGAAGTCCAGTGTAGTATCTTCTTATGTTGCTCGTAGTTTATGTAGTAAACCACGTAGTGTGTGAAGTTCTTTCTCACTCTCAGTCTCCTGATGCTTCCACACACCCATGAGGTCCCCACTATTCTCTGCAAATTCTAAAGCTTGGAGAGTTTTAACAACTGGTCTACAGACCTCAGCTAAGTAGAAGCAGGAATGGCCAAGGTCCAGGGTGTGCTTTGTGATTGGAAGAGCAGTGAAGCTACATGAAATGGCTTGGGGGCCTTTCCTGAGTGTGGAACTTGGACTGTGGCATGCCCGTGCCTGGGCTGGGGAGGGGAGAGCTGTGCGTGGCATGCGAAGAGGTGAAATGCTGACCGAGTTACTCATCCAGTGAAAGACAGCCTGCTTTCTGCAACACGGAGCCCTAGAGACGGATCGTCAGCCTATTCTGAGGTGTGGGCTGCTGATGGGCAGCTGTGAATTAGGCTCCGACAACACTGCCGTGTGAGTTGTTGAACTTGGCAGTCATTCTTTTGGTTGACAAATAAGAATGTGGCAATTTATTACATTCTTGACATTTTGCTGAGTCTGAGGTTTTAAATGGAACCTTAATATGTGTTTGTTTTCCAGGGTAAATGGATCCTTCTATGAGATCTTGCAAGTGGACTTTGGAATTGATAATAGCAGTGACCTGGCTGGGGCCCAGCAGATTACCTGGCAGGTGGAGTACCCGATTGAGGACTCCATGAGTGAGCTGGTCGTCTCCGAGATCTTCGTCAGCCAGACAACCTTCGTGGGCATCGTCCCTCTTGCCATGGTGAGGAATCTGGGGGTTTCAGAGGAAGTGTCACAAAGAAGTTTTCTTTAAACATGATGCACTGTATAATCTGTTATTTTCCACATACCTGATACACTGTTTAAACAAGGAAAATATACTTAAATTGCATTTGATCTACCTGCTTTTCATAATGGCTCCTTGGGAACTATTTAAGGTCTACCATGTAAATCCCTTTTCATTTGTGGATATTGCGGAACTGTTTCCTGGGGAGCCCTTATTCTTTATTTTCTCAATCTGCGTGCATATCAGGACTGAGTGCTGCGCTGAGTGAAAACAGTTTTGTTGAAATGCATCAGGGTTACACGTTGGGAACAGTGGCTCTATATGCCAAGTAACTGACCCCTTGTCAATTGGCTTTGCCCTTAAGTCTCCCAGGTAACTTATGGATTGGAAAACTCTAAAATGCAGATGGACTGAAAGAGCCTTGCTGGGAACTGACCACTTTAAGCTGGGTAGAGCCCCAGAGTCCACAAAACTGTCTGTGTTTCTGCTTCACTGGCCTGGAGGTGATTGGATTTCTTCTCCTGGGCTTGGTTGAAGTTACGTTCATAGTCAAGCTCAGGGGCTACATCTGAGATCAGGGTCATGGGTGAGATTCCAGAGCCTAAATTCCAGAGATTCCACGGAGACAGTAAGTCCATGGGTACTACCTGCTTAATACCCTTTTCCACACTGGAAATGTTCAACCATTTTCTGCACTGCCTTGACTTTCCTGTCTGGTACCAAAGTGTGGGATCCATGTCCAGATACTCTAGAAAAATCTGTGGGTGCTTTTGATCATTCATCATGCAAGTTAAACAACAAAGTTGAGACTCCTTTGAACCCTATATCTTAGAATTAATTCTGCCATCCCCGAATCTCGAGTGTCTCAAGTGCGTTGAATGTGTCTCTCTGCTGGAACACACTTTCCCTACATCTCCCACGTCTGGGTCCTTTTCCCCACCTCAACTGTTAGGGAGTCACCTTCTCTGACCTTGTTGGCTAAAATTGGCCCTCCCTCCCCTGCCAGCTCATCACCCTCTACCTGTCATCATCCTGTTTTATCTTCTTCCTAGACATTATCACTGGTTGATATTTAGGGTTCATTTTCTGTCTTCCTCCCCAGAAGGTGGGATTCATGACAGTAGGGTTATCCTGGTCAGTTGTGTCCACATCTTTCACCCCTGCACCTAGCACAATGGCTGGCACAGTTAATGTTTGTTGAATGAATGAATGGATCTGTGCTTTAGTCCAAGCTTCCAGGGTCATTTAGTTTTTGAAGATTAGACTGACGGAGATCATTCCTATCATCATTGACCCACATTGTGGTTTGAAGGCAGCCAATCTAGACGGGGAAGTACCTGTTAGGGAACAGAGATGGATGGGTGTGGGTTTTAAGGTGGAATGAAACTGCATCCCTTGTGCCTGGGAACCCATCTATAAATTCTCCAGCTCAGCTAGGTCAGGCTGAGGTTGGGAAATCTCTACTCAATGTCCTTACCACTTTGCTCTATGCTTTATCTGTAGCACTGCATTCACTGTGGGTTTGGAAGCTACCACTGCTGCCACCTCCTCTACTTCCACCTTCTCCTTCCTCCTTCTCTTCCTCTTCCTTCACTTCCCCTCCTTCTCTTTCTCATTCTCCTTCTCCTTCTTTCTCCTTCTCCTTCTTCTCCTCCTTCCTCTTCCCCTTCCCCTTCTCCTTTTCCTTATTCCAAAGCAAGTCATGGAAAGATCAGTGGCAATTAATGCTGGACTGCCCCTGCATGAAGTAAGGGCACTAGGGTACATAGCTACATAATGTACAAAAAATGGGCTCACTATTTTCAGAGTCTGATGTGAAGCAGAAATCCCTCTGTAGTTAGAACAGAGCAGCTTTAAATGCAAGGACTTAAGTACACAGGGAATGAAACAGATGAGAAGCAGATGTAGAACAGAAGAGAGCTGGGCACCCTAGTAAGAGTGGGAATCTGCTACTACCCCCAGGCCAGAGGGTGAGGGTGGAGGGGTTATTACCAGAGCCCAGGACCTGGGGGTCACTGCTGCAGCTAGAATCACATTTGAGCAGCCTGGTTAGGGCTGGAGTGTGGGAGAGATTCAACTGTTGCGAAGGATGCTACCTGAGGCAGGGCTGGGAGCGGGGTGAGGAATTACCTGGCTTCTGCCTCCCTCCTCCTGCCAGATCCTGCAAAGTCTTTCACTTAATCTCATTCTGCTGGCTGAGGCATAAGCTTAGGAAGCAGCATCTTCAGGGCTCAACACTGCTATGATCCAGAACTGATCAGAGGAGGGCCAGGAACTGGATTTGAGGGTGACGGGCTCCAGCCAGTGCCATTATCTTGCTTGTTTTATTGCATGATGTGACTCCTGTGAACCAAATCCAGCCTGTCCCTCAGAAGCTTGCATATTCAGAACGTGGCCATGCCAAGTCTCGTTCCTCTCAGGTCTCCTTTTGGCTCCCTCGGCCCAGAATGCTCCATTATGGCTGATTTCTTGTCACTTTTCATTTGAAGGTCAACTCGTGGAGAGGCTTCTCCTGGTTACTCTGGCTAAATTAGTCTCCCCCTTTCTATTTTCACTTATTTGTCCTTGTCTTGTGCAGATCCCATCACAGTCTGTGATCCATGCTTATTTATGAGTGTTTGTGTCCTGTCTGTCTCAGTCTAGGTCCAGCCATAAGAAAGAATGTGAACACGGAAAGTTTAAAATAGAGAATTGTTAACTATCACAGAGGACTGGGATAGTGAGGGATTGGTTAGTTAGAAGTGAAGAGAACTCTAAAGAGTATAGGAATGGCAGATACAGGGAGCAGCTGCTAGCCTGAGGGCTGAACTATAATGCTGAAAGAAGAGGTTTCCCTGCCTATCCCCCCAAAGCAACATTTCTTGAGAGGTTATGGTCACAGCTTACTGAATGGCAGACAAGTTGCTGATGCAGCACTCGAGTAGAGCTTGATGGGAATCTGTCCTCTGTAGTGCTAGGGACAGCTGTTCACAAGTGATGCACTTGCTACCAAACTACTGAAGGTGGACCTTGGGGAAAGCTGCCAGCTGTGAGGTGCTGCTGGCCACCATGAACTGTAGGAGTGGGACACCGAGGAAGCCACCAATGCTGGAGAAGGTCTGTGCATGGCAGGAGCTGCAGAGAGAGGGCCTCAGCATCAGAAAGTCAACCCTTTCCTCCCAAACTGTCTCTCCAGTATGTTCTACTGACAAAGCCTAATATCGTGCCCATTGGAAAAGCAAAAATATTAAAATAGGGCTCAGATCTATTTTCACAGAGCAGGTAATGAGGGGTGAACTTGGAGCTGAGAGGCCATGAATCGATAACAAGCATACTGCAGGTCTTCCACACTGGATTTCAAGCTCCCTGATGAGAGGAGCCATGCTTGTTTTGCTTGCTGGATGTTTTTTCAGCATGGTGCCGAATATATAGTATTTGCTCAGCAAATGAACAAATGGTTATGCCTACCATCAGAGCCTGAGTCCATTGGCTAGAGAGCTCTTGCTTGCCATATTATTAATTTTCCTGTGCTGCGCTAACAAATTACCATAAACTCAATGACTTTAAAAACCTACAGATTTATTCTCTTAGAGTTCTGGAGGTCAGAAGTCTTAAGTAGGTTCCCTGGGCTAAAGCAAAGTTGTCAGGAGGGCTGGTTCCTTCTGGAAGCTCTAGGGGAGAATTTATTCTGTACCGTTTCCAGCTTCTAGAGGCCATCAGCTTTCCTTGGCTCGTGGGTCCACGTGACTCTCATCTCTGCTTCCATCATTGTATCACCTTCTCTGAGTCTCCTGCTTTCTCTTCCCTTTTAAGGACCCTTGTGATGACATGGGGCCCACCGAGATAATTCAGGATAATCTCCCCATCTCAAGATCCCTAACTTCATCACACTTGCAGAGATTCCTTTGGCCATGCCAAGTAACATATTCACAGGTTCTGGGATTAGGACGTGGACATCTCTGGAGGGGGCTGTTATTTTCCTACCACACTTGCTTATGCAGGATTCCAGCTCTCTCTAGTTGGAGCTTCCTCAAACTGGGTGCTCAGGGCTCTCCATCTCTTCTCGCATGATCTGCTCTGTCATTGTGTTGTAGCCCCAGGCTGCTGCCTGCACCAGCTTACAGCTTAATGCCTCCCAGGCTGCTGCCTTGGGAGCTCTCTTGGCCTCCATGTCACTCTAGCACCTCTGACAGCTCCAAGATCCTAGGGATACTACTCTCTCCTCATCGGGGATGCACTTTCATTGTGCTTGGCTCTTCCAGAGGACCCCAGAGCAGAGCTTCCAGAGCACCAAGGAACATGAGTCTCTTAGTTTTCACAGGCATCCTCATCCCCAGGGGGGATGTGGACAGCCACAGGACAGGGGCTGGGTGGGCTCTGGTCACAATTTCACATCACTGTCCTCTAATCCTGGGACTGGGAGGAGGAGACCCGAAGTCAAAGCCCAGCTGGCCTCTCATTCTCCACGTAGCCTCAGGCTGGTCACCTAACCTCCCTTTGCTTTAGTAGCTCATGTGTGAGTTTACAAGCAAGAGTACCTCTTCTGTCTACTTCACAGTGGTGTCAGATGGATAAACTGAGCCATAAAAAATATGAACATGCTTAAACTATCAAAGCAAATATAAAAGTCATGTATGTAAAGGGAAAATGTCCCAGATAGGGCACTGGATCAGATTCAGCTGGCGTGTGGGATTAACAATCCTCTCTATCCAGCCAGTTTCGTTATCCTATTGATTTGCCTGGGAAAATTTCAATTATGATTACCTTCGAGGTAGGTGGCAGTGAGATATTTTGGTCAAGAGTGAGGGCTATTGGGTCAACCTGCCTAGTTTGAAATTTGAACTCCAGTTACTAGCTTCATGATATTGGGCAAGTCACTCAATCTTTCTGAAGCTCCAATTATTTATCTGTAAACTGTAAAAATCACATTCCCTGCCTGATAGTTTTGTGAGGATTAAATGATATACTAAGGTAAAGTGTTTGCCCATTGGCCTGGCATACTGCATGCACTCAATAATGTTGAGCTGTTATAATTTTCATCATTGTCATTGTGTTATCTAGCCATCTATAGGTGTAGTTGTCAAACTTTGGGAGAAGGTAAAACAGAAGTTCAACCTCAGGATGGATGATGGTAGGTTCTCCTCTTGGAGAAAAGGAGGAGGAAAGGAGGCTGATTTGCTGAGTCAGACACAGCCAAAGGGTTTAGGGTGGGCACAATATGGGTGAAGAGAGAGAGACAGAATCACAGAGGGTCTGGGAGCTCATGGAGAGCTCCTACTGTTTGAGAGGGTCAGGGAAGAAAGGGGAGGAAGGAATGTGCTATCTCATTCTTGAAGGTGAATGGACATTAGCCAAGTGGAAAGAAGGAAGGTGTTCTAGGCAGATGGAATGATGTGTGTAATGAGTAGGAGCAAGAGCATGGGCGCTTAGAGGGCTGCAGGTGGCTTGGTGGGGCTGGTGTTTGGGCTGAGGGGAGGTGATAAGGGGAACAGAGAAGGGGGCAGCAGAACACTCTAGTAGGCTTGCATACTAGGCTAGGATGTCTGATCTTTGTTCTGGAGTTACCCTTTATTCATTGGTTTGGATCATTTATTACGGATCACAAAGAATGTATGAATCCACAAGTATTCATTGCAGTTCTGTATGTTGTGGTTTGAATGTGTCCTCTCCAAAATTCACGAGGAAACTCAATCCCCCTTGTGGTGGTGTTACCAGGTGAGGCCTTTTGGAAAGTGATTAGCCATGAGGGCTCTGCCCTCACAAATGGATGGCTTCCTTATAAAAGGGTTGGAGGAAGCTGGCTTAGGCCCCTGTGCCTGTCCCTTCCGCCATGCGAGGACATGGTGTTTCGTCCTCCCTGGAAGACGCAGCAACAAGGCACCATCTTGGAAGCAAAGAGACCAGATCTTCAGCAGACACTGACCTTGCTAGGGTCTCTGTCTTGGCCTTCCAGCATCCAGAACTGTGAGGAAGTAAATTTCTGTTCTTTATAAATGACCCAATCTCAGGTATTTTGTTGTAGCTGGACAGAAGAAGAAGGACCTGTGGTATACTCTGCAGGTGGGGTGGTGGCCAGTGGTGTTCTCTTAGCCAACGGCCACTCCTGCCTCCTGCTTCCTTCCCAGCTTTCTTGCTAAAAGGGCCTCGGTTATGATCTTTGCCCACTGAGTGGCCACATCCTTTGGTCCACTGGGTAAGGTTGGACCCCTCCACAGTCCCAGGGTGGCATCTGGATTGGCCTAAACCATCACGATTTGTTCATCCCCTTCCCTTGTGATTATTGCACCCTGGGGGAAGTTGCCTAGTTGGGTGAGGGGTCTGGAGAAATAATAACTTGTCGTTAAAAAGGATTGAAGCACAGGGCTATTCCTGCTTTCTGTCCCTGAGCGTGACTGTGTAAGGAGTGGGAGGTGTCACTGTGAGAGGAGCTGCACACACTCTGGGATGGCAGAGCAGAGACAGGGTGGGAGGCTGTGTCCTCGCCAGTGTCACAGGCTGCCCAGCTACCCCGTTACCAGCCTCCCTCCTCTGGGCCTCCTGCCTTGTGACACAGTAAAACTGCCCACTGTAAATCCCCTCTGGCTAGCTCTTAGCTGCAGCTTGGAGGGTTTCAACTGAAGGCTCTTCTTAGCCTCCCATCACCTTCCTAGGCCTGCTGGGCTCCTCGCACAGGGGTTGTCACTATCAGGAAGGAAGGGGCAGGGATGCCATCCACTGTGCCATCCCTCATTTCTCCCTGGAGAGGAGACTTATTCCTACAGGCCCCAGTTGGCCGTGGCACCTTCCTTCCCATTGGTTAAAACTGGGTGGCATACACAGATGCTGGGGGAATGAGGGTCTGGCCTTGTAATCTTACCTGTGACAGCCATGGACTGGGCAGTTGAAGCATCTGCACTCATGGAATTGCCCACGCAGTGCCCCTGGTGCCCTCTGAGAAGGTGCTGCTGTCCTGGGATTCAACCCCAGACTTATGATTTAGGACTTTGCTGCCACAGGTGTGTGATCCTGGATTGTGTTGGTTGCTGTTGACATTTTGGGTAGCAAGTCAGCCTCTACTTCATGAAGATAAACACACAGCTTTTGGGAGAATGCCTGATAGGAAGTGGGAGAGACCCAGTCATGGACACCAGGGTGGGGGCTGAGGTAGTAGCCAAGCAGGCAGGCTGGCAGAGGGAGGCGGCTGTGGGGAGGTGCTCACTCATTCATTCTTCCTTCCTTCCATTCATCCAGCCATCCACCCATCCAACCACCCATCTACCCTTCCATCTACCCATCCACCCTTCCATCCACCCATTTACCCTTCCATCCACCCATCCACCACCCTTCTATCCACCCATTTACCCTTCCAACCACCCATCCACCCTTCTATCCAATCATTTACCCTTCCATCCACCCATCCACCCTTCCATCCACCCATCCACCCTTCCATCCACCCATTTACCCTTCTATCCACCCATCCACCCATCCACCCTTCCATCCACCCATCCACACTTCCATCCACCCATTTACCCTTCTATCCACCCATCCACCCATCCACCCATCCACCCTTCCATCCATCCATCCACCCATCCACCCTTCCATCCATCCATCCACCCATCCACCCTTCCATCCACCCATCCACCCTTCCATCCACCCGTTTACCCTTCTATCCACCCATCCACCCTTCCATCCACCCTCCACTCTTCCATCCACCCATCCACCCATCCACCCTTCCATCCACCCATCCACCCTTCCATCCACCCTCCACTCTTCCATCCACCCATCCACCCATCCAGCCTTCCATCCACCCATTCACCCTTCCATCCACCTATTTACCCTTCCATCCACCCATCCACCCTTCCATCCACCCATCCACCCTTCCAACCACCCATCCACCCATTTACCTTTCCATGCACCCATCCACCCTTCCAACCACCCATCCACCCTTCCATCCACCCATCCACCCTTCCATCCACCCGTTTACCCTTCTATCCACCCATCCACCCTTCCATCTACCCATCCACCCTTCCATCCACCCATCCACCCATTTACCCTTCCATTTACCCATTCACCCTTCCAACCACCCAGCCACCCTTCCATCCACCCATCCACCCTTCCATCCACCCATTCACCCTTCCATCCACCAATCCACCTTCCATCTACGCATCTACTTTTCCATCCACCCATCCAACCCAGCCACCCAAACGGTGAATAGCAAACATTTACTTAGCATCACTATGTGCTGGATTCATAATTTTTTAGTGAATGAAAAGAGAGAAAATGGAATGGATGAAAGTTTTGAAGTTGAAACTATTAGGCCTTGGAAACCATTTATGTCTAAGATTTCCATTTCTAGCAGAGCAGCACAGATGGTCAAAAGCTTCAAAAACCGCTTCTTGAAAAGGGTGGTCTAAGGAGAGGGATGCTGCCACCCAGGGTGACAGTGGTGCTTTCTGCATTATCTTCTACATCTGTATCGTCTTTTTGCCCCCTCTCCGTGGCTAAGAAATGCTAACAAATGTGTCTATTTCTTTTTTTTTTTCCTCTGAAGGCACAAATTTGCCTTTTTCCTTCAATGGTGTCCCTTCTTTAGGTTTTCTGCCCAATTACTGAGCTTTGAGCTTAGAGCTTTATTTCCGTGGGTGGCTTGGTGTTGAGGGCTGCAGTCCACCCTTCAACGACTGTTCTTAAAACTAAAAAGCCTGGCTCTGCACATGCAGATAAAAACCACATTATCTTTCAAAAAGATTGGAATAAAAAAATGAGCACACTTGTGAGTTTCTAGGCAACTGGGCACATGGGCTCAGCACAGGCTACAATGAGAGATCATCAGATTCCTTTTTAGTCGTATTGGCCTGAAACCTTACAACAAGGCCTGGACACAAATACTTCTTTATTCCAGACAGCGTTTGTATGCCTCTTCTGTGCCGAGCACTGTTCTGGTGAATGGCGATGAATTAGGCAGACAAGGCCTCAACTCTCATGCTGTCATGCTAGGGGAGGGGACTGATGAATGCAAGAAACATAAACAGTTGACCTTTGAACAATGCAGGCATTAGGGGCACTGACCCCTCTACAGTCAAAAATCTCAGTATAACTTTTGACTGACTGAAAACTTAACTACTAATAGACTACTGTTGACTAGAAGCCTTACTGACAACATAGTTAATCAACACATGTTTTGCATGTTATATGTGCTATATATCAGCAGTCTCCAACCATTTTTGGCACCAGGGATTGGTTTCATGGAAAACAATTTTTCCATGGACCAGGATGAGGGGATGGTTTCAGGATGATTCAGGTGTGTTACATTAATTGTGTACTTTATTTCTGTTATTATTGCTCCTTTCTTCCCCCCTCTTTCTTTCTTCCTCCCCCTCCTCCTTTCTCCTTCCTTCTTCTCCTTTCTTCCCCCTCCTTCTTCCTCCCTCCTCCTTCTTCCTTTTTCCTCCTTGTTTCTTCTTCCTTCTCCTCCTTCCTCTTCCTTCTTCTTTTGAGATAAAGCCTCACTCTGTTGCCCATTTTGGAGTGCAGTGGCACAATCACAGCTCACTGCAGCCTCAGTCTCCCAGGCTCAAGTGATCCTCCTGCCTTAGCCTCCCAAGTAGCTGGGACCACAGGCATGCCACCATGCCTGGTTAAGTTTTTACTTTTTACTTTTTAATTTTTTGTAGAGATGAGGTCTCACCATGTTGCTCAGGCTGGTCTCAAACTCCTGGGCTCAAGCAATCCTTCCACTTTAGCCTCCAAAATTGTTAGGATTGCAGGCATGAGCCACTGTGCCCGGCCTGAAACTTATTAAGTACCCAGGAGGCCTTTTATTTTCTTTGAATGATTCTGCCTGGTGGCCCCAAAGGCCAACAGGGACTTGACTCTTGCAAAGCTCTCCTTCCTGTCAAGAGAGCCTTTCTCTGCCTTCCCACCTCTGTGTGTCCTGTGCTCACTCACTTTGCTGGTCGCTGGGATTCAGACGGGGGTAGCCTCTGTCTGTGGAGTCTCCAGTGCTGAGTAGGGGTGCTTTACCCCAAGGAAGGGCCAGCAGGTGCCACATGGGCCCTTGGGGTCTGTCCCAGCTTTGGGAAGCCATAAGTAGGAGGGCATTTTAGAAAGGTTTGAAGGCTTCTGGAGCAGTCTATGTCTTGTCTTTCGTCTTTTGTTTTGTGTAAAACTTTAAAATCTAAACAGTGCTTGAATACATCTTCCTAAAACATCACAGATAAGTGCCCGTTGGCTGCTCACTAATTCCTGCTGCCTCACCCAAATGAATGATTGTGTATCATTTTATTTCTTTTAGCCAGAACGTTATCTTTCTATGTATCTACATTCTCATATATATATGGGGCCGCAGGAGTTCAAGGCTGCAGTGAGCTGTGATTGTGCCACCACACTCCAGCCTGGGCCGCAGAGCGAGACCCTGTCTGTAACAAAACCAAACAAATGTATGTGGGGCTGCAGAAAATCCTTGGTACGGCTTTATGTGTGGTTGCATTTTAAAACAAATGGCATTATGTTGAGTGTAATATTCTTTACAGTCAACAACATGCTTTGGAGCCCTTTTGTGCTAATATGAATAGAGCTTAATTATTATCTAAAAACTGTTATATTCTGCAGTAGGTTATTCCATAGTTTTTTTTTTTTTAAACCATTTCCCTATTGACGAATATTTAGGTTGCTTCCATTTCTTTTCTTTTCTCCTCTCTCTCTCTCTTTCTCTCTGTCTCTCCTCCACTCCCCGACCCCCAACTAGGATGCATCCTGTAAAGCTCCATCTGGTTTGGGGGTGGGAAGTGGGTTTTACATCATGTGCCAAATGGTCGTCTGCTGCAGCGCTATGTTAGGCAGGAAAAATGATGCCAATCAGTAAACAATGTCTGTTTTGGGTGCTATATTAGTTTTCTAGGGCTGCAGTAACAAATTACCCCAAACTAGGTGGCTTAAAACAATAGGAATTTATTTTCTCACAGCTCTGGAGGCCAGAAGTCTGAAATCAAGGTGTTAGCAGGGAGGTGCTCCCTCTGACGCCTCCAGGGAAGGAGTCTTCCCTGCCTCTTCCAGCTTCCGCTGGCTCCAGGCGTTCCTTAGCCTGTGGCCACCTTGCCCTCATCTCTCCCTTTGTCATCACATAAGCTGTGTGTGTGTGTCTGTGTCTCTGTGTCCTCCCCTTATAAGGACACCAGTCCTTGCATTGAGGGCTCACCCTAATCCAGTATGACCTCATTTAAACTAATGATGTGCAAAAATTCTATTTCCAAATGAGGTCACATCCTGAGGTTGTCAGTGAACATGAATTTTAGGGGGACACTAGCTCACTATAGGTATAAGAGGCAGGCGGGGGGCTACATGAGTGCCATTAACCACTTAGATCCGGGGCAGCCCAGTCACTGCACCTTCGCGTGTGCAGTGAGAACTGGAGTTCCAGATGATGACTCTGCCAGGCTGCTAAATCTCCAGCCATTCACTCAGCTACACAATACTCACACTCAGTCGTGTTGACTGGACTCTGCTAATCAGGACAGGACAGAACTTTTACTGTCTTTGAATGTTATTTTATTTTTTCTTTTTCTTTTCTTTTTGTTTTGTTTTTGTTTTTGTTTTTGAGACAGAGTCTTGCTCTGCCACTCAGGCTGGAGTGCAGCAGTATGTTCATAGCTCACTGCAGCCTTAACCTCCAAGGCTCAAGTGATCTTCCCACTTCAGGTTCCTGAGGAGCTGGGGCTACTGGCATATGCCACAACACCCGGCTGATTTTTATTTATTTTTTTGTAGAGACAAAGTCTCACTATGTTGCCCAGGCTGTTCTCTAACTCCTGGGCTCGAGTGATTCTCACACTTTGGCCTTCCAAAGTGCTGGGATTACAGGAGCGAGCCACTGTGCCTGGCCTGAGAATTATTTTTGTGTCACCCTGATGTCATAGCCTACCTGGAAGGTCTGTGTTTCTCCCCCTTCCCACAAAACTACAAGTTTGTCAGTATAATTACCGTTGAGGAAGACACAAAACATTTGGCAGTTGGTATCTAGAATAGACTGAAGGTTTCTGTCTCTTAGGTTCTCTAATATAACAGAATGAGCAAGGTGTTCTGCAAACAGCCATAACCTCAGTTATATACGCACCATTTCACCTGATTGATCCTACCCTCTCACAGCTGAAAGGACTAATTTTAAATTGTCAAGGAGAATGCCTGTCCACTGGGTGCACTTTACAAATGGCCACAAGTAACCGTCTTTGTCGGCTGAGCTGAAAGCCATGTGCTTTGTAAATGCCGCCGTAGCACTTGGTGCAGAGTGGGCACCCTACTTGTGGCTCTCCTGGCGCTGCAAGCCAACTACCCACACTGTTATTCCAGCACATAGTGCCAGGGAGGCCATTTAGTAAACCCCTTGCCACAGTGGCCCCATAACTGGATTTAGCTGTTATGCCGTTTCCTAACTTACATTAAAAACATAACAATATTACAGGGACTGCTCTTGGAGAGTGAACTGGAGTCAGCTCAGTGGAAAGGAAGGGAAAAGCCCATTAAGATGTTTGGTTCAGTTGACCTGCCTCTATTTGGGAAAACCTTTGCTGATGTATAATTTCTGAAGGCGAAAGGGAAAAATAGACCCAGCTAAGCAAGTTCGGGAAAGAAATGGGTGGTTGTCAGTCAGAGCAACAAAGTAGTGGAATTCCAGGGGCTTCAGCGGCAGGGATGAGACATGACAAATTTTTAAAGACTCTGTCAATATCATTAATATCTATGACCTGTCTCACAAGGATGGCTGTCATGCAGCACATCCGTCAGAAAATACTGCCCTGGAATTGTCCTGCTTGTTGGGTGAGCCCCAAATCCCCAAATTGAGAGTGATTATGCAAGGGATTTTATGGTCCTATTTTACAACCCCTTAAAGGTAGTAAAATAATCAGGAAGCTGTATTTTTTTTTTTTTCGAGACAGAGTCTCACTCTGTTGCCCAGGCTGGAGTGCAGTGGTGCGATCTTGGCTCACCACAACCTCCGCCTCCTGAATTCAAGCAATTCTTCTGCCCCAGCCTCTTGAGTAGCTGGGATTATAGGTGTGCGCCACCATGCCCAGCTAATTTTTGTATTTTTAGTAGAGACGGGGTTTCACCATGTTGGCCAGGCTGGTCTTGAACTCCTGACCTCAGGTGATCTGCCCCCCTCGGCCTCCCAAAGTGCTGGGATTACAGGCGTGAACCACCACACCCGGCCTTAGGAACCTGTGTTCTGAGACAATAATTTTCTTTTAAAAAAACAAGTCACTGTTGACAGCGAACTAGATTATGTATCACAGTTTGGGGGTTGTGAATATGCAGGCTGTCTCTGAGCACTTTGATGTTGGGTTGCCCGCTGCAAGCCTGATATTTATGTTTGGTAAACCAGAGTTCTTGCTAGCGAGTCACTTTGCCAGCCTCTGTACTGATCAGGAAAGGGCCCCTTCTCCACAGCTGGGGAGATGTGAGATGCATGTGCTTAAGAAAATCAAGCTGCTGTCGTTCAATTCCAGCCTGGCTTAAAGCTGTGTGACCTTCAACACAGTCCCCCTTACCTATCCTGTAAAAAGTGTAATATAATTCCTACCAGAAGCCAGAATAACCTTGTTATCATGAGGATGAAGTGAAGCAGTATTTGCACACTGCTTGTCACATAATACATGTATGATAAATGTTAAGAGTTTGTTTCTTATTTTTGTTTGAAGGTGAAATACTTAAGATAGTGATGAAATTCAACATATTTAATAGCAGGGTGGTGTGGCCACTGGCCAATCGGAATAGATGCACCTTGTAAATAATTATTACAGCCTCTCCCCTTCCCAGGGCCCTCCAGCTGCACATCAGCCCCGCCTGAGACAAACAGCGAGGGAATGTTCCTAAACGCTTGTTTTCCCTTTGCATAGCTGATTGCAGAGCCCAGCAAGTCTTTCTCTAAATGGCTTTACTTTGACAAGGGGTCGCGATGGCATTTTGATTGGCATCCGCCTCTCCTCCGGGGAAGGACCTCGTGGGCGATGGTCCTGGCGCACCCGCTAGATGGCGCCGCAGACCGGCTTGTACAGGCCGCGCGCCCTCCCCTCCCCGGCGGAGGCTCCTGGAGCCCCTGCCCGGCCTGACTGGCTGCGTCCTCAGGCCCTGCGATTTCCAGGGATTCCCGATTTCCCTGAGTGTGAGCAAATAAAGGCTCCTTCCTGCAGCCCGAGCCAGCGCTCAGCGCAGCCCGTGACCCCTGGCACCTGACAACCTGCTTCAGCCAAAATCTTAATAGGCTTTATTATTTTTATTTAAGATGATGCATGCTCATTATAACATTTTTAAACAATATATGGAAAAATCAGAATCTCAGCACCCCCGATAGAGCCAGCAGTAATACTGGAAAATTATTGTTCCATGTATGGAGTCAAAGTCCACGTATGGGCAGAGAGATGACTGTGGCTGGACACGCAAGTGGCCGGCGAACTTCATACTTCACGAAAATGGGAGCATATTCTGTGTGCTGGGTTTTTTCTTTATTAAGGGCTAGGTCCTTCCTTTTACTTACATTTAAGAGAAGACAAATAATCTAATATGAAGTTTCTGAACTTCAAAAAACCATTAATCACTACAAGGAATACTGGTTTTTTAAAAATCACCTTGCTGGCTGGGCACAGTGGCTCACGCCTGTAATCCTAACACTTTGGGAGGCTGAGGCAGGAGGACTGCTTGAGCGCAGGAATTTGAGACCAGCCTGGGAAACATAGTGAGACTCCTATCTCTACAAACATTTAAAAATTGGCCATACATGGTGACACATGCCTGTAATCCCAGCTACTCGAGAGGCTGAGGTGGGAGGATTGCTTGCACCCAGGAGGTCGAGGCTGCAGTGAGCCATTATCATGCCATTGCACTCCAGCTTGGGTGACAAAGCAAGAACCTGTCTCAGATTTTCCACCCCACAACCAAAACCAAACCAAACCCAGACAACAATAGCAACAACAAAACAGTAAACAAAAATCATCTTACTATGATTAAAGGGAAAAGGTTTATGGTAAAAACAAGTCAGTGATTAGAGTCATTATTTTTATTATTACTATTACTACCATCACTACTACCATTACAGTTACATCCACTTTATTTTTATTATTACTATTACTACCATCACTACTACCATTATAGTTACATCCGCTCTTTCAGATGCCACAATTTAATTTTAGTTTAGAACCTGAAGCTATCCAATATGGTAGCCATTAGCTTCATGTGGCTATTAAAATTAATATTAAATAAAATTAAAAATTCAGTTTCTCAATTGCACATGCCACATTTCAAGTGCTCAGTGTCCACATGGAGCTAGTGGTTACCACATCTGGCAGCACAGATATAGAATCTTCTAGCAGTGAGGAAAGATCTGTTGGACAGCGCTGCTATTGATTAATTCTCTTCCCTGACAGATGAATAAACAGCACCATGAGACTTCTGCCTAGGTATTTATTAATTGTTTATAACCTATATATCTAATAGATGTATTTACACCAAGTTTTATCACATTTATATTTGCTCGTAGAATCCAATGCTTCTACTTAATATTAATTTGTTGTTCATATTCTATAACAGGCATCCCTACTCACTTCATCAGTTACCGCCATTGTTCCAGAAAAGACTGATCTCTTTTGTCACTGATGGCCCCTTTGTGTTGAGAATTTTTGACTTTTTCATTCTGTTAGTCTCACTTTAATGAGATCCTGAGCGGGGGAAAAGATGAATCAAGTTTCCAGCCCACTGTGTTTAACTGGGAGTCCCACAGGGCTTGGTAACCTGTGAAATGCTGCTGAGATTTAAAGGGTTGTTTGCCAGTCATTCCTCCCATACCTTGACCAAGGGCCTGTGTGCCAGCACCTGATGAAGGAGGCTCAGTTCTTGCCATCGGGGATTTCAGGAAAGCTTTTTTGCCAGGAACACAATTCTCCTACTTTTTTGTGAAATTTTTTTAATGAAGGAGGAAAGATTCTCTGCCACGATTAAAGACCAAGCTGAACTCCTGGGATGAAGGTATTGTGTCTTTCTATAATTAGACTCAGCTGAAGAAGCTGCTGGATTCTTTTCTGAGACAGACAAGGCAAGAGAGTATTTAGAAAAGACCAAGAGAGGGGTTGGGGCAGACTTGCCCACCTTTGCATTTTCTCCAGAACCACCTTTGATTCTGGAAAATGTCCACTTTGCACAGGTGATGGTTGTAAGGTCCCACACTCTTTGCAGGAGAGGGGAGCTTGCAGATAGAGTAAATTTCTACCTGTCCAGGCAGCAAGAAACCAAAGGCGGCTGAACACAGTCTACTTTCCTTGGGGGACTATGCCTCTACTCTGTGATTTTACAACCACATCAGACTTCTGTGACTGTGTCTTGTGGGCTGTTAAGAATTCCCCCATGAAAAGCAGCCACAACAAGCCAGGATTGCTTCTGCAGGGAGGTGGGTTGCATCTGGGCATGGTGGAGCTGCCCCTGTTTTCCACATGCCATGTATCAGCTGGCCCCAACCTTGCTGTTCCTCTGACCTTTAAGAATGAAGGACAGGGTGTCAGGTCTTTGCTCTGCAAGGTGTGGCTGAATCCGCACATAGTTTCCTTGCAAGGTGGTGACAGACTGCTGCACAGAGTTGGTTGCATGTCAGAGTTAAACAGAGGCTGCTGTCCTTAAGAGGCGCCATCTCCCAGGGACGATGCCATCCATCTGAATTTCCCAAATGTAAAGCATCAGGAAGCTTCAGTAGGAAGCAGCACTGGCTGGCAGATTCTGTTGGCTCCAGGGGTGATCATTCGGTTTTTTGTACCATAAACCTCCTGGGGGGCCACAGAGTCTGCTGGCAGATAGCTAGGACTCAAATCCAGCACTTCCATGAACTCACTCGCCAACACTGCACCATCCACTCAATTCAGGTGCATCTCATCTGTAATATGGAGTCAATGATGGTGCCCACCTCACACACTGGTTGTGAGGATTAAACAAGTTAATATAAGTAAGTGCTTAAAACATTGCCTGGCACATGGTAGATATTCAGTGGATGTTGTTTATTCATCATTATCTAAAGACACCTTCTTTACCAGATGGATCATTTGAAAATAACCAAATCACGCTGTGGGCAAAACCTTATATCCATTGTGGTAGGGAGAATAGTGGCCCTCCAAAGATGCCCACATGTGAATTCCTAGAACCTGTGGATATGTTTCCTCACATGGCAAATAGGGCTTTGCAGCTGTCATTAGGTTAAGGATGTGAATCTGGGGAGATTATCCTGAAAAAAAAATACCAGTAAATAAATATGCATGCCATACCTTTAAAACCAAGCTAAGAGATATGATATTATCAATACGAGCCTTACTGTTTACTCTTTTTGAGATCTTTTTTTACTCTTTTTGGGATTTTTTAAAAAAAATCAGAGTGTATCTGATTTGGATGGAAACATTGTTGATTATCTAATTAATGGGATATATGTCCAGCTGTCCCTGGTATCCTTGAGGGATTGATCCCAGGACACCACCATGATACCAAAATCTGTGCACACTCAAGTCCCAAAGTAGACCCTGGGGAACCCACATATACAAAGAGTCGGCCTTCCTCATACACGGGCTTTGCATCCCACAAATCCATGTATAAGTGGAACTGCACAGTCCAAACCCATGTTGTTCAAGGGTATTGCCTTTCAAAAACTGTTTAAGCATTAAAAACATTTCCCATAAAACACTGCAATAGGATAAATTTCCAAAAGCAAAACGAACCAACACACAAAACACAAATGCTTTCGAAGACTCCAGACAGCAGAAAGACTCATTAAAGCCACCTGCTGGCACCTCTTCTGGCTACTTCTACTGTTCCTGGGGCCTTCCTGGGAACTTTGGCTGCCTTGTTGTTGGTCTGTGGCCTTCTAAGTCACCTGGGGCGGACATCCATTCTTGACAATGGCTGCAGTGAGGGGCATCACTGGGAGAGGAAGGAGGACGTGTGTTCGAGAGATATTGATTGATGCCATCCCTGGCTGTTTCCACATGACAAAGGCAGAAGGGAGCAGAGGTAGAAGCTGAGTCAGCTTCTTCCTGGATGGGGACGTCAGGTCCTGTTCTTGTCTTGGCCAGGCTGAGCAGGGAAATCTAGGAGGTGGCATATCAGGGACCACAGATGGCAAAGCTCCTCTAAAGCACAGAGTTAGGAACATTGGGTCCTAGAGCCAGGCCAACCTGGCTTCAAATATCTGCTTTGCCACTTATTGGCTGTGGGACCTGGGGCAAGTCCCTGGATGTCTCTGAGCCTCAGTGTCCCCACTTGCAACATGGGGATAACAGCACCTCCCCAGAGGCCACTTGACTCCAGAGTCCACACACTCATCCACCACCCCGAAACTCTGCAGATCTCCACACTGTGCCCATCCCCAGCCAGGCCTGCTTCCCCCACATGCACGCTCGGCTCCTATTGGCGTCAGCATTGCCATCCCCATCTCAAGTCTCCATCCGCTGTGCTTCGGCAGCTGAAAGCTCACAGAGTGCATCTGATTTGGATGGAAACATTGTCGATCATCTAATTAAGGTCACACTCTCAGGGAAACTGAGGTATGGGGTGACTCTTCCCAGGTTATTTATATTGTTCTTACCCTGGTTTGGAGAGAGTTTATTTATGATATCCAGCTAGGCAGGGCTGAACTGACCTAAGAATTCACATCTCCCAAGTCTCAGCTTTCTGTGGTGAGGAACAACTGTGTGAAGAATTAGGGTCAGGGTTAGGGTGCAGATAACTCTGGTCTCTGTTGGGCGGCCATCACCAATTTTAGGGATAGTGCTGTTGGCTGTCACATCTCACACAAGACACACAGACCTTCCTCAGTGGCACTCTAGCAAGCACATCTCAAGTGATCAGCTGTTAGACAGTCACTTGGCCAGGGACCACTTGCATTTTCAGCAGGAATTCATTCTTGTTCTGTTGCCAATCAATGAAACTTTCTATTCCTCATCCGTGGGCTGAATGCTTAATGATTCTGATGTGAGTCCAAGTTCAAAGGGCATCATTTGTAACTCTGAGAACAAGCCTCTTATTCAGTGGAATTCCTGTTAATTAACTCTGCCAGAGGCATTCGTTTTTGAAAACCTGATTTGTAAAGGGTTTACTAAGATTTTGGTAATTCCAGGGTTCAGGAGGTTCTTCAAGTCCCATTCTTTGTGTTGACAGAATCTTCCGCCAGTCTTTCCTGTATCAGCAAATGGCACCATCATCACCCTGCTGCTCGGAATAAAAATAGAGGAGTTACCCCGGATGCCTCTCCATTTTCAAGCATCATATTCAGCCCATCAGCAAGTCCTAGGATCTGTAATCTCCAAAATATACCCAGAGTTCAACCATTCACTCCGTCTCCACTGCCAGCACCCGAGCCCAGCCACCACCATCTCCTGCCAGACCGCCTGTCCTGGCCTCCTGCCTGGTCTCCCTGTTCCACTCCCGTGTCATTGTCATCTATTCTCCACACCACAGCCAGGCCCTCTATTTAATTCATTAAACAGATTGTATGAGTCCCCTGATGAAAATCTCTGTTGGCTTCCCATTGCATTGTGAATGACGCCATGACACACACATTCTTAAGTGGCCGAAAGAGGTCTGTGTGCCTTCTCTTGCCCACCCTCTTCCCTCACTTCTCATCCCTTTCCTATACTTTCTGGCCATGCTGGCCTCCTTTCTTTTCTGGAATGGGCCAATCTTGTTCTCACTGCAAGGCCTTGGAACACGTCCTTCTCTCTGACAGGCTCTCTCTGACCCCAAGAGCAGCTCCATCTTCTCCCCGCCCAGGTCTTAGGTCAGATGTGTTCCCCTCGATGAGGTAATGGTGCTGTCTCTCAGTGACCCGTTGTGACACCCATCTGGTTTCTTTCCTTCGCAGAATGAGCACTCTCCAAAATCCTCTGGTTACACATGTGTTTGGCAACTTATTAGCTCTCTCTTCCTGGGAATGTAAGCTCCGTGAGGGCAGGCCCTTGTTCATCTTCACAATTCTTTGATGAATGGTTGGCTGTCATTTTGAGTGAACTTTGACATGCAGTCATTCATAATATTCCCCTATTATGCTTTTGATATGTCTAGACTCTCTAGTGATGTCACCCTTCTTATTCTGGCATTGATTCTTTGTCTTCTTTCTTTTGTTCCTGATCAGTCTGGCTAGAGTTTTATCAATTTTAATAATGATCTCAAATAATCAACTTTTGATTTCATAGATTTTGCATTATATTTTCATATTTCATTGGCTTTTGCTGTCATATTTGTGATTTCTTTTTGTCTGCTTACTTTGGTTTTAATTTTCTCTTTTTTAATATATTAAGGTGAAAGCAGTCACTGATGTAGACCTTTCTTTTCTCCCCTATAGACATTTAGTGCTATAAATTTTCCCCTAAGTTCTCATAAGTTGTATTTTCATTTTTCATTCAGTTCACAATATTCTCTAATTTTGCTTTTGATTTTTTTCTTTGGTCCATAGGTTTTAGAAATGTGTTACAGATTTTCCAATGTTTGGGGGCATTTTCCAGATATCTTTCTATTACTGATTTCTAACTTTTATCCCACTGTGGCTGATAACATACTTTATATGACTTAATTCCTTTTATATTTATTAAGACTAGCTTTATGGTGTAGAGATAATTTCTCTTGATAAATGCTCTGTGCACACTGAGAAATGTATTCTGCTGTTGTTGAGTGGATTATTCTATAAATGTCAGTTGGTCAAGGTGGTTGATTGTTTTGTTCAAGTCTGCTAAGTCCTTGCTGATTCTTTTCCCACTTTTTGATATCAATTATTGAGAGGGGGTTTTGACATATCCTACTATTGTTGGAGATTTGTCTGTTTTTTGTTGTAGTTCTATCAGATTTTGCTCTATCCATTTTGAAGCTCTGTTATTAGATATATAAAATTTAAGATGGTTATATTACATTGATTAATTGAACCTTCTATCACTATGAGACTAACTTCTTTGTCCATGGTAATATTATGTGCTATAGAATCTACTTTATCTGATACTGTTATAGCCACTGTGGCTATCCAGTCCCTAATCCAGACTTTTCAGGACCTCTACAGTGACTACTCAAGTCCACCAGCATCTCTTGCCTGGTTTGTGGTGTAATCTCTCCTAGTTCTACCCTGGCTCATTACAGTCTGCTCTCCACGCAGCAGCCAGACCTATCATGTCTGACCTCTGATCCATTGTTCCACTGTCATCTTCTCTCACTTAGAAAAACGTCTGAAATCCTTATCATGACCTAGTAGAGCTCACCAGATCTGGCCCCTGGCCACCTTTCTGACTTCACCTCCTAATCACTCTCTGTTTCCTTGGTATCTCCCCTCCAGCCATATTGGCCTTGTTGCTGTTTCTCAGATGTGCCATACATGGTCTTGCTTTAGGGCCTTTGTACTTCCTGTTCCCTCTGCCTGGCCTTCTCTTCCTCCAGATGTCTACAAGACTCATGCTTTCAGTTCAATCTGGTTTCTGCTCAAATATCACCTGGTAAGAGCGGCCTTCCCTGATCACCCTGGAGAGAACGACCAACTCCTTTTATGCTGCTTCAGTTTTCTTGCTTTGTTTTTCTTCATAATAATCATTGTCACGACACATTTTGCTATATCTTTCGCACCTGGAACAGCAGCTGACACATATAGAGAGTCCTCAACAAATATTTGTTATTGAGCAGGAAACTTGAGTTTCAGAAGGAGCCAGGCAGCCTCTTATGCGGGAGCTAGGGCTTGACCCTGGCACCCCTGATTCTGTCTGTCCTGACACTGTCTCTTCTGATACAGCCTCTTGGGGTTTTGCATCACTGGACAGATGTTCACTAAAACAGCCTTCTCTCTCATGTATTTCTTGGCACACAGGATGTGACTGCATGGGCCTTGAAAAGTGAGAGGTTGGAGTGTCAAATAAATATGGAAGAAATTTAATTAAATAAAGGTAGGTAGATTTCATTACCACAGGACTTCTTAAGAGCCTTTAATATGCCAAAGTGCTTTATAAATCTCACCCTAAAAGGTGAGAGTGTTCAGCATTCCTCAGCTTCCATAGTGCTATCCTGCCTAAATGACTTCCTCAAATCAAGGGAGGAGACATAGACAGATGCAACCCTGTGAGTCCACCGAGACCTGGTGTTTTAAAGAAGTGAACGCCTTCACGCCTGTAATCCCAGCACTTTGGGAGGCCGAGGCTGATGGATCACGAGGTCAGGAGATCGAGACCATCCTGGCTAACACGGTGAAACCCCGTCTCTACTAAAAAAAAATATATAAAAAATTAGCCGGGCGTGGTGGCGGGCACCTGTAGTCCCAGCTACTTGGGAGGCTGAGGCAGGAGAATGGCGTGAACCCGGTAGGCGGAGCTTGCAGTGAGCTGAGATCGCACCACTACACTTCAGCCTGGGCGACAGAGCAAAACCCCCGTCTCAAAAAAAAAAAAAAAAAAAAAAAAAAAGAAGTGAACACCTGCTTCCTCAAAGTGGACCTCACCAAAGGTGGTGCAAAGCCACTCTGGGAAGCATAAAATCATGTATGAGTTAGAAAAGTTAGCATGAATTTGATTTGCTCTTTGACCTGTACATTAATGCGTACCTCTAACCCAGAGAGAAAACAGCTTGCGTCCATGTTGCTGCTCAACAATGTCTTTCTTCAAGAGTCTGCTAGGGTAGAGGTCAGGATTGTTGGAGGAAAATAATGTCTTTAGATGGTAGATTTGTTTTTTCCTGAAGTTTTTACTGTGGTAAAATATCACAAAACTTACTATCGTCACCATTTTCAAGTGTACAGTTCAGTGTTATTAAATATATTCATACTGTTATGCAGCCATCACTACCATCCATCTCCAGGACTGTTTTCATCTTACAAAACTCAAACTGTGTACCCATTCAACACTAACTCCCTATTCCTCTTTCCTTTCAGTCCCAGGCACCCACCATGGTGCTTTCTGCCTCTGTGATTTTCCTCATGTAGGTAGATTCATAGAGTATTTATTATTTTGTGGCTGGCTTACTTTGCATAGCATGTTGTCCTCAAGGCTCATCCATGTAGCATGTGTCAGAATTTCCTTCCTTTTGAAGATTGAATACTATTCCATTATATGTGAGTAGACCACATCTTGCTTATCCATTCATTCATCTGTTGATGGACACTTGGGTTGCTGCCATGTTATAGCTTCTATGAATAACACTGCTGTGAACATGGGTGTTCAAATATCTCTTCGAAGCCTTGCTTTCTGTTCTTTTGAGTATATTGGAGAGCAGGCTTTTAATTATTTTGGTATCTTATTATACAGGGTGCTAGACGAGCGTCAGCAATGTGGCAGCTGTTGGACTGTGTGATGGCCTCCATTCTGATGATGCTGTTTGCTTTCTCAGGAAATGAGAAATGCATATTTCAGATCTAGGAAGGTGATCCCAGAATATGACCCTTATTCAGTCACTTATTTCAGTTGCATGTAACAGAAAGTCTAACAGTCCAGGGATACTTGGGGTTTTAGAAACAGCTGAATCCAGGGACCCATATATGTCTTTATTCATTTCTAGGCTCTACTTTTCTCAGAAGTCCAGACAGTCTCTGTCAATGTGGTGACCCCTATCATACTTATAGCTTAAAAATTCAGTTATATGATAATGCAGTCATCCCTCCCTATCTCCAGGTTCTGCATTTGTGGATTCAACCAACCATGAATGGAAAATATTAGAAAACTTAACAATAAAAAATAATACAACCATAAACAACAATACAACAATAAACAATACAAATTTAAAAAACCAATGTTGTCTAACAACTATTTACATAAAATTTACATCGTTTTAGGTCTTATAAGTAGTCTAGAGATTATTTAAACTACACAGCAGGATATGAATAGGTATATGCAAATACTGTATCATTTTATATAAGAGATTTGAGCTTCCTTCAAGTTCTGGATCCTGGAGCCAATCTTATGCAGATACCTAGGGATGACTGTAGTGCTTTTTAAATACCTTCTGCATATGGGTAGCCAGTTCTCCCAGCACCATTTATTAAATAGGGAATCCTTTTCCGTTGCTTGTTTTTGTCTCACACCAGTTAGAATGGCGATTATTAAGAAGATTATAAACATCAGATGCTGGCGAGGTTGCGGAGAAATAGGAAAGCTTTTACACTGTTTGTGGGAATGTCAATTAGTTCAACCATTGTAGAAGACAGTGTGGTGATTTCTCAAAGGTTAGAACCAGAAATACCATTTGATCCAGCAATCCCATTACTGGGTATATACCCAAAGGAATATAAATCATTCTATTATAAAGATACATGCATGCTTATGTTCACTGCAGCACTATTTGCAATAGCAAAGACATGGAATCAACCCAAATGCCCATCAATGATAGACTGGATTAAAAAAACTGTGTACATATAACACCATGGAATACTATACAGCCATAAAAAGGAACAAGATCATGTTCCTTGCAGGGACATGGATGAAGCTGGAAGCTATTATCCTCGGCAAACTAACACAGAAACAGAAAACCAAACACTGCATGTTCTCACTCATAGGTGGGAGTTGAACAGTGAGAACACATGGAGGGGAACAACAGACACTGGGCCCTGTTGCAGGAGGGTGGTGGGTAGGGAGAGCATCAGGAAAAATACCTAATGCATGCCAGGCTTAAGGTGATGGGTTGATAGGTGCAACAAACCACCATGACACACATTTACCTATGTAACAAACCTGCACATCCTGCCCATGTACCCCGGAACTTAAAAAAAACTTGCAAGTATAGTCACAGATTTAAATTTCATATTTTAACTTGGAATAATCACTGCGTCCAGGGAGATGAAAGAGGTTTATTAGGTGGCCTGGGTCTGGCTCTTCATCCATGGAACTGTGGGATGGGTTCAGCTCCCAACTCTCCATGTACCACATTCACTTAGGGTCTAGAAAAGGAGGCTTCCTCCAAGAGATACTAATGAAGGTGCTGATATCAGTAGAAGGGAAAATGGGTAAAGAGTAGACCTCAAAAAACAGATGTTCATGATAAGCTCCCAATTCTCTGTATTTCAGACTTTATTCCACTCATCTCTATGCCATTTTCTACACCTGTCCCGCAGTCAATGCAAGATGGCAAGAAGCCATATAGGATCAGAGTAAAGTGAGCGAAGGGGAGAGTGGTAGGGCTGAGGTCAGAGGAGCAGTGGGTATAGGGTGTGGGCAGATTATGCAGGGCCAAAAAAGTGACCCTGAATGAATGGATGACTTTGCAGACATCTTGGCGTTGCTGTGAATGTGAAATAATATAGTAAGTGTTGAATATCTAGCAGTATTCTTGTATTTCCAGAAAACAATAGTAATCAAGCCATGACACTGGGTGAACAGAACCTATTGTTTAATTGATTACTCCTATGGGTCAAATGGCTGTGTGATTCAGAGAATATAAACTGTAGGCTTGTTTCATGGGGGAGAGAGAGATTACCCAATACTGAGTAAGCGTGACCTCCAGGTCTGTGGGGGAAACCATAATCACAAGGGGAGGAGGCTCAATGTTAGTGGAAATCAAGTGACCCCAGGCTGCTGAACTGGGTCAAGGACTACACAAGCGGCTTGCTCTCCAAGGTTAATGTTTGTATAAATGAAGTGAGTCAGAGACTGCTGAATGTTGTGCTTGCTGCCTGTAAATTAGTTAAGAAGTGCCTTATAGGAACTCTTTGTAGTTTGTGGCTGCGATAAACCTTTCTGGTATTCTGTACAGTAGGAAGGGCCACACAAACCATAGATCATTTAGGATACATCCTTAGAATAGGGCAGGTGGTCACAAAGGCTCAGATTGCTCTTCATTTCCCAACCGGAACACACCAGTGTGGATGTCCACTGTCTCCTGCTCAAGATGAATTCTGTCTTCTTCTGGTCATGGCACCATGATATTCCTTTGGGGAAATGCCTTTCCCTGCCACACAGACACGAGATTTGGTGCTGACACCGTCCTGTTTTAGCCGACCAGCATATTGCATCTCCCTGGCCACTGTGTGTCACTGTGTACAGTGTGACTGTGATTAAGACGGTTCAACGATAATCAGTCCTTGGTCCTTTGCTAGAACGTTTGAAGGAGCTTCCAGCTGCCATCTTGCCACCATGAAGGGAGAGGCTGCCTAGGAGTGAAATCCTCAAAAATGAAGAAGAGACAAGAGATAATGAGAACAGATTCCTGGTGGGTTCTTTGAATCCCTGGATCCAGTCATACCCAAGCTACATTTGGAATTTTCACTTGCAGGAGTCCATGGGTGACTTTTTTGATTAAGCCAATAAATGTAAGTTTCCTTCACTTGCAGTTCAAAGAGTTCTGGCTTCTAAAGCCTTCAGGAGATTGGGAAAAGGGCATATATTTTTGGTAGAAGCTTTTGTAAGGCATAACTTATATATAATACAATTAATCCTTCTTAAGTATATCATTCAGGGAATTTTAGCAAATGAATGCAATTGTGTAATCACCACTAAAATAAAGAAACAGAACATACCCATCACCTCCCAAGTTCCCACATATATATAATGTATACATCTTTTGCAATAAATTTCCATCCCCAATCCCAGCTCCAGGCAAGTATTGTCTTTCTTTTCTTTTTTTTTTTGAGACAGAGTCTTGCTCTGTCACCCAGGCTGGAGTACAGTGGCACGATCTCAGCTCACTGCAAGCTCCGCATCCTGGGTTCATGCCATTCTCCTGCCTTAGCCTCCCAAGTAGCTGGGACTACAGGCACCCGCCACCACGCCCGGCTAATTTTTTGTATTTTTAGTAGAGACGGGGTTTCACCATGTTAGCTAGGATGATCTCCATCTCCTCACCTAGTGATCCACCTGTCTTGGCCTCCCAAAGTGCTGGGATTACAGGCATGAGCCACCACGACCGGCTGCAAGTATTGTCTTTCTGATGCTATTGTTTTGCCTTTTCTAGAACTTTATATAAATGGAATCATATTGTATGTAATTTTTGGTCTGGCTTCTTTCACTTAACGATGCTTTTGAAATTCACTTATGTTTTTGTGTGTATCAGTAATTTGTTCCTCTTTATGGATGAGTAGTATTCCATTGTATGGATATATGAATTTATTCACTAGTTGAAGGACATTTGGGTTGCTTCCAGTTTTTATTACTAAAGCCATATTAAGATTTCTATAGAGATTCTGAGAATGTAAGTTTTTATTTCTCTTGGGTATATACCTAGGAGTGGAATTGATGGGTACTGTATTAATCTGTTCTCACACTGCTATGAAGAAATACCCAAGACTGGGTAATTTATAAAGGAAAGAGGCTTAATTGACTCACAGTTCTGCATGGCTGGGGAAGCCTCAGGAAACTTAACAATCATGTTGGAAGGCACCTCTTCACAGGGCAGCAGGGGAGAGAATGAGTGCCCAATAAAGGGGGAAGCCCCTTATGAAACCATCAGATCTCGTGAGAACTAATTCACTATCATGAGAACAGGACGGGGGAAACTGCCCCCATGATTCAATGACCTCTACCTGGTCCCTCCCATGACACTTGGGGATTATGGGAACTACAATTCTAGATGAGATTTGGGTGAGGACACAGCCAAACCATATCAGGTACTATGGTAAACATATGCTTAATTTTGTAAGAAACTGCCCAACTTTCCCAGAGTAGCTGCACCATTTCCCATTCCCACAGCAATCTATGAGAGTTCCAGGTGCTATACATCTTTGTCAGCACATGATATTGTCATTGTTTTTAATTTTAGCCATTTTTTTGTGGCTGCATAAAAGTAATCTTGTGATTTTAATTTGTATTTCTCTGATGACTGAGTATGTTAAATGTCTTTTCATGTGCTTTTGGGCTATTTGTGTGTTGTCTTTTTTAATATGTCTGTTCAGATCTTTTGCTCGTTATTTTCATAGGTTGTTCTGAAAACTGAGCTTTGTCGATAATATATTGTAGATATTTTGGAATCTGTTTTGTTCCTCTGAGGATTTTTGTCTTTTGTTGTTGTTGTTGTTCTGGTAGGTAGTTAACTTGTCTAGACTTAAACCGCAACATTTGCCTCCCTGGTTTTGCTGCTTTTTAAGCCTGGCTCTTTGCAGGTTTCCCTTGATCCTGAGTAGCTTAGTGAGGAACTGAAGCCCCAAAGGGCCTTCTCCAGGGTTACTCAGTACAAGGCAGGATGGATTCAGCTCAGGAATTCTCATCCCCAGGCCAGTGGTCCCTGGCTCCAGGTGCCCAGCAGTGTTTCTGGACCCTGATGTCCAGGAATGCCAAGAAACAGCCAACTCTGTGATCTGTCTGCCTGCTGCCCCATGTGCAGCCCCGAGTTAGCACATGGCCAAGAAGCAATATTTAAAGGAAACTGAGCTATGCTTTCCTGCTGCTTTTGAGATTCCTTTTTATCTGATATTATCTGGATGATTCCTGGTATTGAGAGCCCTTCAAGAATGAGAGTTACTGTCTATATACTTTCAGCCCATCCTCTGAGCCCACTGTGTCTCCTGGGGCCACAGAGAAGGGAAGGCAGAGAGGTCTGCCCCCACCAAAGGCTCCAGCAATCCCAACTGTCTATGTGGAGTGAATGGGTCACACCTGGAAAAAGAGTTCTGGAGGGTCTTGCCTGGCAATTGAGTGCTCTGGGCTGACAGTCCCACATGTCACTTCTTTTCACAACTCATTGGTGTTAACAGTCACAGGCCTCCCCTTCCCAAGCCATTGGAGGGTCAGGAAATACCTCCTATCATGTTGCAGATGTAGGCAGATATCTCAGAATATTTGGTGGCCAAAAATTGATATTAATGACTATAGTGATGACCACAACTCTACTTTTTTTTATTAAAAAATGATTGAGTCTACTAAGTTGATTTCCTGACCCATTAATAGATTGTGACTCACAGTTTGAAAAACATACCCTATGAGAAAGTGACCTTTAAGCTAAGGATTGAAGGATAAGACGACAGTCCCTGGTATGAAAAGTGTGTGAAGGCTGAGAGACAGGAAAGGCTCACAGTATTCCAGGAACAGGCGAAAGGCTGGTGGTCTGGATGTCGTGAGTCCAGGGGACATGGTAAAGATAAGGACAGAGATGTTGGTAGCCTTGCAGGGCCATAGAATAAATAGGGGGAATGTTTTTCTATGAATGTGGGAAGTCACGGGAGGGTTTGAGCAGAGGAGTTGACATGGTTTATGTTTGAGAAACTATCTGGAAGTCTGGCTGCTGTGTGGGAAATGGGCTGAGGGTTACGATTGGAGGTTATTGCAAAGGTCCAGGCAAGACACGATGGTGGCTTATGCTAGGAAGGAGGTGCAGAGTTATTAAAAAGTGGAAGTACATAGGCCCTTTTTTGATGGGGAGCCCCTGAGCCAGTTTCCTGTGTTACCCTGTGAGAAAATAACTTGGGAGATCTGGGTTGCATCATGAATTAGAAATAAAGTTTTGATACTTAGTCCTATTTACTATCATCAGAGATCCTCTCTAAAGTTGCCTTTAGCAAGGGAAATGATTGGTCCTAAGGAAGTTTCTAAGAATAAATGATTTGATATAAGCTACATCTGAAAATGTCACTTCATAGGGCAGACTTTGTCAGCTGTTGTGATGTATTGTTTATCATTGTGGAGATAAATTATGCTTGTGATAACAAGCAGTGTGTTGAAACAGCCACTAAGCATTTATCAGGTTAATCTCCTTTGTTAATGAAGAAGGCTAATGACTTTCAGTGAGTCCGCCTCCTCGGCTCTGTTGAACCCACCCACGCTCTGAGGTCTCTAGAAAACAGCCTCCCTTTCAGATCCTGCTGTGTGAGCTAAGGGGATCTTTGAGAAGTTGCTAATTCATGGCATCATAGGTAGGAGGTAATGGTGCTTGTTCCTGCTCTATTGAAGAAAGAAGGTAGAAAACATGCACACAGTTCACTCCTTGAAAATGAATTTCAGGTCTCTCTGCTCACTGGGAACACAGCACAAAGCATTTTATAATCTTTCAGGCTTACTCATCACCGCTCTCTTGATTTAAAGAACTCATGGGAAACACATGTGATGGAAGCTCTTAAGAGCACTGGCCTGGGAGACAAATTTTATTTTTTGTTTTATCCCTACTTTGTTGTGTGATGTTAAGCACATTACTTAACTTCTGTTTTCATTTCCTCCCCTGAAAATTTACGTTCTGCAGAAATTAAGAATTGCAACCCTTTATCAAGCCTTTCAAGTATGTTAGTTGTTCACCGATCACAGATTTTGAACACCCAGTAGACAGAAGAAATTAACACCAGACATTGTGCTGTGAGGTATGATAGGACTCTGCACACAGATGCCCTTGAACCTTCTAGAACGAGCATGTGCCAGTTGTCATTTTGTTGCTGGTCATCTCCTACACCATCCTTCTCTCCCTGCTTTGTGGTCTTGGAGCTGGACCCTGTAAACATTTCTCCTTTGTCAGCTGGTGCAGTACTGGGCCTTTCCAGCAGAGGACGCTAGAGGGACAGTGTGGGGCACATCAGGGGAAGGGCTTTTCATCCTGATTTTGGTATCTTCTTCTTTCTGTTCCTGCCGCACAGCCCCCAGAGCCTGCAAGGGCCATCCAGTGAGTTTGACTCTGCTTACTAGCTGGGGACCAGCTCTCGCTCAAGACACCCAGCACACTTCCCCACCATCCAGTGGGCTGCAGCCATACCCACTCATGAGGGCTGAACCTCAGGCTGGGGGGCGGGCACACCTTCTGTTTGTTCCTTGGGTACTCTCCCTCAGCCCTAGAGGTGGTAGCTGCTCCTTCCATGGGCTATTTCTATATTCTGTTTTTTTTAAACTCATTTATAGTTATCCATCTTTTATTAGTTAGTAATTTTTATTTTGAAAATTTCCTGATCAAATTACTGCATTTCTGTGCAGTTACTGGTGCGGTTTCTGTCTCCTGGCTGTACTCTGACTGATACATTACCATAGATAGTTAGGTACTAACATATGTATTAACATAGCCCTAAAGGGATATTAATTTTCCCATTACCAATTCATATTTTTCTTTCTGTTTAAACAAGTTTTCCCAGGACACCTTCAGACTACTTTTTGGTGAATGAAAGAATATTCTTTTTTAAGCTGATTAGGGTATTAAGTGTATCTAAGAGTAACAGCACAACATTTCTTTTAAAAACTCTTGGTAATTTAGGCTGGTGGTTCTTCTTCCCTAGTGGGCTTCAGAATCACTAGGGAAGCTAGTTTATTTATTTATTTTTTTGAGACGGAGTTTCACTCTTGTTGCCCAGGATGTAGTGCAATGGTGCGATCTTGGCTCACTGCAAGATCTGCAGTGCAAGATCTCACTGCAAGAACCTGGCTCTACCTCCCAGGTTCAAGTGATTCTCCCCCCTCAGCCTCCCAATTAGCTGGGATTACAGTTATGTGCCAGCACGCTCAGCTACTTTTTGTATTTTTAGTAGAGACAGAATTTCACCATGTTGGCCAGGCTGGTCTTAAACTCCTGACCTCAGGTGATCCGCCCGCCTCGGCCTCCCGAAGTGTTGGGACTACAGGCGTGAGCCACTGTGTCTGGCCCTGGAGCTGGTTTAACGTGTGTATTCTTGGGCCTTGTTGCCAGATGTTGAGTTACTCTGGTTTAATTCATCATTAAATAGCTTTTCGGTATATATTTTTCATACTTAATTCTTACAACAATCCTGTTAGGAGCCTTAACTTCATTTTACTGGTTGGTGGCTTGGAGAAGTACTTGTAGACAGATCAGCAGTGAGTGTGACAGAAACCAAACCCTGGGCTTTTGACCCCAGATCCTATTTCCTTTCCATTAAATTCCACTTTCTAGCTCTAGCTTACAATAAAACCCTTTTGTTCTGTTTCTTTTGTACCAATGATGTGGAAATTGAAGCTAATAATTTCATTTTTCAAAATTTTTTTCTTAGTCTAGAAAATCTGTGAAACATAGACAGTCATAAAGAAGAATGAAATAAAAATAATCTATTGCCTAGAGATGAGTTTTGACACATCTATTTCTGGTTTCTTTTCTCCACATCTATCTTTTTTTTTTTTTTAAACAAGATGATGCTCATTTTAACCTTTTAACCTTTTCTCTTTTCATTTTATCGTTGTATTGGTTTGCTACTTTTGTATAATAAAATATCCTCAAGTTCAGTGGCTTGGAACAACAGTCTTTTATTCTCTCTTATGCAAGGGCTGGTCAGCTGGGGGCAGTTGAGCCAGGAGGGTTCATCTGGGGTGGCTCAGCTGGGGAACTTCTGTGCCATGGGTCTGTCATTCTTCTTCTAGGATCAAGGATCTAACCTGGCACATTGTTTTCATGGTCCTGGTGGCAACACAGGAGGAGGAGAAGCAGAAACACATGTGATCTCTTATGGTCTAGGCTGAGGACAGTCTCTTCTGCCTGTTTGCCATGAGATGACAAATGTTTTCTTTTCGTGTCTCTTACCACACCCTCCTCCAAGCAAAGAAGAAATAACCTCTCAGTTCCTCCTGAGTTTCCCTCAGTAATAGCTCCTACCATTGTGCATTATATATGAATACTCAAGCTCATTTAAAACACCATCTGATAAAATAACCTGTATAATTTTCTTCACAGATGAACATGAGGAAAAAATAATGATTACGTTATTAGATCGTGGCCCTGTATTTGTAGCTGGCTCTAAGCTCCTAAGGAAAACGTTGAATAGCTTGTGCTTCCCACAGGATTGCAAATGAGAAAGAGAACCAAGCTTGTGTTCTTCTGCAGGGTTAATATAGGCTAATGGGTTCCTCAAGGTGTACTGGTCTCCACCAGTGGCCACACGTTTTCTAGGCAGAGACAGAGGGGGGTGCCCTGGTGTCTGAGGCATTGGAAGGGCAGGAGCAGAGCTGCCTTAGCCTTGCTCCATTGTCTAACCGTGTAATGGGGGCACCATGATTTGGAGCTGTCATCTAGACAAAGCAGAGTCCCCAGTCCCCAGAGAGTCACTGTATGATGCAATCCCATTGAAAGAAACCCAAAAGTCGCCTTGCAAAAGCTACCTCATCACACTCCCGGGCCCCTCCCCATGCCTTCCTCAACCAGAAGGGGCTACTTCCATTTTCTCAGCTAGCTTTTCCAGAATGTCACTGTTTGATGTCTCTGTAAGATTCATTGTATCAGCTTTTTGCATGATGGTTTGACCGCATGATGTGGATAACTTTCTACATCTGTAGCTTCATTGCTTAATATTTCATTTGAAATCCATTTTTGTGGTTTTAGAATCTGTAATGTGTCAGTAGATGAAGCCACTCTGCAATGCATGGGGAATAACAGACACGTCCCTGCACAGGGAGTCAGGAGAGCGGCAGAGGGCCATCAGGCCTGGCTGCAGCAGGATCAGCTTCTGTTCTCATTGAGTGGCCTCCCAGCCTAAGCATGTCTAAACACACTTAGGACTGCTGAGTAAGGTTGTGCAGGTTGCACACTGCTCATAGCATGTTTAAGGCAATTTTATTCACATTCTCGACATTGTAGATTTAGGATTTTACTAGGACAGTTGTACAACACATGGCAACAAAGTGCCTTGTACCCAAATTGGTATATTATGACAATTTTGTGAGGGATGGAAGAGGGACCATTTTATAATTTGCACGGGTTCTTTAGGGACTAATAGCTTCTCTGTACTGAATACCCTTTAGGGAATGTACTATTTCCTGCAGTGGCCCAGAACAGTCATTCATTCAGCAGCATTTAATGAATGTTAAATGAGCACCTGGTAGACGCCAGTCCCAGGGCTGGGCTGCAGGATGCAATGGAGAGGAAAAGGAACAAAGAGCCCCGTCCTTGTGATCTGACAGGGAAGGCTGATGTGAAGCAACCAAGAACATACTTGATGATGTGATTGCAGTTGTGGCAAGTGCGCTACCAGGCCTGTCTGGGGTGTTAGGAGAGCACAGAGTAGGGTTACGAGCAGGTCCGCTGGGGCTCAGGGGAGGCTCTGAAGTTCGATGAGGATCATGGCCCTGGAAGTTGGATAGTTCACATTGGGTGGGGTCTGACGGAGGAAAGTCATGAAGACTGAGTGTAGTGAAGACTCATCCCAGAAGCTATGATGAGTTTACATAGTGCATGAGCTTTGTGTTAAATGAAATGAATCACATAGGGAGAATATTTTAATTCTCTTTCAACATTTCTGATTAGGTCAAGAACAGATTCTACTGTGTTTTTAACAGCTTTCTAATTTGCTAATCTCCCTTTGTAATAGAGAATAACAAGTCCTTTGCCAAAGTCTTGGACAGGCAACAGCATCCAAATGTAATTTAATACAGTTGCTTTGTTTTAAGTACAGGTGTCCTTGGCTTTGCATGGTAGTGTGGGGCCATGAAAATGACTGTGCAAGCTCAAACTGTTCAATATTAATAATGAATGAAAAAAACTCTGACTGTTCTGTGACCTTTAAAAAGTCCTGTCAGAACATTACAAACTCTCTTCCTGTTGATTATAAATGTACAGGGAAATGAAAAAAATAGTAAAATTGTAATATTTATTTAGCATATTGTAATTTAAAAGATTAGCAACATTGAGAATTAAAATGTTTTCTTTCTTTGTATAAGATTTATCAACAGTAGGCCGGGCGCGGTGGCTCACGCCTGTAATCCCAGCACTTTGGGAGGCTGAGGTGGGTGGATCACGAGGTCAGGAGATTGAGACCATGCTGGCTAACATGGTGAAACCCTGTCTCTACTAAAAATACAAAAAAAATTAGCCTGGCATGGTGGTGGGCGCCTGTAGTCCCAGCTACTTGGGAGGCTGAGGCAGGAGAATGGCGTGAATCTGGGAGGTGGAGCTTACAGTGAGCCGAGATAGTGCCACTGCACTCTAGCCTGGGCGACAAAGTGAGACTCCATTTCATTAAAAAAAAAAAAAAAAAAAAAAAAAAAGATTTATCAACAGTAGTCTAATACTGCTTGAGTTCTTCTAATTGTGTGGCTTATAATATGGAGCGGGCTTTTCTCTGCGTTGGTGGATCGTCATGCTCTTTTATAATGTTCAATCAGCCTCCAACATTTTGTTCTTTGCACTTCGAATGCTGTGAAATATCTCCAAGAATCCCTTTAATGTGAGGTTTCTTGGCTGGTGTCACATCCTCTGGAACTTTTCTTCCCCTCAGTTACAACCACTTTTCTCATTTATGTTGCTGAGTTCACTGTCCTCACATTCTCTTGGTTGCATGTCTATAGTGCCCTGAATGGTGGGAGTGTCAACATTTCCTCAGTCAGCTGTTTCTTCTATGACTACATTTACAGTTAATTTAAATGTTATTTTCACCATTTAATTTTACTTTGTATTTCTTTGCTGCACTTTCCTCTTTGTTGGCGAGTTTCATCTTTTGATTATCAGTTTTTCAGTGTGTGTCAGGTGGTTTTATCACTGGGGGACAAGGAGGCAACACAATTATATACTTTGCTGTCTGCATGTGAATTGAATAATGGACGCACGACAACCAGTCACCAAGAGAATGTGAAATGATTGATGTGACTGGTCGCTCATCATGATGTGCATCTGTTATTTATGTAGTGATTCGTGGGCTGAAGGGCTAGCAATGAGGTTTGTACTTTATATGCTTATAGTTAAGGAAACTTGGAAACTGAAAATTGAACTGTTTTGTTTGGGGGTTGATGTTACTTAACCATCTTGTGGTAACTGAAATTCATGCATATTGGAACCTTGCAAAATGAGGGCTGCCTGTGGATGTAAACTTTAAATAGGTATATTTTATTGGTTGCAAATTAAACCTCATTGAAGTTAATATAAAAACAAGTGATGTAATATTTTGGTTGAAGGCAGGAGGATGTTAAAATGTGGCCCAGGATATCAGCAATAGTAAGATTCTTGAGAATCAGTCTGGAAAAAAAAAAGAGTGCATCATATTGAAACTGTTTCCTTTCAGGTTTAGAGAAAGGAAAGAAAAACAAAAACAAGTGCCCAGTACAGTGTTTTGGAGAGGTTAAGTGCAGGAATAATACCAGCTGAGATAAAGGGCCTGTTGTGGGGTGGGGGGTGGGGGGAGGGATAGCATTAGGAGATATACCTAATGTAAATGACGAGTTAATGGGTGCAGCACACCAACATGGCACATGTATACATATGTAACAAACCTGCACGTTGTGCACATGTACCCTAGAACTTAAAGTATAGTAAAAAAAAATATATATATATATAAAAAGAAAAGAGTCATTTCACAGACCCTTACCCCAACTGGGATGTCGAGTTTGCATAAGAAACAGAAAGTAAGACAGTTTCTCCGTTGACGTTTATATATCTAAAATAAGGAATGCTTTTGAAAATACGTACGTGTATTTTGGGGTGGTGTTAAAATGGATGGGGGACCCAAGGATAAGATAAGCTGTCATGCAACTTTGAAAATCAGAGAGATCTACAAAAATAACAGCAACCTGCTGTCTTGGGTGTCTGCTGTCAAATGCACATCTGTATCTTTGGAGAAGAGGTCTAACACATATTCTAGTTCATTAAAGAAATCCTATTTTAACTTGGAATAAAAGGCTGCCAATTCAGAAATTTTATTCGAGCTGTCAGAATTGGTATCAGTTGTTGCTCATGTCTTACAGTGTTTTCCTGTACCTTCTTTTTGCCACTCATCTCCTCAGTTAACTGATTTTTCATGTTCTTTATCTTTTGTTGCATTTCACAGGATGCTAATGTCCAATTGGTCCCAAGTTCTTTCGTTATCCTGACCTGAACGTCACAAAGCCTGTAACTAGTATATATCATTTATAAATGCTTTTGGCTGCACGTCAAAGACTATGATTAGAACCCACTGCTTCTGCCCTTGTTCTAAGGCAGAGGGCAAACAAACTAAACATAGTTCATGGGAAGAGCTAAGAGAACAAATACATCAGTTAGACTAACTCCAGACGGTGGTATATGATTAGAAGAAAAACCCGGGGGATGTGGAAGAGTGTCTTCCACTTGAAGAGTGTGCTAAGAATATAAGAATTACCCCATTTTTAGATGATAAAGTTGAGTCTTTGAGAAAACCAGTTCCGTATGAATAAGAGCTCAAACTAATCGGAGTTTATATTCCCATGTGACAAGATATCTGGAGGTTGTTTCAGCAGCTGTATAGCATCAGGGCGAGCTTCTTTGAGGTTTTCTTGGCCTTTGCCTCATATGTGTAGCCTCATGATAAAAATTAGCCATTGTCACTATAGACATTACATCTGTGTTCCTTTTTTTTGAGACACAGTCTCGCTCTGTCACCCAGGCTGGAGTGCAGTGCCACGATCTCGGCTCGCTGCAAGCTCTGCCTCCCGGGTTCACGCCATTCTCCTGCCTCAGCCTCCCAAGTAGCTGGGACTACAGGCGCCCGCCACCATGCCTGGCTAATTTTTTGTATTTTTAGTAGAGACAGAGTTTCACCGTGTTAGCCAGGACATCTCTGTTCTTGACTGGAAGAAAAACGAAGGAAAAACGACCCTCTCTTTAACAATATTTGACTTACGTGCCTTGTGTGTGGCAGGTTCTTAGAACGGTGCCTGGCACACAGCACTTTGTTATCATATACACACTTACTCCCATATTTAGACATATTTATCTTTATATGCATGCTAATGTATACACATATGTTCATATACATATGTGTATATATAGTTATTTTTGTATATTTCCATCCCTTTACCTTAGAAGACTTTCTAAGTAGCCTCCCTTGCACTTATTACCCAGAGTTGAACTACATGCCGGCCCCTGGATGTATCCTTTACCTAGAAGACTGGGGTCTCTGTGACCAATTTACCCCAATCATGATTCATCTCTTGGGGTTGCTATAGGGGTCTGCCTCCCCTGAGATCAGGGCTTCCTGCAATCTGAACAAATGGGTTCTGATAGCATGGAAAGGGGAATGAATGTTGGATGTATAGCATCTATTACATATCATCTGGGTCAATTATCTAATCTATCTTATCAATCTATCTTATTTATCTATCTATTATCACTAATCTATCTACTATCCATATTAAGTAAAATGCCAATTCAACTGTGCTTTTGTTTAGTAGGATGCATTTAAGGAAGGACTGGACACCTTGCTTCAGGATAGCTTAAATTCATTCATTTATTCACTGGGTATTTACTGAGCTCCTATTATGTCCAGGAACTAAGGACATGGCAGAGATAAAAAAAAATAGGTAAGTAAATAAGATAGTCTCCGAGACTGATTAGTGGTGTCAAGGGGAGAAAACAGGGTGATGGGTTAGACAGTGACTGGCTGTCCGAGTGGCTAATTTAGGTTGTTGGTCAAAGGAGACAGTCTTTTCTTTAGGGATGATGTTTGAGTAGATGCTGAGGGGCACCTGGCTTAAGAAGGGCTGGAGATGGTTAGAGTTAGAGAAGGATTACTGGAAAGGGGAAGGGTCACTGATAAAAGGCCCTCCTGTGAGTAGCTTATGGGGCAGATGTATTCTGTGGATTCTGGTTTGTGAGATAACCAGGACTGTTCATGAGCAGGCTGGCTTTCAGACAATTGATTTTACCTGGTATCAGGATCCAATCATCCGTCCTTCGTTTCCTTTTGAGAGGAAAGGCACTGGAAGACAGGCTGAATGTGTCCTCTTGGTGCCTTTCTCAGTGCTCTGAAGTTGGCATCAGAGGTTGTCACTGGATGAGTGAATCTGCTAGGTGACTTGGGGGATTGTCTTTGATGTCTGTTTGCTCTGCCCTGCCATCTGTAACTCAGTGGCCAGTGTGTTCTCTTCTCCCACCTAGAGAAGGGATAAACAGTTCTACTTTGAAGAACTTACAGGTTTCTTAGGTGAACTCTGTAAAGTTGTGAAAGTTTGACCCAAGGCAGAATTCACATTGACATCATCAATTCAATGATTTGGGGAGAAACATGGGTAGAAGCATCTTCGTTCAATGTCTGGAGAATTCTCTATGATCTGTGGCTAGTCTGAATTCATGGTATAGGTGAATTCCTTAAATTTAGACTTTTGTGGAAGTGAAAATGCAAGATACACATACCAAATAACTAGAAAACCTTTATATCACTTCACAATGCAGACTTTATTCCTTGATTTGACAAAGGGCTTCAAAAATTGACTGAAGTACTTATAGAAACAGTACTTAGGAGAGCCAGCACTTTCTTGTATCAGAGAACATCAGCGTTAGAAACAAATGTTGTTAGTTCCAAGGCATTATAGATCAAGAAGATGAGTCTAATCAATTGATGTATTAATTAAGCTATCAATTGATCCACCCACTCATCCACCAATCCTTTCTCCAGCAATTACTGTTTCTAGCCATGTTCTAAGGCAAAGGGCAAATGAACTTGACAAACAAGGTTCCTGTCTCACCAACCTCCCCTACAGAAGAAGCTAAGATGACAAATATATTAGTAGGTTAATTTGAGATGATGATATATGATTGGAAGAAAAAACAGGGTGATGTGGTTTAGAGTATCAGGTTTTTGGAGAATGTACTAAGAATATAAATAAAATTAATCCTGTTTTTAGATGATAAAGTTGAGTCTTTGAGAAAATCAGTTCCTTATGCAAGTCCACTCAGTTAGTGGAAGGCCCAGGATTCCAGGTGAAGAAAGACTGGCCCAAGAAGGAGGATGGCTTGAGGCCAGGAGCTTAAGACCAGCCTGGACAACATGGTGAGACCCTCTCTCTACAAAAAATTAAAAAATTAGCGGGGTGTGGTGGCTCACACCTGTAGTCCTACCACTCAGGAGGCTGAAGTGAGAGGACTGCTTGAACCCAGGAAGTCGAGGCTGCAGTGAGTCATGTTTGTGCCATTGCACTCCAGCCTGGGTGACAGAGTGAGACCTCGTCTTCCCCTCCCCCACAGAAAAAGACCCAAGTTCTTCCCTTTATCACAAAGCCATACTGCAGGTACAGGGTCTGAAAACAACCCTTACTGAGATAAGTAATAAGAAAAATATCCCAGGAGAAATATTTACTGAGAATAGAGAAGATGCGAGTTCCTGCCCTGGGAAAATTTTGTAACCTTGAGCCAGCCAGACGCCCTCCTGGTCTCAGCTTCCCCCTCTGTGTGATGCGGATGGTGGGACCTTTCCTGCTGACCTCCCGGGGATGCTGTGACCCTCCTGACATGAAAGTGGTGTGAGCGGCATGGTGGCTCTGGAAGCTGAGTCCTATTACTTTCAGGGTAGGGAGGAGAGTGGCAGGTGTAGTTAGGAGAGGAAATTGCTGAAGTCAGTTATGCAGACTGGGGCTCCAGCTCTGCCATGTGCAGGAAGGCTGGCTTTGTCTCCGATTGACACATGCGTCCTGAATGACAGCTCCATGTTAAATGAGGCGGTGGCTGAATTCAGCCTGTCCTTGTTCCGAGTCCACCTGGAAATTAGATGAGACAGGAACCTGTGGGCAGCTCCACGTGTGATAAGGAAGCCACTGGAAAAGACTGAGAACCCATGGCCCTAAGTTCGAATCCAGCGCTGCCAGCCTCTCTGGGCTCCCGCTTCTTAATGCAAGGAAGTCACTACCAAGCCAGAGGCTGCTGCCAGCGTCAGACCTGGTGTCCACCGAGGGCTTGGGGTCAGGGAGGCTGTGCTTTCCCAGCTACAGAAAGCCCCATCTGATTGGTCCAGCTGCAGTCATGTGCTGGAACGTGAACCAATCACTGGGGCCCAAGGAATGCCAGGTGCTGATTGCCTGCTGGCCTGGGTCACCAAAAGCACCTTGGGAGCTGCGGGTGGGCTCAACTCCAGAATGAAGTGGTCCTAGCGAGGTCAGGGCTGACCTGGACCCAAGAGAGAGCAGATCTGGGGCCAGTGTTTATCTGACCTTAGGTGTCTGGGCATAGTCAGTGTATATCTTCCTGAAATAATAAGTCATTCAGTCCTGTTCTCAAAAGAAGACATTTATGCGGCCAACAAACATATGAAAGAAAGCTCTTCATCACTGGTCATTAGAGAAATGCAAATCAAAACTACAATCAGATAGCATCTCACACCAGTTAGAATAGTGATCATTAAAAAGTCAGGAAAGGCCGGGCGCGGTGGCTCACGCCTGTAATCCCAGCACTTTGGGAGGCCGAGGCGGGTGGATCATGAGGTCAGGAGATCGAGACCATCCTGGCTAATAAGGTGAAACCCCGTCTCTACTAAAAAAAATACAAAAAATTAGCCGGGCGCGGTGGCGGGTGCCTGTAGTCCCAGCTACTCGGGAGGCTGAGGCAGGACAATGGCGTGAACCAGGGAAGCGGAGCTTGCAGTGAGCCAAGATTGCGCCACTGCAGTCCGCAGTCCGGCCTGGGTGACAGAGCGAGACTCTGTCTCAAAAAAAAAAAAAAAAAAAAAAAAAAAAAGTCAGGAAACAACAGATGCTGGAGAGGATGTGGAGAAATAGGAACGCTTTTGCACTGTTGGTGAGAGTGTAGATTAGTTCAACCATTGTGGAAGACAGTGTGGCAATTCCTCAAGGATCTAGAACTAGAAATATCATTTGACCCAGTGATCGCATTACCAGTTATATACCCAAAGGATTATAAATCATTCTACTATAAAGACACATGCACACATATGTTTATTGCGGCACTATTCACAATAGCAAAGGCTTGAAACCAACCCAAATGTCCATCAATGATAAACTGGATAAAGAAAATGTGGCACATATACACCATGGAATACTATGCAGCCATGAAAAAGGATGAGTTCATGTGCTTTGCAGGGACGTGGATGAAGCTAGAAACCATCATTCTCAGCAAACTAACACAAGAACAGAAAACCAAACACCGCATGTTCTCACTCATAATGGGAGCTGAACAATGAGAACACATGGACATAGGGAGGGGAACATCACACACCGGGGCCTGTCAGGGGGTAGGGGGCTAGGGGAGGGATAGCATTAGGATAAATACCTAACGTAGGTAATGAGTTGATGGCTACAGCAAACCACCATGGCACGTGTATACCTTTGTAACAAACCTGCACGTTCTGCACATGTATCCCAGAACTTAAGGTATAATAAAAAAATTAAAAAAAGAAATGCATTTTTTAAATAATAAGACCTGAAAGCCAAAATTACTCCTTGATCAATGGGATGCTGAATGGATGTTGTGTTATCAGGCATGAAAACAATCTCCTTATATCTCCATCTGAGCTCTTAAGTGACTGTGCGTTATCAATAAGCAGTAATAGTTTTAGAGGAATCTTTTTTTTTTTTTCCTGAACAGTAGGTCTCAACTATGTGGTTGAAATATTCAGTAAACCATGCTATAAACAGAGGGGCTATCATCCGGGCTTTGTTGTTTCATTTCTAGAGTACAGGTAAAGTAGATTTAGCATTATTCTTAAGGGCTCTAGGATTTGGGGAATGGTAAATGAGCACTGGCTTCAACTTAAAGTCACCAGCAGCATTAAACAAGAGAGTCAGCCTATCCTGTGAAGCTTTGAAGCCAGGCATTGGCTTCTCTTCTCTAGCGATCCTAGATAGTATCTTCTTCCAATATAAGAAGATGGAAGTGTTTCATCTACATGGAAGATCTGTTGTTTAAGTATAGCCATCTTCAAAGATCTTAGCTAGATCTTCTGAATAACTTGCTACAGCTTCTCCATCACCACTCACTGCTTCACCTTGTACTTTTATGTTACAAAGACAGTTTATTGACTTAAGCCTTATGAACCAACCTCTGATAGCCTCCAGCTTTTTTTCTGCAGCTTCCTCACCTCTCTAAGCTGTCACAGAATTGAAGAGAGATAGGACCTTGGAATTAGGCTTTGGCTGAAGGGAATGTTGTGGCTGGTTCAAACTTCTATCCAGACCACTGACATTTTCTCCACATAAGAGAATATGGGGATTAAGGATGTTTTGTTTTCTTACCATTTGTGTGTATACTGGAGTTAGCACTTCTGATTCCCTTCAGAAACTTTTCCTTGGCATTCACAACTTGGCTGTTTGGTGCCAAAGGCCTCTCTTTTGGCCTCTCTGCTTTTGACATGCATTCCTCATGAAGCTTAATCATTTCTAGCTTTTGATTTAAAGTGAGAGATGTGGGACTCTTCCGTTCACTTAAACACTTAGAGGCCATTGTAGGTGATATGGTTTGGCTGTGTCCCCACCCAAATCTCATCTTGAATTGTAGCTCTCATAACCCCCACATGTTGTGGGAGGGATCTGGTGGGAGGTAATTGAATCACTACCCCATACTATTCTCATGGTAGTGAATAAGTCTCATGAGATCTGATGGTTCTATAAGGGGAAACCCCTTTTCTTAGTTCTCATTTTCCCTCTTTTCCTGCTGCCATGTAAGACATGCCTTTCACCTTATGCCACGGTGGTGAGGTCTCTCCAGCCACATGAAACTGTGAGTTTTGTTATAAATTACCCAGTCTTGGGTATGTCTTTATCAGCAGCGTGATACCAGACTAATATATTAGGGTTACTAACAGACTTAATTTCAATATTGCATGTCTCTTCTCAGGGAATAGGGAGGCCGAAGGAGAGGGAGAGAGACAGGGGAATGGCTGGTCAGTGGAGCAGTCAGAACACACACACTGTTAAGTTTGCATCTCACATAGGCATCGTTTGTGGCACCCTCAAAAGAATTACAATGGGAACATCAAAGATCAGTGATCACAGGTCACCATAATGCGTAATAATAATAATAATAATAATAATAATAATAATAATAATAAAAGTTTGAAATAATTTTGGGAATTACCAAAATGTGACAGAGACTTAAGTGAGCACATGCTGCTGGAAAAATGGTGCTAATAGACTTGCTCGATGAAGAGTTGCCAGAAACCTTCAATTTGTAAAGAACGCAGTATCTGGCCGGGCGCGGTGGCTCACGCCTGTAATCCCAGCACTTTGGGAGGCTGAGGTGGGCGGATCACGAGGTCAAGAGATCGAGACTAACCTGGCCAACACGGTGAAACCCTGTCTCTACTAAAAATACAAAAATTAACTGCTGAGGCAGGAGAATTGCTTGAATCCGGGAGGCAGAGGTTGCAGTGAGCTGAGATCGCACCACTGCACTCCAGCCTGGCATCAGAGCGAGACTCTGTCTCAAAAACAAACAAACAAACAAACAAACAAACAAACAAAAAAAAACCCCACAGTATCTGTGAGGTGCAATAAGGTGAAGCCAAGTGAGGTGTTCCCATAGGCCCTTTGAAAAGTGAATAAGAATCCCGAGAAGAGGTCATCCTGCATTTATGGTGGTACCTAAATCCAATAATTGATGTTCTTATCAGAAAAAAGGAGAGGGGGCTTAAGACACACACACAAAGGAGAAATACAGAGAAGAAGGCCATGTGAAGATGCAGGCACCTTGAGATGAAAGTTATGCTACCAGAAGCCAAGGAACTCCTGGAGCCACTAGAAGCTGAAAGAGGCAAGAGAGCTTTCCTCCCTGGAGCCGTTGGAGGAAGTGTGGCCCTGCTGACACCCTGATTTCAGACTTCTGGCCTGCAAAACTGTGAGAGAATAAATTTCCATTGTTTTAAGCCACCAAGTTTGCAGTAATTTGTTAAGGCGTCCCTGGGAAACTAATACAAGCCCACTCACGTGTTTGAAGACTTAGGCAAAGAAAGGGTACGGCTAGATTTGATATAATACAGCTGTGAAGACAAAAATAGATTTGCAGCCAGCAGTTTCATTAATTTGAGTCCTGAAACACTATTCATGAGAGCGAGGGCAACACAGCGGTTACTTTGAATGATAATAAAATAGCAAATTGCTTATTTTATATATTAATCAATGCTTATGTATATTAAGGAAACGATGTTGAATAATTTATCACACGGATTGGAAGAATGGCTTCAATACTGACATAACACATTTGCTCTTGGTGCGTTCAGTGTGAAAAAATAGAGAATAGGATGTAATTTTCATAGAGTTCTGCTCCTTGCTTCCTCCTTTCAGCATTTTCTTGAGATAGAAATTCTAAGATGCACTGAGTGGGAAAAGGGTTGTTTTCTGTTCGGTTTTCTCAGAAGGATGTGCAGGCTTCTCTTCTGTCCATAAGACAGATTGTTCGTGAAAGCTTCTTAATTAGACAAGCTCTTCTGTGGTGAGTTTTGTATTTAAGGGGAATAGGATAGGTCCAGGATTGAAGGGCTTAAGGAACTATTTCGATCTTTTCTTTTCAAGGATGTGCCTCTTGTTTTTTCCTCCTCCTAATTCACCAGCACTTACCACTTTCCTGTGTAGTTTTAGCGGGTTCTATAATATGTTGGTCTTTACTAATTTGTTCAAATGTTCTTCATATTCCCAGACTTGTGCTAGAACCCAGGCATTCAAAAGCACAAACACAAACATATCTGAGAGACAGCCACGCAAACCCTGCTAGCATATGCTAAGAGGGGGCGTTTACAGAGTGTTATGGGGCATATTTGAGGAAGCGGTTGATTCTGACTGTGAAACAATGTTGTGTGGGAGGTGTGAAGGATGAGTAGGGGTTTTCCATGAAAAACTGAGGTGGGAGGAGGAGGAATACAACCAGTAACTAACCTTTTTTGAGCACGTTCTTTGGGGCCAGGCATTGTTCCAAGTGTTTTAAGTGCATTGCCTTAATTAATACTCCTGACTTCTTGAGGCATGGGTACAGTTGTGATCACCCTCTACAGATAAAGAAAGTAAGTCAGAGGGAGCTTAAATGACTTCTGAAGTGACCGAGCAGGATTTGCACCTGAGGCTTTACCCCCACCCCAAGTCCAGCTGAAACAGGAGAGTTCCCTGACCCGCCTTGCAGGATGCGAGACAGAATCGTGGCTTGTCTGTTGAGCTGCCATGCATGCTCAAACCCTGTGTGGGAGGGGATACATGCAGATGGGCAGGTGCAGGAGCTGGGGCAAGTGCCTCTGGGCTCCGGCCCCACAGCAGCATCCAGGGGTGGGACCTGTGACTCCTGAAGCCCAAGTGTGCGTATGCTACAGTGTGCTCTTTAGCCTTGCCATCTGTGATGGCTTAAGTGTTAACCAGCTCAATGTCCCCTTGGTACCCAGGTGCTTGTCCAGTATCCAGGAAGAATCAGGTCACACATGGACTTGAAGGGTGAATGTGAGGGTTTTATTGAGTGGTGAAAGTGGCTCTCAGCAGGATGGGTGGGGAGCTGGAAGGGGGATGGAGTGGGAAGAAGATCTTCCCATGGAGTTTGGCTGTCCAGTGGCCGATGTCCTCTCCGACTGCCCCCAGCTGAACTCCTCTCGGCACACAGATGCTTCTTCTCTTTTCTCTGCTGCACTATTATGCTATTCTTCTCCTCTTTTGTTCATCTCTTCCTGGAGCCAGGGGTTTGGGGTTTATATGAGTACAGGACAGGGGGGCATGGAAGGCTAAAAGGCAACTTTTGGGTGTGAAAAAAGGAATGCCTGTTCTTATTTAGGGCTGTGTGTTTCCAGGCTTGAGGGTGGGGCCTTTGCCAGGGATCTGCCCTCTTCTACCCAGTATTTCCCTGTTTCTTGTTCATATCACAGCCATGAGCCATTGCACCATGTTGTTGGCTCTTCTAGGCAGCAGGAGTGCTGTGAGGAAGGTTTGAAACCTATGGCTACTTAGGGAAATTGTGTAAGTTTTATCTACCCCAAAATAATATATGCTACTTACCAGTTCTGCACCATGAGAAAATGACCAAAACCTTTAGTACCTGTGTTTCTTCACTAAATAGGATTAGTGGTAGTGGTACAATGCTTGCATTGGTAAATGAACCCACATAAATTCCCTTCTCCTTCACTTCCCTTTTGTTTCCTCTGAACAAATATTTATTGAATTGCAGATATTGGGGGTATAGTCCCGGACAATTGGAAAATGAGGTCTAATTTCTTATTCTGTTTCCTGTAAAATGCAGATAGTAAGGGTTTCCTCCTCATAGATTTGTTATGAGTATTGAATGAATAAAAATACGTAAGACATAAATAGTGCTCACACATCTTAAATGTTTTCTGATTTTTGTTGATTTTCACTCGTATACCCAACAACATTTCGAGCATTTGCTGGAAAAATCTTCTTAGATGTACCAAGTCTCACCAGGAAGCCTCAGTGGACGTGGCGGGGTTGAGAGTTCCCTGTGGGGATCTGTTCTGAGGGGCATTCTGTTCAGCGTTTAGCACCAAATGTGATGCTTTGTGCAGGGGCTGGCTCAATCAGTTTTAGAGAAACAGTTGCCAGATGCCACAGTTGATAGGGCTGGATTGGAATGGCAGGTCCCACTGTGGGCACAGAGAGGCACTTTGGTTTGTTTTAATGGAAATCTCTGTGGCATGCAAGATCTAAGTCTTTTTTCATTCTCTCTTTCTCGATTCCTCCTCCTTCTCCTCCTTCTTCTTCCTCTTCTTCTTCTTTTTTTTTTTTTTTTTTTTTTTTTTTAGATGGAGTCTTGCACTGTCGCCCATGCTGGAGTGCAGTGGTGCGGTCTCAGCTCACTGCAACCTCCACCTTCTGGGCTCAAGCAATTCTCCTGCCTCAGCCTCCAGAATAGCTGGGATTACAGGTGCCCACCACCACACCGGCTAATTTTTGTATTTTTTAGTAGAGATGGGGTTTCACCATGTAGGCCAGGCTGGTCTTGAATGACTAACCTCAGGTGATCTGCCCGCCTTGGCCTCCCAAAGTGCTGGGATTACAGGCATGAGCTACTGCAGCCGGCTGTCTTTTTGGCTGACAACCACAGCCTGCTTTCACTTGGCTGACTTGCTAGTTCTCATTGTTTGTCTCCCTCCATTTGTCCATGGCCCTCTGCCCTTTTCTCAATTTGTCTCACCCCACCTGTCTTTCTCTATATCTCTCTCTCGCTGTCATTCTCTGTCTATAGAGCTGTCTAATGTCTCTATCTGTATATCTGTGTCTCTTTCTCTCTCTTTAGGACCCTATGCTCTCTCCCCTCTTTCCCTTTTCCTGTCTCCCTTCCTTTCTCCTTCCTCATCTCCTTCTTGCTCTGACCCCTGCCCCACACATCTCTTTCCCTCCCCGCTTCATCCATCGGTCCATGGGGCCTAACCAAAGGACTGGGGACCAACGGAGCCTCCAGCCAAGGCTCTTCCTGCTCACTGCAGTCACCAAGGCACCAGTCAGCTCACAGGAATGATACAGGAAGGCTTATTCATATTTAAATAAAGTTATGAGTTCAGGCTTGGGTTTTGATAGAGCTAAGTGCTTCCTCGACCATTTCTCTCCGTAATGCCATCCACTCAGTTTTAGGTTTTAACTGAACAGGTGCCATTTGCTTGCCGGTCCTGTGACAGCCAGAAGCTGTGTGAAATTTTAATGTAGCTCAAGCTGGATGAGAAGACTTTTTTTTTTCCCCCAGGCAACAAAGAAATGTTTTTAACAGGTTACAGTTCTAATTGAAGGAGTGCTAGTATAATAGGTGGTGCAAGGAATTAGAGAATACACACGTAATTATTACTCAGCGCTGGAGCTGGGATGTGTGAATGAACAGGGCCCACCTGGGTTGGTAGAGGCAAAGGGAGGAAGGACACCTCGGAGCCAGCCCAGGGTCTAACCTTGCGTGCGTCTGTCTCTCTCCCTGACCCTCTCATTGTGTCTATAACTCTGGCTTTCTCTGTCTCTAAGCTCCAGCACCCCATCTTTCTAACTCATCTCATTCTCTCTGTCTAGCTTTGTTTAAACATGTGTGTTTTGTCTTCTGTCTCAGTCTGTTTCTCTGTGTTGCATGTAAGCTGTGGGCTCTCTGCTTTTGTCTGTGTATCTGTCTCTCTGTCTCATTCTCCCTCTTCCCTTTTCTTTTTTTACTTTTAATTTTTGTGAGCACATAGTAGGCATATATATTTATGGGGTACATGAGATGTTTTGATACAGGCATGCAATGCATAATAATCACATCAAGGTAAATGGGGTATCCATCCCCTCCAGCACTTCTTCCTTGTCTTCTTCTCACTGGGAGGAGGGGGTCTCTCCATGAATCTTCAGCCACTCCCCTTTGGCCCAGAGCCAGAGGTTTTCCCCCATGCAATGCCTGATAGACTCCCGCTCTCAAGGTCAGCCCTTATCAGCCTCGTCAGATGGAGACTGGGGTGCTGAGTGCTAACAGATCATCACAGCCTCACTCTGCCGCCTTATATTCTGTCAGATACAGAGACTGAGCCATGGATAGAATCTCCTCAAGTGTCGCATACCTTTCTTCCCCCCTCTGGCTCTTTTGATGGTTCTTGTTTAAATATCCAATACTAATTTCAGAGCTTTTACCACTCACTTTGTAGGTCACAATGGCTTCCATTTGTTGCATATCCTAAAGAAGCGGGTGTGTAGCTGGTCATGATTTGAGTGACCACATTTACTTTGATTAATTATTTGCCCTTTATGTGGGTCTCTTGCTAAATGCAAAATTTACTATGACGTGGTACAATTCTACTCTGGTACCAGCAGAGTAAAAACAATCACACTTTATCTCTGACCTCGATGACCACAGCAATTGTATCCTTTTGCAGTGTGATTCCCACCCAGTTCTCTGGGGCAGCGGTCAAGAGCATGTGTTTTGGGGTTGGGCGAGTCCCAGCTCAGCAGCTAACTTGGTGGGTGACCTCAAGAGGCTCAGTTTCCTCTTCTGTAAAGTGGGGTAATGACAGTAGCTGCTCTGGGCATTGCTCTTTCTGTCTCAGTGTCTATCTGGGCTGCTCTGCTCATGTCCGTTGCCTGCTTGGCTTTTGTGGGCATTTGTGTTATGCCCCAGCTCTACTGGGGGTTCCCAAGCTGGCATTTCCCCCAGTCACTCAGCAGTATCACCATTGCTTCCCCAAAGCATCTTCCTATCCCCAGGAAGCTGGTATGCTGGATATTATCGCCCCACCTTACAGAAAAGATTATTGCTGGCCCAGGGTCACCTAGGAAATTGGTAGCAGCATCCAGGACTTTTGACTCTGAGTTCAGTGCCCGTCACAGTGGCCTCGGATGCCCTCTTAGCACTTAGTTGCAGGTTCCTTGAGGGATGGGCTTAAGATCTGGTGTCCATCCGCAGCTGGTAAGGTGAAACATTTGTGCAGCTGAGGATGTCCTTTTTACCATGGGCTACTTTTATCAGTGTCCCACTTACCTTCCCTATGGGACTTAGGATGCAGGGGACATGGATATTTTTAGAGCTCTTGGTTAAGACTCTTCTGGTGGTAACAGAAACCAACTAGGGCCAATGAAAGCATAAAGGAGAATTAATGTTGAGGACACATCCTGGAATCCAAGGGCAGGGAAGGAGCGGGGCACAAGGAATGAACTGGAACCAGCACGGGAGCTCCTTAGGAAGCTTGACCAACCCCCCCATCTCTCTGCTTGCCACTCTCCTGGCAGAAAATGGCCAACAACTGCTTCTTAGTTTATATTCCTTACTTTCTGGAGAGGCGTCAGAGGCTGGAATCTCTTCATTTTCATTCCAAATTCTTTACAGAAAGGGCTCATTGGTTCAGCATGGTTCATTACTCATATCTGGACCAATCCATGGTGACTTGAAGTGGGAGGCCATTTTGCATAAAGCAGTGACATGGAGCCTTGTCACTATTATGATAGTGTTGGGGGGGAAGGGAAGGAAGTTTTCCAGAAGATGCTCCTTATGTCACTATTGAATGGTTTTACCTGCATTCGGCTACGTTTGAGATCCTACTCCACCCCGGGCAGTATGCGAGCCAATGGGAAAAAAGAAACCTGGTCCTTGTCCCCAAGAAGTTTGCAGTCTAGTGACTTTAATGGGTTGAGTTTCCATTTCTTGTAGAACCTCCATATGTACTGAGAGCTGTAGGGCCTTACGTATTTGTAGTCTGTTGTTTCAGCAGTGGAGGAACTGTTGTTCCTCCTTCCCTGTGAGGTAAACTTGCCTGTAAGGCCTACTGCATGACCATCTTCCCTGTGAGTGACCCTCAATCGTGTCAGTTAAGCAGCACTTACCACCTCACTGCTCTTAGTTACTGGTTAATGAACTTACCTGGGCACTGGATAAAGCTCATCCCCAACAGCCTTTGCTTCTTCCATCTGTTGTCACCACCTGGGAGACACAGGTCGGTCCTTAACAGAGTCACATTTTATTGCTCTGTCTCTGAGTGCTATCCTATTTGAAATAATTTTCTTTGTGTTATTCAGAGACTCAGAAAGAGCTGAATTTTGAAATCACTTTCTGCCTCGTAGATAATAAATGATCCGAGTCTAAAAATAGCCATCAAGTTGGGGGAGCTGGCTGATTTCAGCGTTATATAATACACAACAGTGGGATTGAAAAATCAGTATTTAAATTGGAGCCAACATCCTTGCTTATCTCTGAGTGAAATTTACATCTGCCTTGCGATTTTAAAAATCAGAAGTCAAGGTGTCTGAGGGCCCAATGTGGTCAGAATTAGATTCCTACTCAGAGGCTGACATTTCTGTGCTAGGGATCAAAGAGTGTAGGTGGCCAGGCCTTGGGGTTGTGGGCCAGAACCTCACAGGCTGGAAGAGCAGCTGGAGTGGAACACACTGGAAGTCACACGTGGTTGTGACTTGGGCCTTTGTGGCTACTTAGCTGTTTCTACTAAAAACTAAGTTTTGTATCTATAAAATATATTTTTAAACATTTCAAATTAAAAAATCTGTATAAAGCTATCTTTTAGGCTGAAAGCTTTCTTTTGAGCTGGGAAAAGAAATGCGATTGTTAGGTTTGTTTTCCAAGTGAGGAGCTGAGAGGAGACCCAGCGCAGCAGCCGGGATCGGGGACTCTGGTGTCAAATGTTTTTGCTCCCATCCTGGCTCTGCAGCTTAGCAGCGGAGTGATTCTGGCCAAATCATGGAATCTTTCAGCTTCAGTTCCCTCATTTGTAAAATGAGGATAAAAATAGTAATGCTTCAGTAGGGATGCTTGAGGATTAAATAAGATGTTAATAAGACCAGTTAGTGTTTATCAGGTACTTACAATATACCAGGCACTGTTGTTGGGCACTTTGTTGGTTATCAAATGTTGATACCTATTGTAGTTTATTGTTATAAATATGCATTATTATTAACAAATAATGCATGTAAATAACTTGGCACAGTGCCTGGAACTTATCTAAGTGTTTAAGAAAAATTAGTTGTCACTAATTATGTTTGTTAGGCACTTACCACATCCTGCATCTTTATGCATTTATTTATTGATTCATCTCTGTTGCCTGTTCTCTTGGTTATATCTTTGAGTCTGAACAAATGTGTTTCCCAAATACCTTCACTAAAATCCCCCAAATGTGCATATTCTCTCTTTCAACACAAAGACACATTGTTGTTATTTTAATGAACTGCTTGAGAGTAAGTTACACACATGATGATCCTTTTTCTGTAAATAGGTTTGTGTAAATTTCCTCAAAACTCTTACGTAAGTAGAGTGAAATGTCAGTATCAGGAAATGAATGTCAATGCAAAGTGTTATCTTGTTCCCAGACCATATTCAAATTTTATCTATTATTGCACTAATATCCTTTATAGCAAAAGAAAAATACATTTTTCTGTTTGAGGATTCAATTCAGGATCACACATTGCATTTGTTGTGTCCTTTAATCTGGAACAGTTTCCTAGTCTTTGTCTTTTAGGCTGTGACATATTTGAAATGGACAAAATGTGCCATATTGGGTTTTGTCTGATATTTCCTTATTATTAGATTCAGTTTACATGATTTTTGTCGAAAACAGTCCAGAAGTGATGCTATCTCCTTTTCAGGACATACAATGCATATTTATCCCATTGCTAGTGATGTTGTCTTTGATCACATGGAAAACAGGGTGCTATGGTCTGTGTGTGTCTCCCAAAATCCATGCGTTGGAAACTTAATCCTGAATGCAACAGCACTGGGAGCTGAAGCCTTTTGGGAGGTGTTTATGTCATTAGGGCTCTGCCCTCATGGATGAATTAATGCTGTTATAAAAGGGATTGACCAAGAAGTTCATTCCTTTTTGCCCTCTGCCTTCTGCAATCCTCTCCAGAGGCTACGCCGTTCAAGGCACCATCTTGGAAGCAGAGGGCAGCCCTCACCAGATGCTGATGCCTTGATCTTAGACTTCCCAGCTTCTATCACAGTGAGGAAAAAATTTTGTTCTTTATAAATTACCCAGTCTGTGGCATTCTGTTATAGCAGCACAAAATGGACCAAGACAGGTGGTATATGCTAGGTTTAGACACCATAAAGTTACTGTTTTCCCTTTGAAGTTAATGTTTCTTTCACAGAGATACTTTGGCACTATGAAAATGTCCTGTTTCTTATCATCCTTTCAATCAGTAGTAGAGCCCATTAATGATTCTTGCCTGAAACAATTATAGTAATAAATAGTGATTGCCAGGTGGTGATATTCTAGCTTCATCATTCCTTTTGATATTTATTAGCTGGAATTCTACTCTAAGAATCAATCTTCCTTTCTTCACTGTTTGTTTATGACAATATGGACTCAGAAGCTTATTTTATTCTACAGATTATAATTGACTACTGTGATTATTTACTGTGATGCTAAAATTGTCCCAAACTGGAAGTGGGTGCCCCTTCACTCTGCCTCTTGTGTCCTTTTGACATTTTTTTTGAGCACTTTGTTACTTTCTGCCTCTACAGGATATATCAGGCTCATGTTCTTGTACTTTCTTTGTCTTGGCACTTAAATCAGCCATTTCTCTAAGGAGCTCTGTTTTCTTTTATTGGAGACTGGTTTTTAGAGCTCCATTCTGGGTACTAGGTGTGCTGATTGCTAAAGGGGTGTTATATCTAAGCCCTCTCAGTGAACAGAACTAGGAAAAAACTATATACATGTGTACATATATACACACCTACGTTATACATAGGTAGACACATGTATGTCCCTGCTCCTGTGATTTTGTGATGGTACTTCCCATCCCAGTTCATGATTGCAGAGTTCACTCTAACTCCTTCTCCTTTCCATTTTTAAACTCAATTTTCTAGCAGTGAGAATCCTGGCTCTCATTACCCAACACATATTGTTTGCTCAATCCTAGAATACTAAAGCAGTTTTAGAATTGCTAACCCATACTGCTGTGGAAAACAAACCTAACTAGAATTCAATCTGTGTTTACAGTTATTTTTATCTTTAGCCTGAGAGTACATAGTCAAAATAATGTGCCGAAAGTTACTTGTGACTCCTAAATTTTAATAGCTTAAAGCAACAGAGGTTTATTTGTGCTCACACTGCCTGTCTGACACAGATCAGTTGGAGAATTTTGCTCTGGGTCACTTTGGGAGCCAGGATGATGGAGCAGCCACCATCACCATGGCATAGAAAGGGAGAGTGTGAAGTCTTGTGTTCTTAGAGCTTCTGATTCAAATGAGCACATAATTCCACCTGTGTTTCATTGGCAAATTCAAATGGACAGTAAAATACAATCAAACTGTGTGCTCAAAAAGAGTGCTTGTGAGGAAATTTTATTTATTTAATGCCATCCTTATGAATTCTTTGGAAAAAAAATTTTTTATAGCTAAGAAAATGGAAGTACTCCAACTTCTTTTTAACCAATATAGGGTCCAATTCATCACGTTATCTGTTACATAATATTTTATACTGTGGACCTGTACCAAGTTCATTGGGCCATTTCCTAACTAATGGATATTTAGATAGTTTTTATCTTTTCCTATTAGAAACAATGCTTTGATGAATATCCTTCATGAACTGATGACCTTGTTTGGGCATCTCTCTCAGTAAAGATACCCATAGGTGGAGTTACTGAGCAGTCAGTTTTTTTTTTTTTAAATCAATCAGAGATTCCTTATTTCCTACATTCTTCTCTGTAAAGTGAAAGTAATAATAGAAGCAACCTCATTAATTAATATGAAGCCCTTGTCACAATCCCGAGCACATAGCAGATGCTCTCTTGTATGAGAGCTATTATTATTCTTTTCTCTCAAATGTGGTACCAGATTGTGATGTTCTCTTTTGCCTTTGTATTTTCTGTGGGTAGTTCACCTCGTCCAATGGGGTTTCAGATTCCCAACGTGGAAGGAGTTGCTGCTATCTTTCCTTTGTAAAACAAGGTACTTTAAGGCAATGTGTTCTTCAGTTCTTTCTAGATCTAAGATATCCCTAAGATTCAACTGACTCTACGGATTAGAAGCTAACAGAACTATTGTCACGTAAGGAATCGTGACCATTTGAGAAACAAGAAGAGGAAAGGAGAGACTGTCAATATTTAGGGCTGCTCACTCGCTGATGTAAGAATCCTTCTCATGGACATAGAGTATGAGGCTGTTGCTCACCCTGGTAAAACTTCAGCGGGTCAAAAAGGGTGTTGAAGATGCCCTGTATTATATCTACTTCTTGGAGTTTATATTCTGCCAAATTTTTTCTCATTGGCAAAATTGTTGTCCATCTTTCACAAAACACTGAATCATCACTGACATTGAGGAGTGGTATGAGCCTTTCTACTGATATCTGTACTGATGTTCCCAACACATGAAATGCCAGGACATATGGCATTACCTCACTATTCAGAATAACATGGAATCTTTTGTTTGTTTGTTTTCACTATGCAGTGGCTTTCAGTTGATCCACAAGGGTTGGCAACCATCAACACTAATTCTAGAATATTTCCATCACTCCTCCAATGAAATCCCAAACCTATTAGCTGTCATATATATATATATATATATATATATTCAGGAGTAGAATTGCTAGGTCATATGGTAATTCTCTGTTTAACCTTTTGAGGAAGCACCAAACTTTTCCACAGCAGTCACACAATTTTACACCCCACAGACAATGTATGAGAGTTCCAATTTCCACACATTCTTGCCAGTCAACACTTGTTATTTTATGTCTTTTTATTTAAAGTTGTCCTAGTCAGTGTGAAGTGGTATCTCTTTTTGGTTTACATTTCCTTAATGAAGTTGAGCATCTTTTCATGTGTTTATTGGCCACTTGTATTAATATATCTTCTTTTGGAAAATGTCTATTCAAATCCTATCCCCTCATTTTTAATTTGGGTATTTGTCTATTTTGTGTGGTATAATACTTCTGCATATATTCCAAACATTAGACCCTTATCAAATATATTATTTGCAAATATTTTCTCCCATTTGTGGATTGTCCTTTTACTTTCTTGGTGGTATCCCTTGAAGCACAAATGTTTTTAATTTCTATAAAGTACAATTTATCTATTTTTCTTTGTTGGTTGTGCTTTAGGTGTCATATCTAAGCAATATTTGCTGAGTCTGAAGTCATGAAGATTTATACCTAAGTTTTCTTTAAAGAGTTTAATGGTTTGAGTGCTTAAATTTATGTCTTTGATATATTTTGAATTAAATTTTGAATGTGGTGTGAGGTATGGACCCAACTTTGTTCTTTTTTATGTGGATATCCGGTTATCCCAGCATCATTTGTTGAAAAAACTATTCTTTCACCATTGAATTATCTTGAAATCCTTGTTGAAAATCAATCTGCTGAAAATGAGAGAATTTATTTCTGGAAAGTCAATTCTAATCAGGAAGTGTGAGCCTTCCAACTGTTATTTATCCAGATTGCTATGGCTATTCTGCCTCTTTCATCTCCATATGAATTTTAACACTAGCTTGTGTACTTCTGGAAAAAAGGCAGCTGGAATTTTGATAGCAATTACATTGAATCTATATATTTATTTGGGGAGTGTTGACATCTTAACAATATTAAGTTTTCCAATCTATGAACGTAGGATACATTTTATTTATTTATTTAGGTATTTTTAAAATTTTTTCAACAATACTTTGTGAGACATTTAAGTTTAACCAACTACTTTCATTAAACTTATTTCCAAGTAATGTATTAATTTCGATGCTGTTATAAAGATAATTAGTTTCTTAATTTCATTTATGTATTGTTCATTACAGATAAAATTGAGTTTTAGATTTTCATCTTGTATCCTGAAATTTGCTGAACTCCTTTATTAGCTTTAATGGTTTGCTTGTGGATTTCTGGAATTTTCTAGGTATGGGATCATGTCATCTGCAAATAGGTATAGTTTTACTTCTTCATTTCCAGTTTGGATTCATTTCAATTAATCCCCCCCACCCCGCCCCAATTACCTTGGCTAGAACCTCCAGTACAACACTGGATAGAAGTGGTGAGAGTCATCTTTGTCTCGTTCCTGATCTTAAGAAAGCTTACAGTCTTTTACCACTGTGATATTAGCTGTATGTTCTCCATAGATGGCCTTTATTATGTTGAGGAAGTTCCCATCAATTCCTAATTTATTGAGTAGTTTTATCATTAAAAGGTGTTGGATTTTGTCAAATGCTTTTTTTCACATGTCTTGAGATGATCCAGACATACATTTTGGTCCTTTGTTCTATAATTAAGGTATATTACATTGATTAATTTTCATATGTTGAACCAATCCTGCATCCCTGGGATAATTCCCACTTGTTATGGTGTTTAGTCCTTTAAAAAAATGTTGCTTGCATTTGTTTGCTAGTATTTTGCGTGTGTGTGTGGCAGGGGGGTGGGGTTGGCATCTATAATCATTAGGGATATTGGCCTGTAGTTTTCTTTTCCTGTGATGCCTTTCTTTTTTTTTTTTTAAATTAGGGTAATACTGGCCTCATAGAATTAGCTGGGAACTGTTTCATCTTCTAATTTTGTGAAGAATTTCTAAAAATTAATATTACTCTTTCTTCAATCTTTTGTTAGACTTTATTAATGAAGCCATCTGGTCCTGAGCTTTTCTTTGTGGAAAGTTTATTTTTAAATTATTAGTTCAATCTCTTTATCAGTTATAGATATTGAAATTCCAATTTCCTCTTGAGCCAGTTTTGGTAGTTTTTGTCTTTTTATGAATTTGCTCTTTTCATCTAGGTCATCTAGTTTTTGGCATATGCTCTAGTATTCCTCTATAATTTTTTTTCCTGTAAGACTGAGCCCCTTTTTAATTCCTTATTTTAGAAATCTGAATCTCCTCTGCACTGCTCCACTCATCAGTCTGGCTAAAGTTTTGTCAGCTTTAAAATTTTTCCAAGTAACTTACTTTTGGTTTCATTGCATTGGTTTTCTGTATTATATGTCATTTATTATTTTGTATTAATGTATAAATATTATGAAATATAATATCTAATAATATTCAACATAACATTATTTAATAGTAAATACCAATATTTAATATAAATAATGTGATATAATATTTATATTATTATTAAACTATACTTAACATTTTTTCTACTCTATTATTATTGTCTTCCTTGCTCTTGTTCTAGGTTTAGTTTGCTCTTTTTTCTCTAGTTCTCTAAGGTAGAAGGCTAGGTTATTAATTTGAGATATTTAAATTTTCCCATATAGGCATTTACTGCTATACATTTCCCTCTAGATACTACTTTTAATACATCTCATAAGTTTTGGCATGTTGTGTTTTCATTTTTACTCATCTCATAGTATTTTCTGATTTCTCTTGTGATTTATTTTTTGAAACATTGGTTGTTTAAAAGAGGATTGTTTAATTTCCGAATGTTTACAGATATTCTTAATTTCCACCCTATCCTTTTCTAATTTCATTCTATTGATATCAGGTAATTTACTTTGTACAATTTCAGTCCTTTCAAATTTGTTGAGACTTGTTTAATGGCCTGACCTGTGGTATGTCCTAGAGAATGCTCCATGTAAATGCAGTAACAATGTGTATTCTGCTGTTGCTGGCTACTGTGTTCTATAGATGTCTGTTATGTCTTGTTTCTTTATAGTATTGTTAAAGTCTTCCTTTTCCTTGTTGATCTTATGACTAGTTGTTCTGTTAATTACTGAAAGTGGAACATTGAAGTCTCCAACTCTTATTGTTGGATTTTTTATTTCTTCCTTCAACTGTGTCAGTTTTGACCTCATGTATTTTGGGGATTTGTTGTTAGGTGCATCTGTTTTATAATTGTTATATTTTCTTGTTGATTGACTCATTTTATACAACATTCATCTTTGTGTCTGTTTTTGTCATACAAATTGCATCTTTCTGCAAGATGTGTGTCCATGAACAAACATCTATAATTATTCCTTTATGCAGTTCTCCTTTAAATAAGATAGAAGAAATGTAATGTCCCAAACAAAAATATGTTTGTACTGTCTTTTGTATTTATCAATGTAGTTACATTTACTGGTGCTCTCTATACCTTCATGTGTAATTAAGTTACTGTCTAGTGTCCCTTCATTTGAGCCTAGAGGTCTTCTTTTGGTATTTCTTGGAAGATGAGTCTGTTAGTGAAGAACTCTCTCACTTTCTGTTTTTCTTGGTTTGTGACAATTTCTTCATTTTATTTTGAAAGACAGGTTTTCTGGATATAAAATTCTTGGTTGACAGTCTTTTTTCTTCCACCACATTGAATGTGTCATCCTTCTACCTTTTTGCCTCCAGTTTCTGATAATACAACAGGTCTTAGTCTTATTGAAGATTGCTTGTATATAATGAGGTATTTTTGTCTTGCTGTTTTCAATATTATATGGTATTTTGGTATTTGACAGTTTGATTATGATGTATCTAGGTGCGGATCTCTCTGAGTTTATTCTATTTTGAGTTCGCTGAACTCTTGGACGTGCAGATTAATGTTTTTAATAAAATCTGGGACACCTTTGCCATTAATTACTCAAATATTGTTTCTTCCTTTTTCTCTGCCTCCTTTTCTTCTGGGACTGCAATTGTGCTTATGCTGGTATGCTTGATGGCATCACAGAAATCTCTGATGCTGTATTTATACTATTTTTGTTCATTCTATTTTCTTTATACTCCTCTCATTTTAATTTTAATTAGCCTATCTTTATATTCACTGATTCTTTTTTTCTGTCTGCTCAAATCTGCTGTTGAGCCCCATGAGTGAATTTTCCATTTCGGCTATTGCACTTTTCAACTTTAGAATTTCTAATTGATTATTTAAGAAAATAATTTATATCTATTGATATTCTCTCTTTGGTGAGACAGCTTTCTCATACTTGCTTTTTTTTTTTTCTTTGAGATAGAGTCTCGCTCTGTGGCCCAGGCTGGAGTGCAATAGCATGATCTCGGCTCACTGCAATCTCTGCCTCCTGGGTTCAAGCAATTCTCCTGCCTTAGCCTCCGAAGTAGCTGGGATTACAGGTGTGGTGGCACCACACCTGGCTAATTTTTTATATTTTTAGTAAAGGTGGGGTTACACCATGTTGGCCAGGCTGGTCTCAAACTCCTGACCTCATGATCTACCTGTGTCAGCCTCCAAAAGTGCTGGGATTACAGGTGTGAGCCACTGCACCTGGCCTTTCATACTTTCTTTTAGTACTTTAGATGTGATTTTATTTCTTTGAATATATTCAAAACATTTAATTAAAAATAATTGTCATCTTTGTGTAGTAGGTCCAATACCTTAGCTTTCTCAGGGAAAATTTGCTTGATTGCTTTTTGTCCTGTGTATGGACCATATTTTCTTGCTTTTTTGCATGTCTCATAAGTTTTTTTTCAAAGCTGGACATTTAAAATAATATAATGTGGCAACTCTTGGAATCAGATTCTCCTTCCCTCCCCAAGTTTGTTTTTGTTGTTTGTTGTAGTAGCTGTTGATTGCTTAGTGACTTTTATAAACTAATTCTGTAAAGTCTATAAAGTCTCTGCTTGGTTAGCTTGGTGGTCAGCCAATGATTAGGCAGAGTTTTCTTTAAATACCTGACACCTGCCTTAGCTTTCACTTCCTTCTTCCACAGAGCCTCAAAATCAACCAGAGGTGAAAGCTTAGGTCTATTCTCTGATCTTTCCTGTGTATGAGCACAGCTCTAGGCATGCACACAGCCCTAAGTATGATTATGATCTTATAGATTCCCAGGAATATGTCATAGCCTTTCAAAGACCCTATGGACATCTCATTCTTCATCTTTTCCTTTGAAGCTTTTTGATTAAACTGTTATCCACTGCTTCAGGCAGCTAAAAGTCAAACAGTTGCCTGGCAAGTATCTCTAGGGAAAGAGCTTTCCATACTGGGTGAACTGAGAGTGAAGCCAAATACCGACAACCTTGCAAGTGGGTTTTTTCAGGGAACCATTAGACAAGTCGATAAATGACTATTATTTGGGAATGAGGTTTTGAAAGATCTCCAGCCCTGACCTGACCCCTCCAGTGGCTTCTAGACTGCTGGTTTTTACTGTCAATGTAGGCTGTTATTTTTTAAAGATACTACAGCACTAGAAAGTGTGAGATTTAAGCAGGTCAGGTTAAAATGGCACAAAGTTCTGTTTTTACCAATAATTAGCCATTTTTTCTTGAATAAATGATCTCCTGGTTGCCTATAAACCTTTGGTTTATTTCCAGAGTTAAAAAAGTTGATCTTGACAGGAGAAGGGAATTTTCTGATGTTTTGACTGCCATTTTCACTGACATCACCCTAACGTGCAACATTAATGGAAGCACATAGTCATAAAGGACTATAAATATGCTTCAAGGCATGAAACCTAGAACTCACACAAATAAGAGCAGAATAAAATACTTTGTTTTTTGATAGGTTAGGAATTTTTAGCATCTCTGGGATCAGGGGACGATTTCAATGTAATATTTACCATGCTAAATTGCTTTCTCATTGTGCTAGGTAAGTAGGAATTGCCTTTGGGATTTTTGAGAGACTGTTGATGGAAACAGGATAAAAAAGGTATGAAAATCTCAGCTACCCATGAAAAAGCTGAAGGAGGAAACATGGTTGCAAAGTTATGTGTAATAGAATCATAAGTTTGCATCAGTTATGATTTATTATAAAAATTAAAGTCACCTTTCTTGAAACTCAGTTTGGGAAATATATTGTAATGTCTTCTTTGAAGGCTGTGAGCTTCTACAAGGTGGAGATTGATGTTTAACCTTTTCTCTTTCCCTAGTGTCTAGCCTGTTACTTGTCCTCATGTGTTAAGAATTTTAGTTGCAACTGACAACCCAACTCAAACTAACTTTAGTAAAACAGTTAATTTTGTATACCTACATTTCCAAAGATAACAGACTTCAGGTATAGTTGGATTCAGGAACCTGGAAATCTTTCCCAGGAATATTTCTAGCTCCTACTCTTGTCTGATTTTCTTTGTTTGGGCTTCACTTGAATCTGTCTTTGTGGGCCAAGGGCTGGAATACCTGGATTGACTGTATTTTGGTCATGTGCTTTTCTGCGAAGTCTGACTGGGTGTTCTGGGATCAGCGCCACCCAGTCCACATTCACTGATGGCAGGAATCGGGTGATACAGAGAGAAAAAAAATGAAACATTGTCACTAAAGAGGAAGGAAGAGGGATGCTCATTAGACAAAATCAATGCCTGCCCACCACACACAAAAAATACCTGTACTGATTTTTTTTTTTTTCAGCTGCATGATTGAGTTGAACTTAGCAGTTTGTTCTGGGACTATGATACAATCTCTGTTCCTTGTATTCATGAGATTACTCCCACTTCCATATCATTACCCCACCTAGGTGAGTTCTCATCTCAACTTCCACAGTGCTTCCAGTCCTATGTGCTTTAATATAAATATATGTAAGTGTGCACAGAATTAAGCTCCCCGGGCAGAGGGGAGTGCTCAGGAACATGGAGTACAGTTCTGTTCTTTTGGATTTATCTCTTTAAAATTTCATCCAGAATAGGGGACACATGTAAAAAACAAACTTAATTTTTCACATTTCTTAGATTGGGTTGTTATTGTTTTTAGGTATTCATTACAAAGTTGATGTTTTCTGTTAACAAGTAGCTATTATTTGCAGGTTTAATATCAACAAAAAATAAATCATCTATAAAATGGGAATAATATCCGTAACTACCTTGGGAGAGCTGAGAAAACTGAATGAGGATGTAATGACATATAAAACACATAGAACATTTCCTGTTCCATACATAATAGCTAAGTTTTAGCAATTATTATTATTATTATTATTATTATTATTATTATTATTAAAGGTTGACTCCATCTCTTACTCTATTAAGCCTTCACAATCAAGTTTGGAATAGAGAGTGCGGGGCCGACTATAGAATCCACATAGTGCCTGAGCTAAGGTTAGGGACTCCAAATGTGAAAGCAATACTCAAGTAATGATCTCACTGATACAGTCTGGGAGACACTGAAATAATTATCTAGTTGGATCATTCTAGTGAGGCCAATTATGGAATGTTTGGTGAACTCTCATTGCTGGGCTGTGTTGCCCAGGTGTCTACCATCTTCTCTGGTTGACTCTCTTTCTCTTCAGGCAAGTGCGAAGTGGCATCTCTGCCACAGTCCCCTTGTGAATCTACTCAGTGGTTCTTTAATTCACTCATGGAGCAAATACTGTAGAGAACTTACTGTAACAGCTGGATTTATTGCATGCTTGTTGCCCATTATGTACCAGTTCTGTTCTAAGCTTTGTACATTGATTGATTTATTAAATTTTCATAAGGTCCCCATACAGGAGCTGTTTTTATTATCCCCGTTTTCCAGATCAGAGAACCCAGGTACAGGGGAAGTACCCTGTGGTAGATGCTGTTGATGGGATGTAAATGGGCTCAACTGTGGTGAGGGACAGAAAGACAGGAGCAGGAGAGAGAGTAAAAGGTGAGAAGGTCAGATCATTCCATGTCCATGAGTTTGGATTTTATCTTAAGAATAGCAGGACACTTTCAAAGAGTTATAATCTAGGAAAGAAATAATCTGCATTATATTGAAACAAAAAGATAATTTTGTTGTAAAGAGAATGAACACAGGGAAACCAGTTGGGGAGGGCATTGTGGTTGTCCAGCTGAGAGAAGATGGCTTGAGTAGGGAAGTTGGCAGTGGGGATGGCAAATATTTGACAGACTGAGATAAACTATGAACATATATTAGAACCTACAGAACTCTGAGGGGATCAATCAACAGAAGAAGTGAGAAACGCACATGTCAGCATTTAAAAATACCTGGGTTTGGAGGGAGATCTCTGGAGATTCTGGAGGTGTCGGGGAGGTGGGGTGTGGCAGTCAGCTTGGGTGTGTAGAGGTTCGTAATGTTCAACTTGTGCTCTTCTGTTGTTTCTGCTGTTGTCTTTCCTAGTTTAAAATCACAATGAAGTCTATGTTCACTATGTTAATAAGCCCAGAATATAGGCATTCACTTCCCAAATGATCCTTGAGCCGAGATTTGAAAAATACTGAAAGGAACTCGTGTGCTATGTGTGAGTCTGTGGGACTGAGGGCGGCGGGGATGGAGTAAGGGAGAGGAGGTCAGGGAGAGGGAGAATGACCCTGCACCTGGGGACTGGGAAGACATTCCAACCAACCATCAGGTTTGATTATCTCAGTCTGGGATGAAACACCGATTGGAAACTTCCATTTTGTGTGAGCTTTGTGGCTTTGTCCCTTCAGACAACTGTCTAAATCGCAGAACGAGAATGAAGGCAGTAGGGAGCTTGGTGGACACCCCTCTCCTGCTCGCCCCTGTGGTATGCACGTTTGCTGATCTGAGCCCTCTCCTCTCCTGTTTAGGACACCGAGGTTTTGAACACTGCCATTCTCACTGGAAAGCCTGTTTCAGTTCCTGTCAAAGTCGTGGGGGTCCAGGAGGATGGTTCTGTGGTCGATGTGTCTGAGTCTGTGGAATGCAAGTCTGCCGATGAAGATGTCATTAAGGTAAGGGGGGATTTATCTACAGCTGTCCTAAGTGCTCAGAGCTTTTTGTCGTTCCTTCTTTTGTCTCCAAGGTCTTGTTCTCACTGAGCATCCCATGCTCTAAAGGGCTGGAGGCCAGAATGACCTCACGAAGGAGGAAACAGCTGACCGCAGAGACTCCCTGGAATCAGCAGGCGGCTGCAGCAGGTGATGCTGCTTCCCTCTCCCTGGAAAGGGGAATCCCTGACCCTTAATCTCCAGCAGAAAGAATTTATTCTCCTCCCCTTCTTGTCTCCCCTATTCTTCTCTCTATCTTTCCTCGTAAGACAATATTTTCCTAACTTTAGCAATCCAAATAAGACCTTCTCATTTTTTGCAAACTCACTGTGCCTAATAATATTATTTACTCAATATATTTTCTTTAAATGCCTTGCTTCTTTCGGGTAGCCAGTTAGCTCAGTGGGTTAGAGTGTGGTGCTAATAAATGCATTACTTTTTCAAACTTAAAAACTAATTTAGCTTCATTATAAGACAATAAAGTCCGTGAGCTTGGTGTATTACATTTTTTGTTAATATGCATTAAAATAAATAACTATTCAAATAAAATTAAGTTCACCCATGTGCCACCTAACTGAACTTGAATATAACCAGTGGGATACAGTTTAGGAAATGGGACATTTCTGCTAGATTCTTCACTCAAATTAGCTATGTTTCTGACTCCAAATTCTGCTAGGAACCAGAAAATATTTTTTTCATGCTCTCTGAAGGGGTCTTTTTGAACCACCAAATTTAATATTTCTGCCTATTTTTTCTTAGCACATTGGTTGCTATTGCTTTTGCAGCAGAGACCTCAGGGAGAAAGGATTTGAATTTTTAGAATGACTGATCCTTCCTCCTTTAAATTATTAAGAGAGCCCCAAAGTCCAATCTATTCAGCTATTTTAGAAAAATACAATAACTCAGAGTTCTGCCCTTCCTCACATTCTACAAGCTCTTGTTTAGAGGTTACATGAAACTTGGTCTCAGTATTGAAAACTTCGTGGTAGACAGGAAAACCTTTAGGGGTTTCCCTATAGTAGAAAAGGTCTGGGAGGGGTTGATTTCTTCTTGTTGTGACCTACAGGATGCTGTGTCTTAAGCAAGAGACAGTTTCGGAAAAAAAGACTGATGTATTCGTGAGGTCTAATTAACAAAGAAATTAATTCCTAGGAAACTCAAGTTTGGCATAGACTCTTTCCTGGACATGGAATGCTCATCGTCCTTAGATATGGAAGGTGGACTGGCTTAAAACCTGCACACATAGCCCTGCCTGGGGTTCCTGGTGGTCCTTGTATTCTGTAGGCAGGTTTGATTAAATATATGGCCTTAAATATTCAGAGTTTAGAAAGAGCTGAGCCAAGTCACAGGAGATTATATGCACCAATGACAAATATGGATGATGAACTGCTGTTGGTTGCTATTGACAATGCGCAAGTTTTACACTATTTTTACTATTCCCATGTCATTCTAGAAAGGAGACACTGATAAGAGATGGTATCTGTATGCTTACGTCATAATGGGCTCAAACAAATGATTCAGTCTGTAGTTTCCTAAGCCTTTTGTTCTGACCTAAGAGCCTGCTATGAAGCCCCATGGGGTGGAATCCTCCTTCTCTTGCCCTGAAGAGCTCTACTCTAGAGGGGCAGGTCCAAGTTCACAGATCCCGTTATTGCCATATACCTGGTTTTCTCCACTCCACACAAATGTACTAAAAGTATCCTCTGCTCATCCTCATAGACGTTGTTTTGGAAGATGATACCTTTTTGCTCAGCTGTCACCTATATAGCCTCAGGAGGATGGGGATTCGTCTAACAAATTATTGCCCAGTCTTCAGAGGAACAAAGTGAAACCTGCAGATCGCAAGCTCAGAGCTGTATTCACACTTTTTAAGGGGATTCCAGGACTGTTGCAAGTTTGGGGGCTTGTGTCAATTGAGGCGATTTAATTAAATGGCTGTGATGCATTTACTATGGCTTCAGTGTCAATGTTTGTAGTAAATTTTACTATAACTCCAAGTTGAATGGAGTTGTCCACAGAGCTATGACCTTGGCATCATCCCAGGGACATCCTCAAATACATGGCACATTCATTAGCACCCTTTGGAGAGATCCTCTGAGTCTGTGGAGTTGTCACACAGTCATACTTCAGAGTACAGAAAACACTGAATGATTTTTAGGGAGAGTCTTGCAGGGCTCACCAAAGATCTTTGTGCCTTGGAACCATGAGTTAGATAAGGGAAAAATGTGAATTTAGAAAGATGTAAGTTATGGTAATATCCAAACAAATGAACTTGTTTGGCCTGTGATTGTATGACTTTTGCGGGACAGAATCAGAGGACATACATGATTTTGAAAAGCTGGAACCTTGGCCTAATCTGGCAAGATTAAAAGAGATAAATGTAAAATTTCAAGTTGACAACTATAGTAGTCCTTCCTTATCTGTGGTTTCACTTTCCGTGGTTTCATTTCACTGTGGTCAATCACAGTCCAAAAACGTTAAATGAAAATTTTCAGAAAGAAGCAATTCATGTTTTAAATTGTGTACTGTTCTGAGTATCGTGAAGAAATCTTGAGTCTTCCTGCTCCATCCCACCTGGGTTGTAACTCATGACTTTGTCTGGCATATCCATGCTGTAGATACCACCCACCTCTGAGTCATTTAGTAGCTGCCTGGGTGATCAAATAGACTGTCGCGGTATCACAGTGCTTGTGTTCAAGTCACCCTTATGTTATTTACAAATGACCCCAAAGTATAAGAGTAGTGATGCTGGCAATTCGGCTAGACCAACAAGAAGTCATAAAGTGCTTCTTTTAAGTGAAAAGGTGAGAGTTCTTGACTTAATAAGGAAGGAAAAAGATCATATGCTGGAGTTACTAAGATCTACAGTCAGAGCGAATCGTCTATCCATGAAATCGTGATGAAGGAAAAAACATTCATCGTAGTTTTGCTGTCACATCTCAAATACAAAAGTTAAGGCCACAGTGTGTGATAAATTCTTCATTAAGATGTGAAAAGACATTAAATTTAGGTGAAAGACATGAACAGAAACTTGTTCTGCTGGATGACAGTCTGATTCAGTTCTATCTGTGGTTTCAGGCATCCACTGGGGGTCTTAGACTATATTACCCATGGATGGGAGGAGACTGGGAGACTGCTGTACTTTTAGGTTAAAAAAAAAAAAAACAAGTAGAGGATTGTGTGTGTGTGTGTGTGTGTGTGTGCGCACACACACAAGAAGCCTTAGCGTTTTTATCAGTATTGGGATCCAGTGAGTCAACTGTTTGATAAGGCTGCTACAGGTTGATTTTTATTAGCATGAATGGGTGTGTGCCTCAGAGCAGAGGTCACAGGCAGGCAGTCTGCAGACCAGATCTGACCCAGAAGTGTGTGGGGGGTGCGGGGAGGGTCTGCATAGTTTAAAAATTGTTACTTAATTTGTTGCCCCCATGTAAAAATTGGCAAGTTCGCACAGAAATCTGGATTTACAGTTTCTTATGAAAAATCACAGGACCAGGTGGTCCTGGGTCTCCATGATTTCCTGTGAACCTCGTCTGGAGTTGAAGAGAGGATGCTCCTCTGCATAAAACCTGTGCCCTCCAGCTCACTGTAGTCTCCACCACTCCCTTTT